>NC_000021.9:37364249-37674203 GCF_000001405.40 Homo sapiens
TGAATAAACACATCTGTAAGTGAATCTAATGGGAAGATTCTTAGATGACAAGGATTTCATCTGTGAACCAGGTCAGCTGGCATCTATACCAGAGTCCTTCCGGCCTACATGTGGTCACTTGTTTGGAGCCAGCTGTAATTCACAGGTTACGTTTTTAGGTGAAGCCTGTATAAAACCATTTTACAGCATTCCAACCTGGATATGACATTCATTGACCAATGTTGTCTAAGGCTGTCACACTGGGGAGAAAAGGGGTGCAGCCTTCTAGATACGAAGACCAGCAATGCCTTCTATACCCGCATGTTTATAATCTCAAGATTCTGCCCCACTCCGATATCTTCTAGGTTGATTTGAACTGAAGACAAGGACACATATCTTGAGACATTATCATATTCTGTTCAGGTTACCTGGAAGATTAACTATACAAGTTTCTTCCATTACCAGGAATAAAAATTTGAGTCAAATTTAATTTAGTATTAAAGGTTGCAAATGCTGATGTGCTCTGATAGAAGCGAAAGCTTGGTGAATGGGGTGGGATGGGGTGGGGGCAGGAAGGAGACCCACAAGCAGAGAGGAAGAAGTTGGTTGTATAGGTGGAAGCTTGAGCTTGGGAGGAACCAGGTAGGGACCTCTCCTCTGAATAAGGGGCGCTCTGGGCCACTTCCTCTTTCTTCAAAACAATTAAGTTGACCGTGGACCTTAATCACACTAGCAGGGCAATTTTGAAACAATAATCCGAAAGAACTTTTGCCAGCTACGGCAACTTTTTTATATCATGGAGATCAGCCTGAAAGCAAGCTATTTGCCCGACCACTTTTTGACCAATTTATTTTCGGTTTAGTCAGGTTTCTTCCAAGTCTGTGCTAATCTGAATGGTTACCTTAGTAATTACTTTTTGACTAATTTATTTTCGGTTTAGTCGGATTTCTTTCAAAGTCTGTGCTAATCTGAATGGTTACCTTAGTATATCAATGTCCTAGTAACTGTAGCAAGGACATTTTTGCTGGAAATCATTTAAAGCAGGTGTATTTGAGTCATGTAGCATAGACAGCGGCATTTACTGCGAGTTTTTTACATCTAATATTGTTTATAAGATTTTATCTGTTGTCACATTTGTGAAATTTATGAAAAAAATTGGTTACGAACACTATCACAAGGTGGCAAAATCAAGCTTAGAAATCAATTAGTGACTCTGCTGTAAAATAGTATATATATACACACACACTCTTTTTAGGTATACATTTATTAAATGCCATTAGAGTTGGTACAAAATACAATTTTTAGCTGGTGGCTCTCTACCGATTACAACGCAGCCAGCACAGCATACTTGGGTTTTCAAGCCTCGGGAGCTCACCCAGCAATACATAGCTAGGGAGAAGGGGTAGGGAGAATAAAAATCAGCGAAAGCCAGGATATTAATAAAGAGTTTTGATGGTTAAGGACAAGCAGGCGAATTAAGACTCTGGAAACCGAGAAGGTGTATAGAAAAGAAAACCAGAGAGCTGGACGACAAGGACACAGTAACAGCACAAGGGGATTCATCTAAAGGGCATTCCGATGGAGCAGGCAGGCTGCGCCCCGAAAGGTGGGGAGAGGTTGGAAGCAGATGGGCAGGCACAGGCGAGCGTGCACTGCCTGAAAAAGTTTTCATGATGGCTCCAGCCTAATTTCCCAACGCTGGTCTCGGGCGCCACAAAACCTGGGCGGCCCGACCGGAGCCAGGTGCCAGCCTCAGGGCCGCCGGGCCCGGCGCAGCGTCCGGAATTCCTGCGATGTCTGGGGCGCGGCGGTGGCTCCTCCCCGCCCCCACCACGGCCTCCGCCGGCATTTTCCGGCTAGGAGGCCCGCCAGCCCTTCGAAGAACCGGCTCCACGCGCGGACGGTCGCGGCCGCCGCGCTTCCCGGGGAGAGAGGCGAGCGCGGCGCCCGGACCGCGGTGAGAGCCCTCCAGGCCCGGGCGCGCGGGGTGGGCTTCCCGGGTCCCCGCCCGAAGGCCGCGGCGCCCCTCCTCCTCCCCCTCCCCCGCCCGGGGCAGCCCGCCCCTCCCCCCGGCGCGGGCGGGGCTGCGGGCGCCGACGCGGAAGCGCGGGGCGCTAGGGCTGCGGGGGCGGCGGCGCGGGAGGCCGCGCGCGCTCCCCGGGCCGCAGTCGGCGCGGGCGCGGGGCGGGGCGGGGCGGCCGGGAGGCGGCGGGCGATCGCGCACAGGCCTGGCCGCCGCCTCGCCCCCCCTTCCCCAGCCCCTACCCTCCCTCGGCCTAGCCGTCCCCCTCCTCTCCCCTCCCCCGGGCGAATCACGCGCCCTCCTCTGACACTCGTAGCGGACCCGAGCTCCGAATTTATCCTTCACGTGACCTGAGGGGGTTGGGTGGTTGGCTGGGGACAGAGGGGGAGACGGAAAGGAGGGAACGGAATCTGCCGTTACCTGAGCAACAGGCCCCGCCCGCCGGCTCGGGGCTGGGGGGCGGGAGGAGGACGTCAGCACGTCAGCCGGGGTTTTGCGTTTTGATTGACAGTTGCTATAGCGACCGGGTCGGTCCGTCGCCATTTTGTTGGTTGGTTTTTTTTTAAACCCTTTCGCTTCCCGCCCGAATAATAATAAAAAGCCCCATTGGAGTGAGGCGGGGGTGGCGGCGGCAACCGCGGCGGGGGTATCCGGGGAGACTGCTGCTGTCGCTGCTGCTGATCGCGGCCCAGGTCGGCCTCAGAGAGCGGACACCCCGAGCGGGGGGTGCGGGCGCCGCCGCCGCCGCTTCTGCTGCTGCTGTTCCTGCTGCTGCTGTTGGTGCCGCTGCCGCCGCCGGCGAGCAGGCGGGACCGGTGTGAGTGCGAGTGTGTGTGCGAGGGAGCGTGTGCGAGGGCGATTGTGCGCGCGAGTGTGCGGGTGTGTGCGAGTGTCTGTCTGTCTGTGCGGGGACTCGGGGGCGGGCGGTTCGGGCTCTCCTGGCGGAGGAGCCGCCGCCGCCGCCCGGGCCCCGGCGCTTCTCGCTGCGCAGGTTCGGAGCGCGCGCCATTTTGTGAGATTTACAAAATCCTCCTCGGGAAGAAGCCGCCGGCAGCAGCCGCCGCTCGGCGCCCGGCCTCGCCGACGCCGCCCTCTGCGCCGGGCCGGCCGTGCGGCCCCGCCGCCTGGAATCGGGGCCCGGGGACTGCGGTATTTGCCGGGGAGGGGGCTGTCGCCTCCCCGGCCCCGGGCGCCGCTGGAACCGCGAGCCGAGGAGAGACTGAGCAGGCTGCGGCGCGGCCAGGAGCCGGAGCGCCGGGGGCGGAGAGAGGCTGCCGGGGCGGCGCTGGCTGCGGAGGCCGCGGCGGGAGCGCGGCGCGGGAGCCCGAGGCTGAGACTCACCGGAGGAAGCGGCGCGAGCGCCCCGCCATCGTCCCGGTGAGTGTCCGGCCCGGCCGCGGCCCCGCCCGGCCTGGCGCTCGGCTCCCCCGGCGGCCCGCAGCCGGGCCGGAGCCGAGGCCGGCCGGGCGGAGGGAGGGACCTGCCATTTTAGGAGGAGGCGCCGCGGGCCCAGGGCCGGCCGCCGGGGGAGGGAGCCTCAGGCCGGGTCCCGGAGGAGCGGCGGGCGCGAGCGGAGGGAAAGTTGCGGAGGGTGGGAGCGGGGGCCGCGGCCTCCCGGGAGCCGGGGCCTGGGGGGCCGTAGACAGCGCCAGACCTTCACTGGCCGCCCGAGCGAAGGGGTGGAGGTTGTCTTCCTCCTCCTCCTCCTCCTCTTCCTCCTCATCCTCTTCCCCCAGCTCCTCCCTCGTCCCTCCTCTCGGTCCCCACCAGTGTGGGAACCGCCGGGGTGATTCGCAAGGACAATGCACGGGTTAAGAAAATGGGGCCGGCTGCCGGGTGGGCGAGGACGGCGGGGCCGGGCCGGGCCGGGCGCCGGCGAAGGTCGGGAGCCGCTGCCTCGGCGGCCCTGGGGGTCCGCGCTGGAGCGAGGGGCACTCACTGGCCTCCGAAGTTGGGCGGGGAGCGCGAGTGTCCCCGGCGGCTCGGGGTGGAGGGATGACCTGCCCGGCAGCCGGGGGAGTTGGTGGCTGAGGAGAGGTGAATTAGAATAGATACCTGTGTATCGCCACAAAACTTCACCAGTCTATTTATAGGCACAAACCCACTCTCGCTTCGGAGCCACCAAAGCTGCTGAGTAGCTCAGTACTTGGCGAAAGGCTCCTCCCTAATCTGAAATAGTTAAAAATGGTAAAATTAGTGAGTCAGTGACTCTGGTTACTTGCCTGTGCCTTTCGCCCAACCCTAGGTGACACGAATCCCATAATCTGGGCACAGCGCAGGAATGCTAGCACCATTTGGTTCTTGAATTCCGCCCAAATTGTCAGAAAATACGCCTTAGAACGTTGTTTTCACAAGTGCCAGGCTCTGTTTTTAGGGTTTTCAGTGGATCGACCAGCTTGCCCAGCCGGTAGGAACTGTTCCCATTTTATAGATGAGGAGAGTGAGTCTGGAGAGGGGCACTGACTGGTCTAAGGTCATACAGCTGGGACTCCAGGAGCCAGAAGGCTGTAGCCAGTCTGGAGTTGTGAATCATTAGGGTGTAACTCATTATTAGAAATACTGGCAAATTTTGGAGTGATTCGTGTTTAATGACTCAGGGTTCTAACCTAGAGATGTGTCCCCGTAAGGTTTTTAGCGTGGAATTACCTTTGTGGCTTGCCGAGGCCAAAAGGTAAGGTAATGGTGATGAGGCCTGTTAATAAACTTTTCAGGCCTTTCCCCCCCCAAGAAAACTATGTAGTCAATTTTTGAATGAAAGGAATTAAAGATATTCCTTGATGTGTTTTGTACTTCAAACAATTTTGATTATAGTCATTTTTTGAGTATTGATGAGTCATAAGAAAGTTTTGTGTAAAGTTATTTTTAGTTATTCTTTGAATGCTTAAGGGTTCCTCTGTGACCCTTTTATAGTTTATGTGTCCAAAGTATTAATGAATATATTTAGCATTTTGATTTTGAGGTGTTTTAATAACTCAGGGGAATTACCTTTAGCTTTTGTGTTGTTTAATTTCTCATGTCTTGATCAGTTACTTTAGGATAATATTGTTTTCAAGTAGACTTTTAAAAATGTGAGACCAGAACTAAAGTTTCATGTGTTAAGGTTTTAAGCTGCAGAAGATCATTTCAAAGAAACTGGTTATGAAAAAAGCTTACTTGATTATAGTCAAGATTTTTTACGCATACTTCAGGTATCCCAGTACTTTGGAGGATTTTCCCTGGTATAGCAGTGGTGTTTATGGTAGCTGTCCAAATTTATTTATACTTCAAACCATGCCAGAAAGTTAAGGATTTCTGTCAATGTCTACACCTAGTTCTCTTGTTAAGACTAGTAAAAAGTTCTCTTGTAAAAAGTTCATTTTTACCTCGAGAGGCATAAGCTCAGAGATTATTGCAGGAGGAAGGGTCACCCCTTGTGTTTGCGCCATGAAGGCACACTCCTTTTTACCTGGTGGGTGTTGAAAAAATATTTGAAGGAATAGACCTGAATGAATGGTAATTATTGGTAGGGGTGGGAAATGGACTAAATGACCTAGTGAGATCTTTGTTTTGAGATCTAAGTATAAGATCATCTCTTAAACCTTTTAACAATATTTTGGTGGAACCTATTAGAAACTTAACACATTATTGTGTGCAAGATATCTAAAAATAAGTCCAGTTTTTTAGAGGCAGTAACATTTAAGATAATTTAAAACATTCCATATTAGTGTAATGTCTTGTTAGGGAATGTGGACAGTAAAAACGACCATTTGTTAAATTTTTTTTCCCCTCCAAAATATTGTCTGATGTTTGCTCCTTCGTGTTACTTATGGAGAGTTACTGTTTATGACTTAAAGATATGGGGGTGGAGAGGCCTAGGTAACTGCAACAATGTATTTAGGTAATTTACATTAGGTTTTTAGAGGGCTATGACTATCTGCAAAAGGAAAATTCAAGATACCTTGTTATAAACATGGTATACAGTGACCTTTGGCATGCATTTTGTTTTGTAACTACACGAAGTGTTAATTTGGATTGAATCTTTGTTTTCACTTGAAAACCTTTTTTTTTTTTTTAAGAAATAGCTTGGAAATTTAGGCTGCCCTGAGGTGTTTTCGTGTGTCTGTTTATGGTTGACAAGTATCTAGTTATGAGAAGAAAATGTGGATAGAATTAACTGTATTATAGGCGAGAAGGGAATTGCCTTATAATCTTGTGCCACTGAACACAAGATTAGTAGAAGAGTGGGCTTCACTTGTGACTTTCTTGGTATTTGTGATTAGGCGTGTGCCAGTTTGTCTTTGCTTTGGCATTAGCTTTCCTCATATTTGAGAAGGCTTTCACGTTTCCTGTACACACACAGGAAGCAGTTTCACCCCTCCCCAAGAAAAAACTTATCTAAACCCAGCAAAACCCAAAAACTTCCAGAAAGTCTTTATCAAGAATTTAGTTCCTCATCCCCAAAGTTGTGTTAGTCTTATTTTGTAGTAATCATAAGCAGTTATTTAAACTGAACCAAGAATCTTTACTTTCTGTTGAGTGTTTTGGTGATTTTACCTCCATATATGTTCGTCTATTTTCGATTTAGAAGTAAAGATATTACGTGAAACTATTAGTAATGTTTCCTGAAACTTGATACTAACAGTTTGCTCTGTGAAAGTGAATTGTGTGACCAGTGTAATAGCACCTTATGTATATATGGTGGTTTTGCCTTTTAAAAGACTTTTTACCAGATGTTATCTTGACTGTTGGGCAATTTTCTGATGGCTAGAGAGGTGGTAATTTATGACCCAAAGCTTGCTCAACTTTGGATTAAAAAGTTTGGAGAGTTAAAATTTGTGTTTAATTACTTGGAAAAATCAGCAAATTATATTAAATTACCTAAAATTTCTCCTCAGTTGCTCCCAAATGAAGAAAGCTTTTTGAAATCTTGCCTTATGTCAGTGCTACAATTTTAAGCTAGAGTTGTAAAGTTTACCATAGAGTGTTTGAAAGTGAAATGTAGACTTCATGTGACTAAAATAATCATTGAAGGTTCGTTCATATTGGGTAATTGAAGAAAGATCTTATTTGTTAATACTGGCTACCAGCAGCCTTAGTTTGATTATTATTTTTTTATATGGAAACAAAATGATTTGGAAATATTGCACTGCGTAAGCCAGCTAGGTATTTAAAAAGTTAAGCTTTTGCTTTGAAATCCTACTTCCAGAGTACTAAAACGAGTGAGAATTGTTTATTGGTGATAATACCCTACGTTGAACACGTGAAATGGTGTGGTTTCTTTTGGGCATATATGTTTTGCTAATGTAGAACCATTTTGGTGTCTTGGCAATTGGTTCTTATACCAGAGCTATGTATCTTCTCTTCTAGAAAGCGATATTTAAAAGTTTGTATTACTGTTAAAACTAGGTTTTGACAAGTTACATAATTTTTTTTTGGTTTGGGGCAGATGCTCATATCTGATACATAGTGAGTAATAGCTTAAAATGTGTCTTTGTTCTTGTCAGTGAATATTCTTGTTTTATCTCCCCATGTTAGAAAAGTTTGTTTTAATTGATTTTTGGGGGGGGCCCAGTGAACTGGCTTAACATAGAATGAAACTGGCTTTCAGCATCAACTCTATTTTAAATAACATCCCTGTTCATTAAATAACCCCCTAATTTTTCTTGAGTGTATAACATTTCCAATGACAAGATTTGATTTTTTAATTTTTAAAAAAGCTTTCACAAAAAGCTTTTCCGTATTATCATTATCTATATTATTTGATAATATAGAGCCATTTCGACATCTTGGCAGTTGGTTCTTCTACCAGAGCTATGCATTTTCTCTTCTGGGTTTTTCACAAAAGCTTTTGCATGTCCGTAAAATGTTATGGACATGTATGGTTAAGGCTTGCATCTTGGCACCCATGTATTTGGGTAAAAAGATGCTTGAGGCCTGGCGTGGTGGCTCACACCTGTAATCTCAGCACTTTGGGAGGCCAGGGTGGGCGGATCACTTGAGGCCAGGAGTTCGAAACCAGCCTGGGCAACATGGTGAAACCCTGTCTCAAAAAACAAAACAAAACAAAAAAAAAACAGGTGTGTTAGTGCCACCTGTAGTCCAGGCTACTCAGGAGACTGAGGTGGGAGGATCAGTTGAGCCTGGGAGGTGGGGGGTTGCAGTGAGCTGAGATTGTGTCACTGCACTCCAGCCTGGGTGACAGAGTGGAGCACTGTCTCAAAAAAAAAAAAAAAGGTTTGAACTGTGACATCTGTCTGTCTGCTTGCTATCCAGTTATAGACAGCAGTTGAGGCAGCATGATACTGTGGAAAGATCCCCTGCCCATGAAACCATGAACAGAGGCTCCAGAATCTGGCTGATCTGAGTCTCAACAGGTTCTGTTGGCTGTGTGACTTTAGGTACAGTGATTTCACCAAACATCAGTTCCCTCATCTGTAAAATGAGGTTGATAGTAATTAGCATAGGAATCTTGTGAAAATTGAGATAATGCATGTACATTTCTTCATGGATTTCTTTCTCCTCCTTTTTTCTCTCCTCATCTTCATTCATGCTCATTCTGTGATCCTAGCATAAATATTTTCTTCAGAGAGGCCTTCCCCAAACCAGGTAGTCTTCCTTGGCCATGCATTCTTTTTTTTGGCCAAGCAGGACCATTTGTTTTTCTTTGCAACCCTTACTGCAAATATGATTATTCATATATGTTCTTATATATAATTGTTCATTAAATTTCATTTAATATAATTGTAAATTTAATTTCTCCATTAAATTTTAAAGTCCATTTGGACAGGAAGAAGTTTTTCTTGATCATGGCTGTAACTCCAGTGCCTGGCACATAGGGGGTTTAGATTCATAGAATGATAGAATGCGGAACCTGTATGTTGAATCCTTCCTGACTACCACTCCTTAGCCATGTCATCTTGGGCAAAACAGCTTCTCCTCGCTTCAGTATCCTGTATGCCAGATATAGATAGCACCGGCTGCCCTGCCCAGGATTTTGAGAATGTGAAATGAGACACTATAATGAAGTGCTGAAGTGTAAAATGCCATATAAATATAAAATGGCACAGTAGCAATAATCTCAGTAATGGGGTTATTCAGTAGGAAGCTCTATTGTGACTTAAGAGTATAGAATTTTAGCTTTGCTGAGTTGGTTGGTAGCTAATATTTAAGAGTTACGATAAATTTAAGCTTTCTTATATGTACCAGTTAGAATGTAGATGGGCCTGTTTCTGACTAAATACAGTGGCTTAAACGAGAAATTTATTTTTCCTTCATAAAACAACAGTATAACTTATCTAAGGCTGATATGGTGGCACCACGATGTGAGGGAGCTTGGTTCCTTCTGTCTTGTTGCTTTCCTGTGCTTACCATTTTCTTCATAGTACAAGGCAGTTTCTCACTACATCCACAGTCCAGGAATAGGATTTTGGGAAGGCACATTCCATCCCTTTAAAGACAAACCTGGAAGTTGCATACATGATTTTTCTTCATACCCTATTGGTCATAACTTAGTCATGTGGCCATGTTTAGATACAAAGGAGTCTGGGATATGTGGTCTTTGATAGGTGACTATTTGGCTGAAAATTTGGGTCTACTGAAGAAGGGGAGAATGGGGGATGATTAAACATTGCCTGTTACACTTCAAAATGTTTTGGGAGAAGCTTCCAGAAATAGACTTTGAAAATACAATGGATTGCATTAGTTAATAAGTTTATTTTCTGTATTTAATCATTAATTTTTTAAACTATGGTATGTGAATTCAAATAGACCGTTATGCAAAATATAAGTAAGTGGTCAGATTAGAAAAATGTAGCTATACTTTTAGTAGTGAAGGGATTTTGGGTCTAATAACAGTTATTTTACTGACGCTTTATTTTCTGATAGAAACATGGTTCTTGATTGCTGTGCTTGTATCACGTAAGCAATATTTGAAATCTGAGCTTTTGCATTTAGTGTTAATAGTCCACTGGACCAACTGAATGTCTTCTTGCTCATACCCTCAGCAAACAATGCTACAATAACACTCGCATGTTGTCAGGATGTCATAAAGATTTGAGTCACCGAACACTGCAAGAAGGATGATAGCAGAGATATTTAAACGTACATTTACTATCTAGTATGTTCCTCTTGAATTCCTGTGGATTTGAAAAAAGAGAAATATAAATATCTAAGATTCCCTTAAACTATGAAATATTATTAGCTCTAGTACAGACTTGGGAAAACTAATGGTTCCCAAACAGTCTTCTGGAGAACTTGTCAAAGTTAAGAGATTTCCAAGCTCAGATGCCTCTCTTTCTGTAGGTTTAGAGTGATGCTCTGGAATCTGCTTTCTTTTTTTTTGAGACAGAGTCTCGCTCTGTCGCCCAGGCTGGAGTACAGTGGTGCGATCTCGGTTTACTGCAAGCTCCGCCTCCTGGGTTCACGCCATTCTTGTGCCTCAGCCTCCCAAGTAGCTGGGACCACAGGCGCCTGTCACCACGCCTGGCTAATTTTTTTGTATTTTTAGTAGAGACGGGGTTTCACTGTGTTAGCCAGGATGGTCTCAATCTCCTGACCTCGTGATCCGCCTGCCTTGGCCTCCCAAAGTGCTGGGATTACAGGCTTGAGCCACTGGGCCTAGCTGGAATCTGTTTTCTTAAGGACTCCAGGTAATCCTGATGCAGTAGGAACATTTTGAGAAACACCAATAAAGTTCATTTCTCACATATTAGAGAAGGAAGTGGGTGCAGAGAAGCTGAGTGACTAATCAGTGCCTCAGAATAAGCAGGCCTGGGACTAGCATTGTTTTTCCTGACTCTTCGTTCTTTGTTCTTTCTACAGAAGAGGGAATAAAGGACAAGGTGTACAGAGTGCAGTGGGATTTTATAGGAATAGTTATCATCTTAAAGTAAGTATGTGGCTTTTAATGTGGGAGCTTATGTCTAGTGAATGGTTGGCCCAGTTGTCCTTTTTGCCCTATAGAAAAATAATGTGAATATTTAAATACTCAAGTGAATGTTTAAAGGTTAAGTGAATATTTAAAGGTGAAAAGCTGAAGGTTTTAAGTAAGGTTTTGTTAGTATCAGCACTATTGTGGGCAATGTATATACAGCATTAGAATAGATGTATAGGCAGCTACTTACTTGACATGATTAGAAGGAACAAAGGTAGTTCTTGTCCTCAAATTACTACTTTCCTTTTAGGTTGCTTGTAATTTTCACTGTTGGAATTCATTTCATTAGATTAAGATAAAATCTGGAATTCTCTAGTTTAAAATTTTAAAATTAGAATATTCCTAGAGGAATATTACTTTTTTTTTTTTTTTTTTTTTTTGAGATGGAGTTTCACTTTTGTCACCCAGGCTGGAGTGCAGTGGCACAATTTCGGCTCACTGCAACCTCCGCCTTCCGGGTTCCAGCAATTCTCCTGCCTCAGCCTCCCGAGTAGCTGGAATTACAGGTGCCTGTCACATACCCGACTAATTTTTTGTTATTTTTAGTAGAGACGGGATTTCACTATGTTGGTCAGACTGGTCTCCAACTCCTGACCTTGGCCTCCCGAAGTGTTGAGATTATAGGTGTGAGCCACCACACCCAGCCCTGGAGGAATATTCTTTACCTGTTATGAGGTTAACACTTTATTTGTATCAGTTATTATTATTAGATCTAGCCTGAAAACCCATAGCCCTAAATTGGAACAGGCATGCCTGTTTTTGCACCCAAAAGTTGCCTTTTGGCCCGCCAAGCCCCCCTCTTCCTATACCAATATAAACCTGAAACCGCAGGCCCCACAAGCAGACGAGGAGATGAAGAACAGAATGACAGAATGGCTTGGCAGAGAGAAGAGAGAGTCTGAGTGCTGGGAGGAGTTCCACTGGGAGTGGTCAAAGGGGAGAACAGCTGCTTAGTGCAGGTGTCAGTCCAGAAATCAGAATGATGCCTGCACTAAGAATGTTTTGGAAAGGAGGGAAGAACACAGTCCATGTGCCCTTTACTGAGAAAAATGAAGGGTATGTTTAGGCCAGGCGCAGTGGCTCATGCCTGTAATCGCAGCACTTTGGGAGGCCAAGGCGAGTGGATCACGAGGTCAGGAGTTCGAGACCAGCCTGGCTAAAATGGTGAAACCCCCATCTCTACTACAGATACAGAAATTAGCCAGGTGCAGTAGTGAGTGTCTGTAGTCCCAGGTACTTGGGAGGCAGAGGCAGGATAATTGTTGGAACCCTGGAAGCGGACGTTGCAGTGGGCTGAGATCGTGCCACTGCGACAGAGTGAGACTTCGTCTCAATTTTTTTTTTAAGGGTATGTTTAAGAAATATCACCTTGTGGTATGGTCATGGGAAGGTTCATGTGAGTATTCTCTGGTGGCCAGAGGTTGGTAGTGTTAGCTTGCTTCGATGGCTTCCTATCACTGAGAGTGTTGGTAATGGCACTGTGGGTAATTCTGCCTAGGACCCTGCGCTTGATTAACTACTGGACTAGAGGGAGTGTCCCTGTTTTCTTACTGTCTTATTTGTTAGGGCCCGTATTTGAGCAGTGTTATCAAACATATAAGGTACGGTTCTGATCATCTAGGATATTCTAGTTTTTAAAGAGATCCACAAGTAGTATATAGTTTAAAAAAACAAGCTCTGTGGAATGATAGCAGATCATTTCCCCCTTCTCATGTTCCATAATAATAACTGTTCAGTTTTTCCTACCAGAAATGTATGCATGTGTATATATACACACACAATTATATATATTATACTTTTAGTATGTATTGTGTTAGAAAACTATGTATGATTCCATTATTTTTAAGTGCATAGACAGGTGTGTGTGTGTGTATGTACACAGTGTCTGTGTATTTAAAATCCAAACCAAATGGGATCAGACATACTAAACACACAGTTTTGCAACTTAAGCTTTTTATTTATTTAGTTAGTTTTTGAGACGGAGTCTCGCTCTTTCCCCAAGGCTGGAGTGCAGTGGCGCAATCTCGGCTCACTGCAAGCTCCGCCTCCTGGGTTTACGCCATTCTCCTATCTCAGCCTCCCGAGTAGCTGGGACTACAGGCCCCTGCCACCACGCCCGGCTAATTTTTCGTATTTTTAGTAGAGATGGGGTTTCACCATGTTAGTCAGGGTGGTCTCCATCTCCTGACCTCGTGATCCGCTTACCTCGGCCTCCCAAAGTGCTGGGATTACAGGCTTGAGCCACCGTGCCCCGCATTTTTTTTTACTTGACCTATGTTAGAAATATTTCCATGTCAGCTCACAGAGCTCCCATTTTTTAAAATTTGGGACAGAGTCTCGCTGTCACTGAGGCTGAAGTGCAGTGGCATGATCATAGTTCACTGCAGCCTTGACCTCCTGGGTTCAAGCGATCCTCTCACCTTAGCCTCCTGAGTAGCTGAGATTATAGGTGTACACCACCACACCCAGCTAATTTTTAAATTTTTTGTTGAGACATAGTCTTGCTATGTTGCCTAGGCTGGTCTTGAACTCCTGGCCTCAGTGATCCTCCTGTCTTGTCCTCTCACAGTGCAGCTGTGAGACACTGCCCAGCCTCTATTGTTCTTAATGGTCGGAAAGTATTCTGTTCTATGGTTGTACCTCTGTTTAGTCAGACTGCATTAAAGGACATTTAAGTTCATATTTTTGCTCTTTTAAACAATGCTGGTGCGTACTTCCTTGCATGTATAGTTGTGTTCTGTGAGTATTGGCCATAGGATGTCTATTTATAAGGAAAGTGGCTGGTTCACCAGGTATATGGATATTTGAATATATGTTGCCATATTGTCTTCCAGAAAAGTAGCAGTAGTTTATGCTTTCACCAGCAGTGTCTGAGAGTGTATAGTTTCTCAAATCTCACCAACACTGTTGTTACCTTAGATTTTTGTGAATGTAATAGGTGAATAATGATGTCTAGTTGTTTGGATTTGCATTTCTTTAATTATGACTGAGTTTGAACACCTTAAGTTGTACTATAAGATTTTTATTTTAAATAACAAAATAATTCATTCTTCATCAGATGTATGTTATAGTTAAAGTATTTCCTGGGGGCCAGGCATGGTTTCTCACACCTGTAATCCCAGCAATTTGGGAGGCCGAGGTGGGCTGATCACCTGAGGTTGGGAGTTTGAGACGACCCTGACCGACATGGAGAAACCCTGTCTCTACTAAAAATACAAAATCAGCCGGGTGTGGTGGTACATGCCTGTAATCCCAGCTACTGGGGAGGCTGAGGCAGGAGAATTGCTTGAACCTGGGAGGCGGACGTGGTGGTGAGCCGGAGATCACGCCATTGCACTCCAGCCTGGGCAACAAGAGCGAAACTCCATCTCGAAAAACAAAACAAAAGTATTTTTTGGGTTCCCTTTATTTCGTTACTCTGTTGATTGAATAACTGATGTTTTGATAAATTGTAAATGCCTACAGAAAAGGGGGCTCTTGTTCTTCTTCAATTGAGTGAACATTTGCATGTCCTCTGTATGAGATATGAGTCGTGGTAGAAGCTTTTGATTATAAAAGTGAATAAGGTTTGGTTACATCTGCTTTTAATGTTGAGATAGGTGTGTCAATACAGGAAAACTTGAACACAGATAAGACCATGGCCGTTAACAGTTAGAGGGGTTGACATGTGGAGAGCTAGAAGAGCACAGGAAGTAAGACAATTATGGGGATTCGAGTGTGCATTGTGGAGATGGGACTGGGTCTCGATCTTGAAGAGTGGATGGATGGGCTTTTTATGGTGGAACCTGAGGACTTGACAGTCTATTGGAGGAAGTCATGTGGGCAATGGGTGGTGGTGGGAAATGAAGGTGACTTTGAAGAATGACAGAGTCATATCCCTGGAGCATCAGATGAGGGAGAGAGGGAGGGAGAGTGAGTTTGGTATGCTCAGGGAGTGAAGGGGACACTTGTGGACATGAGAGTGGGGTTGAGTCTTAATATTATAAAGATATGAATTTGGGGCGATTGAGGGTTTTTCAGCAGGGATTAGGACAGATCTGTGGGTTGGAGGGAGGTGACACTGTAAGAAGGAGGGTTTGGAAGGCAGGACCATTCTAGATGTAATGTATAGGCATGAGGGAATACGAAGAGGTGAAAAGTGGAAGACAGATGGGAAAACCTTAAAAATATTCTTAATTATACTTTAATTTCCAACAGACCAAAGTGAGTATTTCTGGATTCAAACAGCAACATGGCCAAGTTTTTGGAGATAGGAAAAAGAGTATTAAGCTTTGTTGGCAGTATACTAAAAGGTTCTAGGAATGCAGTGATTAGGTTTTAGTGGGACATGGAGAATATGTCCTACTGAGGACCTGAAGGAACTGTTGAGGAACTGAAGATAGAATTATTATTGTAGTTCAGACCTTACATTAGGGACAGGTGGAAATAATTTGCAGCACCATTAAATATGAGCTAAAAAATAGGGCAGTGGGAGAGGGCAATGTTTGAAGCTGTGAATCTGTAAAGGAAAAGGTTGTATCATAATTCATGGTTTGGAAAATGGAGAGTAGCTGAGCATGTGAGCAGTTTCATTTTTTCTGAGCATCTTAGTATTTGCCTGAAAAAAATCTCATATTCTCTTTATTTTTTCATGTATCCTAATTGGAAGACTGGTTATTTAAAAAGCATTTATCTTGTGGAGTGATAGAACTATTTATTGAGCACCTGCTGGTGCCAAATATAGAAAAACCTGGGGCCTGGGAATCAGTGCTGAAACAAAGGCCACTCCTGTCCCTGCTATCACGGATGTTACGTTCTGGCTGGGGGAATCTTTAATAGTTCTTGAGTAGGCCTAAGGACTTAGTCTAGAATAGATACAAATTAAATTTTCCTTAAAGCGAACATAGAGTCTATAAAATGGAATAATTTTTGATGTTGCTTTTTGAAGGTCAAAAAATTTTTGTTTCATTTTAGAGTCCTTTTAACAGTTAATTTTGACTTAAAAGTTTGTTTGGATAAAAATAGGACTCTAGCCCTTAAGACAAATACTGTCTGTTGAAAAATTTATTCTGATTTGGTTATTTTCCCTCGAAAAAAACAACTGTTACCACAGTGGTGTTTTTTACTTTATCTTTACATCAAATGTTCGTTATTGAGAGACATTGCTTCTGTGATATAAAAGATTGTTTTGTAAAAGTTTGTTGAAACAACAATGGTAAGATCCTATAGGATCTCATTGAGTATTTTACAGTTTAATTTTTTTTTTTTGTATTTCGTTGTTGTGGTTCTGTAGTACAATTTAAAACATCAGTAAAGCTAGGTAAATTTACCTAGGAATTGGCCTGAAGGCCCACAGTTACTCAGCAATATTAGAGACAGCTATGCAAAGGGAGAAGCCAGGCGTTTTAAGATTCACGGGAGACAGTTTGTAGGAAGGCTGTTTGCTGAATAAGACAAAGATACAGACATGCAAAGTAAAGGATGTGGGCCTATAGGGAAGGTCAAAGAATAAGGAAAGTTCACTTGAGTGAGCAGAAATGGAAGAGGGATTTAAGCAAATAGATGAACAAGAATTGTCTCTCCTAAAAAAAAAAAACCTACACAATTATTTGATGATTTATTATGACTTTTGGGGTAGAGACCACGCTAGTCACAGGATCTGCAAGCCCTGCCACCTGGATGATCTGGCTCCAGCTGGCTCACTGCCTCTTCTCACCAGTCTCTGGATCATGTGACTGTACCGGCTCCTAGTCTTTGCATATGCTGCTTCCTTGGCTTGGGATCATCACTTCTATCAGCTCTTCTATCCCTTCTATGCGCTCTTCGTTTTAAAAATCTCATGTGTCCTTGTACTCTTCCTTCATAACGCTTATTACAGTTGATAATTTTTTAGTGCTTATTTGATTAATGCCCTCCAGAGATGAGGACCAGTAGTGTTTTGCTCTCTCTTGCAATCTCAGTGGTTGGCAGGGTGCTTGGCACATAGTAAACACTAAATAAACATTTGTTGAATGAATCAGTGAACTACATGCTTTGGTCTTTACTAGTTGGTCTCAAGGACCAAAAACCTACAGTAGGAAGATGTTTGTTGGACTAAGAGATTAGCAGGAAATATGAGAGCTTTGAGGAAAAAGGAAAAGATGAAGTTTTTTAAAGATAGGATTAGAAAGTTCTATGTAGTCAGGAGAAAGAAAATTATTCGTGGAATAATTCAACAAATGCACATGAAATGCCTACTATGTATTGAGAATTAGATACTGGAAATGTGGAGTGGAAAGATTCTGTCTTCTGTATTAAAGGAGTGTATAATTGTAGTAGTTTACTGAAATGGGGACAGTCCTTAGTGGTTGTTTGGAGCAGGTGTAAGTTGTGGAGAGGGATCAGCCTGGATCAGGATATTCTTCACTCTTCTAGCCGACACAGTGAAGTTCATTCAGCAGTTATATCTGGAATGTAGCTCTGGCATTTGTAGTAGCTTTCAGGTGCATATCGAATATAAGTGCTATAGCCAGGTGTGGTGGTCCGCAGTCCAGCTACTCGGGAGCCTGAGGCAGGAGGATCGCTTGATTCTGGGAGGTTGAGGGTGCAGTGAGCTGTGTTTGTGCCAGTGTACTCCAGCCTGAGTGAGTACACTTTGAGTGATACCCTGACTCAAAAACAAAAACAACAACAAAAATCCCTGTAGCTTTGATTATTTGTTTAAAGACTGACAGAATAGTTCATTTGGATTCTTTTTGGCTTTAACTTCAAGTTTGGACAACAGAACAAGAATGAGGAAAAGTTTGTAGTATGGACAAGTTTTCAAAAGAATGAGTCGTGTAGTTAGAAAATTGAAGCTGTTGATCTTGTCAGCTGAATGAGCTTTCTTAAAGCTTATAAAGGGATATGTTTGAATATAGTTTTATAACCTTTTTCAGTGACTAATTTCTGTAGTAAATATTTGGAAAAGCAAATCATCACATAATTCCTGCAGGTCTCTTTGTGCCTGGCTCCATGCTAAGCTCTTGGGACATAATAGTGAATCAGATGGATATTCATGGTTCCTGCCCTCATGAAGCTTGCTTTCTTTTTTTTTTTAAAAAAAAAAATTAAATTTTTTTTTATAGTGATCTCACTTTTACGGGGATCTCACTTTGTTGCCCAGGCTGGTCCAAACTCCTGGGCTCAAGTGATCCTCCTGCCTCAGCCTCATGAAGCGTAAGCCACTGTGCCTAGCAGTTGAAGCTTTCAGTTAGTCAGAACTCCCTGGAGTGAGTGTAAAGGAAAACCTGGCTTGTGGATTGGGTGAGCAGTTGTATTGATTTACTTATTTATTTATAATTTCTTGAACTTAGTTTTGGTAGCACCGTTTTAAACTACTTTAAACTACTTGTTGCTTTATTTCTGGTAACATAGGGAGTGTGGGATCACACTTACTTTACCAAGGTAAAATAAAAACTTGGATCTTCAACCTTTTGGCAGATTATTTTCTAAAAAAGGTATTCTTGTAAATCTGAGTTTCTCCTCTTAAAAAGCAAGCTACTATTTAGTAACAGTAACAATAGCTACTATTAATCAGTTACCTGCAGCAGACCAGCCACTGGCCTACTGAATGAATAACTATTTATTATTAGTTATTTTAATATACCTAGAAAGTGATTGGTATTATCCGTGTTTACCTCCAGATAATAAAAAGCCTAAACAGTTAAGTGCCGTAAAGTTGAACATTTAGAGAAAAAGAAGAGTTTCTGTAACCCATTAACTGAAGAAATAGATAAAAGTTCTGGCATGCTGGGATTGATACCTTGTGTTATTGGTTCATTAGTTTTTTTGGATTATAAACAAGATAATCTAACACCTTTCTGTGTTTGGGGAAGTCTTTATCTTAGGAGTCTTTGTGAGAGGGAGAGCGATCTCCACCATTAAGAAAGCTAATTGTTCACTTTCCCCACCGCTTTTGCAGTTAGGATGCAATCCTGTGGCCTCCATGACTGGCAGTGCTTGCCTACCTCAGAGGCCAGTGATCTGCAGAGGCAGGCGGTATGTAGAATCTGTATTCTCTAGTCAAGGAGGGATGGGGATGGGATAGCAGCTTATCTTTTCCATAGGCAGCAGTGACTGAGATTCCAGTTGCAACACTTAGTGCCTGGTGTTGGTATCAGTATAAGTTGCAGTGACTGAGTCTCATTTGGTCTTCACTGGACCATATCTGTGGTTTGAATTTTGGATGTTCTTAACTATGTAGCTTTCCAGCCTGGTCCCCATGGGGTTTTCTGTGAGTTGCCTAATACACTTTAATAACTTCCTTTCAGCTTAAACAAAGCCAGAGCCAGTTTCTTTGTTTGCAACTAAGAACCTTTACTTGGAAGATGCTAATTAAGACAATAGATAATTCCAAGGAACTCTCCTGGGTCAGGTTTACCTGCATGTAGATTAGAATTTACTGAGAAGAGTTCACAGCATATATTAAGTGAAATACTTAGAAACCTGTTTATTGATTTAATTAGTTTGCTGAATTTGAGTGCCTCTTCTTGGCTGCGATATGTTTTAGGTGTTAAGGATACAGGAGTGACAAGATTGACAAGGTCCCTGCACTCACAGAGCTTATGTTCCATTGTAAGATGTAGAGTAAACAAGAAAGCAAATAACATAATTACAAAAAGTGATAAATGCCATGAAAAAAATAAAGATGGGGTGATGTGATAGGTAATGGTGTATGTGTGTGTGTGTGTGTGTGTGTAGTTGTATCTTAGTGTAAAACATTTAAACTTCAGTGTCAGGAATCATGGCTTCTGCTTTTGACTATTCTGAATTTGCCTTCCTACTGTAAACATCTAGAAAACTGGACAAAACACAGGGAAGAACTGTTTTCAGATATCAGATAATAGGTAGCACAGAACTGTGATCCCTGACAGATGGGAACCAAGTGAGATGAGCCCTGTGATGGCCAGTTTTCTGCTTGAAGGCACTTTTCACACCTCAGTGCAGGAAGGGGATCCCAGATAAAGCCACGTGGCCCCACTAAGTTGAGAAAACAAAGATTGGAGTTAGGGGTAACCAAGGGTGGTTGTCATTTGAGGAGCAGAGTTCCAGAGAGGAGGGAGCTATACTGAGAAAGAGTTCTTATACATCTACTTAGTGGTCCCCTTAAATGTTTGATTGTACATGTATAAGGTGAAGTTTCACAAAAGAACAGTTTCTGGGGGAGCTGTAAGCAGAAAAAATCTCAGAGTTTACAGAGGGCTGAGAATTATTTGAGTACCTTGTAACCAGAGTGGAAATGCAGGATTCATTGAGACCCCAGAAGAGTTATGTCTTGGTAGTGGGGCTAAACTAGTCCTGAAGTAAAGACTCCTAGCTTTGCCTGAAAAAAGCTTAAAAGCAAGCCTTCAAAGAAGCAAACTAATCTGAAACTAATGTAATTGCCTGTTACTACAGTGCCCAACATTCTTTAAAGGAATATAACAGATCCCAATATTAATCATGTAAAATGTCCAGCATGCAATCAAAGATTACTAAATGTGTAAAGAAGCAGGTTAACATGACTCATAATTAGGAGATCAAGCAGTTGAAACCTAGAACTCACACAGATGTTAGGGTTGACAGACAAGGATATTAAAACAGTTATTGTATTTCATATGTTCTGAAAGTTTGGCAGAAACGTGGAAGGTATACAAAAGACCCAGATCAAACTTTTAGCAGCAAAAATTATAATATGTGATATGAAAAATATACTGGGTTGCATTAATGGTATTTTAGACATTTAGAAGGAAAGATTAGTGAACTTGAAGACACAGAAGAGAAAACTCAGTCAATAGAAATAGTAATGACAGGTAATAGAATTAGCAGACAAGGTTGTTAAAGTGGCTGTCATAAAATGCAGGATCAGATTGTGGTTAATGTTGACATCTTGGACGTGAGGTTTGCTTAAGAACAATTGTGACAAGCAGAAGTTGGCTTCATATATACATCTACATGAAGTTAGAGTAGTTGAAAATCAGTATTTGAGCAGAGCAGGGACTATGGTAGAAGAACTTTATTATGTAGCAGTATGTTTATCTCTTGCTAAATGACAATATCACCACAGAGTTAGTAGCTTAAAATATACACTTCCATTTATTATCTCAGTTTCTGTGGGTCAGATGTCTGAGCACAGTTTAGCTGAGTCCACTGCTTTAGGGTCTTAGAAGGCTGTAAAGATGTTGGCTGAGGCTGTGGTCTCATTTGAGACTTAACCACAGAAAGATCTCTTCTAAGCTCATATGGTTGTTGGCAGGATTCTGTTCTTTGTACGCTGTCAATCAGCAAACATTTGCCATCAGTTTCTTGCCATGTGGTCCTTTCTGACACACCCACTTACTTTTGCAAAGCCAGTAAAAGAGTCACCTTGCAAGAGGTGTACATCTTAACGTGTCATAACCATGGACATGCCATGCCATTACCTTTGTTGTATTCTCTTGCTTAAAAACAAGTCACAGGTACTGCCCACACTCGGGGAATGGTGTGCACAGGATGTGAACACTAGGAGGTGGGTCATGGGAGCCTCCATCAAAGTTCTCTGAGCTTTTCTTTCTTATCGCTTCATGACTTGTTTCACCGGAATTTTAGAGCTATTAGGCTTTATTGCTTTAAGAAAGCACTTTTAGTATTACCATACCATGTTCTTCTAGTTAATGGAGAAATTAGTCTGAAAGATTTTCCCTCTGTTTCTGCTCTTCTTCCCTAAAATTTGCTCTGCAAACCATTCCTCCTTCAGATGGTATGAAGGAAATAAGCCTGGGGAAAATTACCTTCTTGGAGATTGACAGCTCACATTAGCATATTGTAGGAAACCTTCTTTGCACCCGTTAACATAGTTAGGGCAATCTTTATTAAGCTTGCCCTGAGCACTTTATAAACGTACACATACCACTAGCCAGTAAGGTACTGTTTTCATTTAACCTATGATGAAACAAGCTTAGAGGTGAACTAATTTTCCCATTTTAAATGGGAAGTGGTTGATAGGGTAGGATTCAAACCAGGCCTTAGTTTCCACTCTTAGATTTTATTCTGTATTCCTTCTATATTATGGTGAGTTGTATAATTATTTCACTATATATTAATATTAAAAGGTAATACTAATAGAAATAAAGTGCACAATAAATGTAGTGCGCTTGAATCATCCCAAAACCATCTCTCCACCCCCAACCCCCACCCTGTCCTTTGAAAAATTGTCTTCCACGAAACTGGTCCCCGGTGCCAAAAAGGTCAGAGACCGCTGCTGTAGAGCAATACTTGTCAGACTTTCTCACGTCGGGGCCTTCATGGACGAAATTGAAGACACCGTTTTGGGTATTCTGAGGGTTTTAGGGGATCTTTGCACATCTAAAACATCTGTGGTGCTGTGTGCCACACACAACAGTTGGCAAGCTCTGCCCTATAGGTAATCACTTTTTCCTCAGTTCTTTTAGCTGCTTCTTCAATTTACCTGTCTATTCTAAACAATGTGCTTGTTTTATCAGGATGCTTTTGGATGCAGCTATTGAACCTGACCCATACTGGCTTAAAATAAGAGGACTTAACTCACAATTGGAATTCCAGGGACAGGCTCAGGGGCTAATTGATTTGGTAGCACAGTGATGTCTTCAGGGCCCCAGGTTTTCTCATTTCCCCCTTTAGTCACTGGCAGGCTCTATCCTCAGATTAATCAGATGGTTGCGGCAGTGTCAGGAGTTGGATTCAGATGCAACAGTGCCCATGGGAAGAAGGGAAGATTATTTTTCTTGTAGCTGGATAAGAATGTGGTACCTTGGCCTAGGAACACGCCCTGGATTCAGGAAAGACTCACTAGAAAGGGAAATGGGATTACACTTAGACCAGTTAGGCTCACTCCTGGCACTGGGCACGCTCTCCTTGAGCACATGTCTAAATGGACGTGGGTCCCTTGGCACTGGGCATGCTTTCCTTGAGCACATGCCTAAATGGAGGTGGGTGTGCAAGTGGGTTCTGAACAAAATTAGCTTCTGTTACAAAGAAAGAAAGGGAATTTGGAGGCCGGGTAGGCAACCCTGTCCCTATTTTTGTATTTGCCTTAAGATTTAATACATTATTTGTTGATTTTATTTAAGGTCGATGCCTATTTAACATTAAGCCACCTATCACACTTTTTTCTTCCAGCTCCTGATTATAGTTATATAATCTTTTTTGGTAAAATCAATATTCCATGCTTAATTATGACTAAGTTTTGTTCACCATAAACCAGATTGTGTACTATGATTACATTTTCCACCTTGTATAATCTTGTTTTTCTAAGAGTTAGTAATTGTATTTCCATTCGCTTTGTTTTCTAGTACTTGTAAGTTTTCTCATTCTTTTTAGTAGCCACTCAATGTAGTTTTTGGTATAATAAAAAATATCCGACAGTTGTTTTTGTTCCCTCTTAAGAACCATCTTATAGAGCCTCAATCAAACTGCTCCTCTATGAAATTCTTGCTCTCTGGACCTAATAGGATCCCTTTTGCATATTTTCCAGCATGGTTGGATCTCCTGTTTCCTGGCTTTCTGGCCATTATCGTTTCTGTTTTTATCCTTCGTTTTACTGGAGGACATCTTTCAATACTTCCTGAGAAAAGGGTACATGGGAGGCTAATTTTTTGAGATACGGTCAGAAAATACCTTTAATCTGCTTTCATTTTTAAAAGTTTTGACTGGGTATAGAAATGGAGTTGGAATGTAATTTTTACTGAGAATTCTGTATATGTGGCTTCATGGCCTTCTAGCTTCATACAGCAGATACAGTTTGAATTTTGGATTTCGTTAAAAAGAAAACACAACACTATGGAAAAGGTAGAAAATATAATGAGCTCCTTGTACTCATCATTCAAATTCAACATGTGTTAACTCATGACCTCTTTATAAATGTCTGTGTTTTTATCTCTCCCTCTTCCCTTCATGACCTCCTTATAAATTTCTGTGTTTTTATCTGTCCCTCTTCCCTTTGATTTTTTTTTTTTTTTTTTTTTTACTCTTGCCCAGGCTGGAGTGCAGTGGTCATGGCATACAGCAGTTTCGACCTCCCTGGGCTCAGGTGATGCCACCTCAGCCTCCCAAATAGCTGGGACTATAGGCACATACCACCTTGCCTGACTAATTTTTCTGTATTTTGTAGAGACGGGGGTCTTGCCATGTTGCCCAGGCTGGTCTCAAAACTCTGGGCTCAAGCAGTCCACCCACCTTGGCTTCTCAAAGTGTTGAGATTACAGGCATGAGCCACCAGCCTGACCCTGCCTCTTTTGCATTTGTAAAAGCAAACCTAGATGTATAATTTCACTTTTGAAAATTTTAATGTGTATCTGTAAAAGATAAGGATGCTGTAGCACCAATTCCTTTGTCATACCTTTAAAAGGTTAACAGTGAGTCTTCCAGTATCCAGTAAGAATTCACATTGCCTTGTTTGCCTCATCAATATTTTTTTTAACAGTTTATTTTAATCAGGATCTAAGCAAGGACCAGAAATTGCCTTGTTTGACAAATCTTTTGAGTTCTTTTTTCTCCATTTTTTTTTTTTCGGAGTCTCGCTCTGTCGCCCAGGCTGGAGTGTAGTGGGGTGATCTCGGCTCACTGCAAGCTCTGCCTCCTGGGTTTATGCCATTCTCCTGCCTCAGCCTCCCGAGTAGCTGAGACTACAGGTGCCCACCATCATGCCCGGCTAATTTTTTGTATTTTTAGTAGAGACGGGGTTTCACTGTGTTAGCCAGGTTGGTCTCCATCTCCTGACCTCGTGATCCACCAGCCTCGGCCTCCCAAAGTGCAGGGATTACAGGTGTGAGCCACTGCGCCCAGCCAAAAAAGTTTGTACTATATTATTTTTTTGAGGTGGAATCTCATTCACTCTGTTGCCCAGGCTGGAGTGCAGTGGCCAAAAAAAAGCTTTTAAATTAAAAAAAAAAATTTTTTTTTTAAGAGATGGAGTCTTATTGTGTTGTCCAGGCTGGTCTTGAACTCCTGGGCTCAAGTGATCCTTCTACCTTAGCCTCCCAAAGTGTTGAGATTACAGGCATGAGCCACCACTACTTGGCCTTACTTTTCTCTCTCTCTCTTTTTTTAAAAAAGTATATATATATATAAACAAATACATACTGCAGTCTTGACCTCCCTGGGCTCAGGTGATTTTCCCACCTCAGCCTCCTGAGTAGCTGGGAATATAGGCGTACACCACCATGCCCGACTAATTTTTTAGTATTTTTGGTAGAGGCGGGGTCTCATTGTGTTGCCCAGGCTGGTCTTGAACTTCTGGGCTCAAGCAGTCTGCCCGCCTTGGCCTCTCAAAGTGCTTGGAATACAGGTGTGAGCTACTGTGCTGCCTTAAAAGAATATTTCTGATTCGAGGTTGGTTGAACTTATGGATATATGGAGGACTGGTTTTTTTTGTTTGTTTTTTGTTTTCCATCATAGCGTTGTCTCAGTTTCCTCTGGATTCCTGTTTCTCTGCTTGTTTTGGTTTCTTTCCTTGATGTTGGCAGCTTTCCTCAAATATTTGGCCATCCTTGGGCATGTGGCTTGTATTTAGGAGTAAGGCATAAAGCTGATGAGAGCTCTTTGCGAGGGTGAGGCTTGTTCGCTGGAGGCTTAGTAGGCGGATTGGTGGACCCATGAATATGAGTATCCCTAAGGTTTTATGGCAGTGCTCTTGGGTCTCAGGTTGGGGTTGTGAATCCCATGCTGGTGTTCTGCAGGCAGAACTGTGGAAGAAGGGCTGGCATGCACAGTTCTGTCTAAACACTTTTGCTCACTTCTGTAGTATTTACTTATGTATTTTGTTTTTTGTTTTTTTTTTTTTTTAGAGACAGGGTGTTGCTCACTTGCCTGGGATGGAATGCAGTGGCACAATCACAACTCACTGCAGCCTGGAACTCCTGGGCTCAAGTGATCCTCCTGCCTCAGCCTCCCAAAGTTCTAGGCTTGCAGTTGTGAGCCACTGTGCTCAGCCTTCACTTTTGTTTTCAGTCCTGTGCCTCAAACCTATTTTCTGTTGTGCTTGATACCTGTCAGTACCAAGTCTCCATATTCACTGGTCCCCAGAGAATATGTCTTTGATGTCTTTGGAGCTAGGATAGTTGCCATCCTGGATGGGGTTTGGGCCGCAATTTTGGGGTCTTATTACCTTTATTTATTTTTCTTGACAATAACTGAGAAAACTTGCAGGTATGGTACAAATAGCTTATTTTCTACACCATTTAAACGTTGTTGGCATGAAGTCCATTATTTGAAAACTGTAGTGCATTTTTCCTACAAACAAGGGCATTCTCTTACATAACAGCAATACAGCCATCAAAGTAGCAGTTTAACATGGAGACATTACTGCTATCTAATCCATATGACTCCATTCCGTTTTTGGCAGTTGCCCCCATAGTGTAGTGTTCTTTATGGGGAGAGAATGTTGCCTAGGATCATTTACACATTTTGTCGTTACTGTTTTTCTTTTTTTATGAGACAGTCTCGCTCTGTCACTCAGGCTGGAGTGCAGCGGCATGATCTTGGCTCATTGCAACCTCCGCTTCCCGTGTTCAAGTGATTCTCCTGCCTCAGCCTCCCAAGGAGCTGGGATTATAGGTGCCTGTCACCACACCCGGCTAATTTTTTGTATTTTTAGTAGAGATGGGGTTTCGCCATGTTGCCCAGGCTGGTTTCGAACTCCTGAGCTCAGGCAGTCCGCCTGCCTCAGCCTCCCAAAGTGCTGGGATTACAGGCGTGAGCCACCACGCCCGGCCTGTTACTGTTTTTCAACTGTCCTGATTTAGAACAGTTTCTTACCTGTTCTTTCTTTTGTGATGTTGATATTTTTGAGGAATACAGACCAGTGATTTTAGAGTGTTACCCTCAGTGTGCGCCTGGTGTTTCCTCATATTAGATACAGATTAGATGTCTCAGGCAGGAATGATGCTGTTTTGAATTTTGATGAAGTCTAATTATTAAAAGTTTCTTTTATGGATTGTGCATTTGTTACCAAATTTCAGAACTCTTCCTAGTGCCCTGGTTCTTTGGAGTGGAGAATGGCATTTGGAAACCTATGTCTGAATGTTAGGTGTGCTTGGTAGTGTTAGTGTGTGGGCGCTCCTCGGCTTTCAGTGGACAGAGCCAGAGAATATGTGCATGTCCTGAGCCTCCTGTTCGTCCTCTTTCCAGGTTTGGGGATACATGAGCTAGTTTCCTTGGCATCTTCAACTGTAGACACTTATTCTGTGGCTTCCTTTAGTCTCCTAAGCCTGCCACTACTGTGCCATCTTCTATCCATTGTCTAAAAACTTCTTTGTCCATCACTGTCTTGTATCTTGTTTTATTATTTTTTAACTACTGATTTTAGGTGAGTTTTATCTTCAGTGCAGTTTTGTGAGAGAACAGAGGTAAATGTATGGATTATTCAATATGTTGTTTACTTGCTGAAGCTTTAATACTCTTTCAAACCAATTTTTGCCTTTTATTATTTTTTGCAGTCCTCCTTAACCCCTTGTTTACCTGCTCTGTTCCTGATTGGGCTGTTCTACAGCCTATAATCTTCCACGATTCTCCTTTGTATGGAATGAAGACAAATTTATTAAACTATTCAGATTCTCTTGATAACCTAGCCCTAGTTTATCTTTCCGTTTTCTTTTCTGCAGTTCTGCCATCTTCCCTCTACTTCAGAGCTTACATTTTCCCACTCGTGTTAGGCTCCTCTTCAGCTTTGCCTTTGGAGCATACTGTGCTTTTCTGATAACGTTTTCTATATGGCACAGAGCCTCTGCCAGGGCATGTAGTAGGTGTGTTCAGTGCATTAAACAAACATACAGATCCTCTAAACTAGTAAAGCCACCCAAGCTTGTTTGTTGCCTGTTATCATTTTCCAAATACTGTCATTTAACCCTCAAAGCAACTCTGTAAGCCATTATCCATCTTTCATAAATGATGTTGAGTAAATTGCCCAAGGTTACATAGTTGTAGTTGTTAACACTGAATTTAACAAATGTTTGTGTGCCTGTATGTGACAGGCTCTTTGAGGTTGTAGAGACAGTTGGGGAATAAAGCTGACAACATACCCCTAATGGAAGCAGTGTTAAAATGCTCAATCCAAGTGAGGTTGATTTTGGGGCAAGTCTTCTGTAACCTGACGTACTCATCTCAGATGTCATCTCCTGTAGTCTTTCCTGACTTTCCTAGAAGGAGGCAGGGGAGAAGTGGAAAGAATAGCTCCATCTTTTGTTCTCATTAGTTCCTTCCTTTCTTATTGTATTATCATATATAGCATTTATAAAATTATTATTTGTATTTGAGGCATGTCTTGGTCTGTTTGTGCTGCTCTAACAAAATACCTTGGACTGAATAATTTATAAAAAATAGAATTTATTTTTCACAGTTCTGGAGGCTGAGAAGTCCATATCAAGGCACCAGCGGATTCGGTGTTTGCCGAAGGCCTGCTTTCTGCTTCATAGATGATGCCTCTTGCCGTGTCCTCACATGATGGAAGGGCAGGGCAACTTCCTTTAACCTCTTTTACAAGGACATGAATCCCACAGTTCCCCAAAGGCTCCACCTCTTAATACTGTTAGGGCCTAATGTAGAAATTCTGTGGGGAACACCAGTATTCAGACTGGTCATAGTCTGTGCTGCTGTAACAAAACACAGGTTAGGTAGTTTACAGAAAACAAAATAATTTCTTACAGTTCTGGAGGATGGGAAGTCCAAGATAAAAGTGTTGGCAGGATTGATGTCTCGTGAGGATCCAGTCTTTCTGCTTCCAAGATGGCGTTTCAAACGCTGCACCCTCTTGAGGGGAGAAATGCTGTGTCCTCACAAGGCAGAACGTGAAAGAGCAGAAGAGACCAAACTTCCTCTGTTAAGCCCTTTTATAATGGCATTAACCAATCTGTGAGGGCAAAGCCCTTATGACCTGAACATCTTCCAAAATCCTCATCTCCCAGCACTGTTATGTTGTGGATGAAGTTTTCAACAAATGAATTTTGGGGGACACATTCAGACCATAGTAGGGCCTTTGATAGATTGAGCTGTTTTGGTGGGGAGCTGTCTCTTTCTGGTATCCAGGATGCTTGCCACATGATGTGTAGTCTCAGTAAGTGAGTGCATTGATAAAGAAGTATCCATGATGTGCTTTACCGACAGCAGGTAGCAGTACTCTCTGTTACTCAAGACTGCCTCTTTGTAAGGGTACAAGTAGTTTCAGAAACTCCACTCTCTGTTTAGTTGGGAGGATGTGCTCTCAAAGAGGTTACCTACAGGCACATTTTTACCGGAGTTTAATAAACTGTCTTTTTTCTGGGTACATATAGGTCTCTGGTCTGGAAGATGGGGTCTTGACTCCCCAACCACCAATAGTAACCATCTGGTAGGAGTTTTGAATTATTTGTTAAAGAAGTATGCTGATATGAGATGTCACAATGTACAAGCCTCTTTTCAAATCAGGAGATAAATTATTTCAGAAGAGGTAGAATGTTTATTTTGAAACATTTTACAAACAGGTTTGTTGTAATTCTTTCCTTGTATTTGTTGTCATATAACATGTTGAGGTTATCTGTTGCTGCTTAACAAACCATGGCGAAATTCAGTGGCTTAAAACAATATTCATTTCTTTGCTCACTGTGTTCCAATTTGGGCAGGGCCTGTCTCCATCCCACGTGGCATCTGCTGGCACTGGGCAGTCCAAGGTGATGGATTCCCTTCCATGCCTGGTGCCCTGGGCATCTTCCTCCAGGTGGCCTTTCCACCTGGCACACTTGGGCTTTCTCACAGCTGTGACTGGTTTCCCCACAAGTGCGCAAAGTTGAGGCTGCCAGGCCTTCTTAAGACTTACACCTTGAACTGGCAGTGTCATCTCCACTGGATTCTGTAGGCCAGAAGCAAGCCACAGGCCAGCCCAGATTCAGGGGGTTCGGGGTGGGGTGGGGATTGTACAAGGTGTGAACACTGGCAAGAGTGGTTTATTGGGCCACCAAGGAACACTACCACATGAACCAAGTCTCTTTCTGAAAGGGAAAAAGAAAGATAACTTTTTTATTCTGTTTGTTTTTTATTGTCTAATCCTACTGACCGATTCATTTTGTAATGCAGTGGTGTATTTCTTTTTTTTTAAACCCTTTTTTTTTTTTCTAATTTTTTTAAATTTTATTATTATTATGCTTTAAGTTTTAGGGTACATGTGCACAACATGCAGGTTTGTTACCTGCAGTGGTGTATTTCTAACTTTTGCTATAACTCCATTCAAATAGCAGTATAAAATTAATATAATTTTTCAAATTCAGTTGAACTGTACTCATCTTGATACGGATCATAAATACAGATTTGGGAGTGAAGAAAGTAGAACAATGAATACTTTATGGCAGGGGTCTCCAGCCACTGGGCCGTGGACCGGTACTGGTCTGTGGCCTGTTAGGAATTGGACTGCACCCCATGAGGTGAGCTTTGGGCAAGCGATCATTTCTGCCTGAGCTCTGCCTCCTGTCAGATCAGTGGCGGCATTTGATTCTCATAGGAGCGCGAACCCTGTTGTGAACTGCACATGTGAGGGATCTAGGTTGCATGCTCCTTATGAGAATCTAACTGATGATCTGAAGTAGAAGAGTTTCATTCTGAAACCATTTCCCACCTCCTCCTGTCCGTGGAAAAATTGTCTTCCACAAAAGTAGTCCCTGGTGCCAAAAAGGTTATGGGATACTCAGCTCCACGTTGCACCTAAAGTAGCAAAAGACTAGATAAAAACCCTGAATATGTACTTGTGAAATCCTGAATATGTACTTCGTGAAATCAGTGACATAAACCTCCTCCTGGGTTACGTGTTACAGTTCACAAACGATCTCAAGTATTCTACAGTTCACCTGTGGTTGTCCTTTGTACAGGTGGAAGAAGAGAGGGATCTCAGATTCCCTGTAGTTGCGTCCCCGCCCCCAGACAGATCTCTCCCTTCTTCATGCCCTGGATTGTTTCATCCATTTAAATAGTTCTCTTCTTGATTCTGACTTGAGGGATGGGCATCCTGTGATTAGGTTTGGATGTGACAGTGGAAGTTTGTCAGAAACATTTTGGCTCATGGGCCAGATACATTGGAGTCCGTCCGAAAGCTCACTAGGAAATGTAGATTCTCAGGTTTAACCTAACTAGGCTAACTATACCTAAGTATCTTAGCAGAGGTTTGGATGTTACAGAGTTTGAAGATCGCATTTTTAGGCCCTGTATTCTTATTCTCTGTAAGGATGATGTCGCCCTTCAAGGGTGTAAGGATTGTTATTGGGGAGTATATATTCAGGGCAGCTTGAATCTGTGCTCCCGCTCCTCACCTCATTGTTCTTCGGAGGGGGATGGAAAATCTTAGATGTTAATCATGGTTTGTGGCCCTCCAGAAGTTAATCTTACCTGACAAAACCTTATTCCTTAATGTTTAATTTCCCTTGTTAAGAATACATTTAATTTATTGAATTAAATTTAAATTAAATTTCTCTCCTGGGGATGGGATACTCAAAAAAAGGTTGAGAAACATAATCCTATAAGAATTACTCTGGCATAGTACCTGCCCTGCATTATCTGTGTCCCCTCTCCCATCTTTGGAAACCTTAGGATGTGATTTTGGCTATATTATTTTAATACTAAGATTTTACTTACATTTAATGGATTAAAAAGAAAAACATTCTAGATGGGTGGAAACATTTACTCTGTGAAATTTTGCATCCAAGTCAATTGGTTTTTATCCTTGTGAATAAAGCCCTGTTAGGATAGACTCTGTTCTGGGATTTGGAAACCTTTTGTCTTCATAATGGCACTGTATACTGAAAACTCTTCATGTTTTCCACCTTGTTAACATATGACAAGCCAGGGCTTTTATATGCCACACAAAACATAGGAGATGTTCTCTCAGGGACATGTTCTTAAGTCATTGCTGTCTTTCCTCCTGGGAGTGATTCCTGGCCCCATGTATCTGTTTTCTGTGTAGTGCAGGGCCAGTAGGTGAAGTGGGTGGACCACAGGTCCCTGTGCCCTTGTCCTCTAGGAAGGAGAAGGGGTATAGGAGGCATATTGTTATCTGGGTTTATTGGTTTGTGGCTTTGGACTTGGTATAAATGAAAACGCCTCTTTTTTTTTTTAGGTTGGGGATGGAGGGCAGTAGTGGGAGAAGTAGAATAGGGTTTCTAATATATTACCCTCTTTAAAGAAAATTTTCAAAATGAGTTATTTTTCTGTCATTTAAGGTAATGTTAACTTCTTTGTATTTGTCCGTTTTCTGTGTAATTTGTCCAGGCTCAGGAGAGTTAAAGGCATAGTATAGCCAGAAAACTGAAGTCCTCTGGAAATCTCCATTCACCTGAAAATACATTGCTTGGCAATTGATAGATGCTGGGGTAAATTATTTTTTGAGTCAGTGAATTAAATTAATCCAAAGTTTTTTTGTTTTTTTTTTTAAGTGTAATTCCCTGTTCTATGATTTTAGAATCTAGTCCGTAGCGTAATATTGAGGGAAAAGTGAACTAGGAAGTTAAGAGACCTGGCATCAACTATTCTTACTACCTACCATGTTTTAAAATTTCCATAGGCTTAACTTTCATTGTTTATAAACTTGAAGAATTGGTAGACGACCCTTTGAGAGCCCTTCAGGGTGCAGAATTTTATCATCAAGTATGGTGAACACATTAGAATGTCCTCAACTGATGTAGTTGTGAGAAGGAATTAGTTCCATTTATCATGTAGAGAGTAGTGAATTAGGGTAAACAGTTGAGCCACTCTAACAGTTCCAGCAATTTGATGGCTCTAAGAGCATGGAATCATCTGGAGGTGAGTGCCTAGGTTGGTGGCGGTGACTGCCTCACGTGGTCATCTGGAGTCATGCATTTTTTTCCGTCTTGTTCCTCTGCTCTGCCCTAGGGTATAGTCCTCGTGTGTTGTCTCTGTACTAGCTCAGAAGATGCAGAGTAGGAGGTGCAGAGACAGAATAGAAATGCTCACTCAGTGTCCTAAGGCCCAGAAGTGGCACTTGTTTTCACATTCTTTCCATGCGAACTTAGCCACATGGCCATACCCAGCCACAAGGGAGCCTGGGAGGTATAACCTAGTTGGGCCGTCATGTGCTGGGCTACCATTACTATGGAAGATGATGACTGGAGTCTCTGCCACAACTAGTATATATGAAGCTATTTCTTAGTATATTTCTGGGGACCCTTTTTCCTCATTTTTGTTTAGCAAAGAATTAATGTAATTAATGGAAAAAGTAAATTATTTGGGCAAGTTGTGCTAAGGGTAGTATATTGAAAGACAAGTTTTGAAATTAATTAGAAACCTAAAACTAACCAGCCCTGATTATACCTTTGTCTCCTCTAATTAAAAGTCCAGTGAAGAGTAGTTAGAAGTTTGCTACACTCTGGTTTCTTAGGAGCACTTAAGTACACATTTAGTCACAAGGGACATCTCTTTTCCAGAGCAGGAACCTATAGTTCTCTTCAGTAAACTAGTCCTATAAAAGGAAGCTGCTGCTTGAATATCACCAGGCCTCTTGGGCTCCAAATTCTTAATCTAAATACCCAAAGTTGGCCATGTTTCAGAATTGCCTGGGGTCCTTGTTCAAAATATAGGTTCAGGCCTTACCCTCTGGAGATTCTGATGGTTGTGTTTCTGAATCTGAATTTTTTAACAAGCCCCTCAGGGTGATTGTGATGCAGCTGTCAGTGGTATGGGATCCAGTACCTTAGCCATCTGTGCCCCAATCGCCTTACATGTGAAAGTGCGTAATTAATACTTGCCTGGCTCCTGTACCACACAGGATTCAGAGAGCATGAGATGAGTTGTATTTCAAATTATTTCATAAATTTAAAAGTACCGTAAAAGACTGGGCACAGTGGCTCACACCTGTAATCCCAGCAAACTTTGGGGGGCTGAGGCAGGAAGATTGCTTGAAGTTTGAGAGCAGCCTGGGAACATAGCAAGACCTCATCTCTTAAAAAAAAAATATATATATATATTTATATTTATATATTTTTGTATATTTTATATTTATATATGTGTATATATATATATTTTTTTACCCTGCAGTGTACACACACACACATACACACACACAAAATAGTTAGCCTGGCACAGTGGCAGGCACCTGTAATCCTAGCTACTCTGGAGGTGGGAGGATTGCTTGAGTCCAGTCTTGAGTCCAGGGCTGCAGTATGGTAGGATTGCACCTCTGCCTTCCAGCCTGGGTGACAGAGTGAGATCCTGTCTCTTAAAAAAAAAAAAATAAAAGTGCCGTAAAAATTTTTAGGTGGTATTACAAGTTGTTTGGCAAGATTTTGTGTACAACAGCCCTGAAAGGTAAGTGCTATTATCTCCATTTAGGAATAAACTGGGAAATAATAGGTAAAACCCTAGGCTTCTTGATTTTGCGTAATTAAACAGACTCAGAAAAAGTTATCTGTCCTGTGTAACTGCCAATAGCAGAACAAACTGAATAATTTATAGATACTTTTGTTTTTACATAGTTTATAAAATACCAAATGACAACTTGATGCCTTTGGTGTCCTATGTGGAAGACTCTGCTTTGTACTTTGGCGATGTCAAGTTGAATGAGACACATTGTCTGCCCGTATGGAAGTTACAGTCCAGTAGAGGAGAGAAGACTTAAAAACTATTCATTATAATGTCCTTAAGAATCATTTTCTTTTTATGAATGAGCCCTACAACCATAACAGGACAGGTTGTGAATATATTGTACAAGTTCAGAGGAACGGAGAGGCCACGTGAGGTGATCCTTTTGTAAAAAGCACAGCTTGAGACAGGAGGAGAAACTTTTTTTTTTTTTTTTTTTAAACCGCAGAGAGAACAGTGTCGGTTGCTCAGAGGACTCTTCTTTCTACCCTGGTGCATTTACTAGGACCTTGTAGGCAAATAAAATGATAGAGAAACTTGCATAGATGAAGGATGTGTCCCATTCCCTGAAGTCAAGGGAAGCAGAGCTAAGATTGGTTATGCAGACCATGGGCTAGGCACTCCCTACAAAGTCACTTTAATCATTCCCAACAGTCTTGTGAGTAGAGAGAGCAGAGCCCTTTAGTGGAAAGAGCATGAGATTTTTAAAACCTAGAAGTGGTTGGCAATGGTGGGGCCAAATCTGGATTGTGTGTGGATATTCAAATAAGTGGATTTTCCTTTTTTATAAGACCCATAAGACTCTTCCTCCTTTTTCAGCACATTTGGTTTGCCTTGATTTTGACAAGAGTGTGATTGCTGCTACCCCATTATGAAATTGGGGATAGAGATCTGTGGATTCATTGTCAAGGTGGAGGATGCAGGCAGGGAAAGAGTGCGGGAACCATTCCTGCAGAGTTTGTGGTAGGGGACCTTTACAGGAAATGTAAAGGTTAATTTATTTGGCAAAGATTGTACCAGATGTTTGGGGTAAAGTAGTGAAAAAAAGACAAATACAGTTTGTACTTTCATGTTGTTGACAGTTTTGGTGTGGCATTTTAACATTTACTGTTCTTAATAGAATATGTGACAACTTTCTAGACAGGTACTACTGTTTAGGATTGGGTAGCTCAGTGTTGGGTTTCACTGAGCATGAGAGGCGTGGAGAGTTTACATTACATGTCTTCCAGTGGTTCTGTCTTTCTAAAGCTTGAAGGTACTCACGAGAAAGCAGTGAGACTGTACATCATTCCAAATGAGATGTTGATGTAGATTAAGCACAGTTTTTCATCCCAGAATGCAAATTAAGAATACAAACACAGGTTGAAGCATTTTTCATAGGTGACATTTGTAGAATGTATATATTTTAAGAACATTTGGAAAACTTTTTTTAACCTACTTGTATTAGTTCCCTGTGGCTCCTGTAACAAATCACAGATTTAGTGACTTAAAACAACAGAAATTTATTCTCTTACAGTTCTGGAGGCTAGAAGTCCAAAATCAGAATCATTGAGCCTAAACCAAGGTGTTGGCAGGGCCAGGGCTGTGCTTTAGGAGGCTGTAGGAGAGAGCCACTTGCTAGTGGCTGCCAGTACTTCTTGACTTGTGGATGCCAGCATTACTTGACTTGTGGCCACATTACCTCAATCTCTCCTGCGATGGTTGTGTTGTCTTCTTTTTGTGTCAGATTGCCCCCTCCCTCTCTCAACATTTGTGATGGCATTTAGGGCCCACCTTGATGATGAAGGATAATCCCCTCATCTCAAGATTCTCAACTTAATCACACCTGCAAAGACCTGTTTTTCCCCCAAATCATAAAACATTTATAGGTTTCACAGTGTAGGATGTAGATATCTTTTGGTGGACCATTTTCCAGCTTATCACACTCCTATAAATTATTTGGAAAAGTAGGAAGGTTGCTTTTGAAGTAGCAACTTGTAGATATATCATAAGTATACTTCCAGCTATAATAAGAATTAGTCATAGTTTTATAACTTTTTAGTGTTAACTTGATGATCCAAATTTGAGATCCAACCTGGGAGACAGCTCCCAAAATTTTACCACCTAATCTGTTTTTTATAACAATGGTTTTGAGCGACTTTTCTCTAAATAATGGAAGTTATTGTTCTTTTAGGGTCAGTGTAAGCTGACAGTGGTAATTTTTATCAAGTATTAAAAATGAGTCTGAGTTTAGGGAAATGATATGAATGATTGGAATTTATTTTAGCATCTAGGAATTTTATTGACTGAGAAAGTGCAGATTGCAGAAGAGTAGCCAAAAATATACTATGATTGTACCCTTTCTAAAGTTGCTTGGTTAAATCAAGGTTGAAAATAGGGGCCAGGTGCAGTGGCTCACGCCTGTAATCCCAGCACTTTGGGAGGCTGAGGTGGGCGGATCACTTGAGGTCAGGAGTTCAAGACAGCCTGGCCAACATGATGAGACCCTGTCTCTACTAAAAATACAAAAATTGTCCAGGTGTGGTGGTGCACACTTGTAGTCCCAGCTACTTGGGAGGCTGAGGCGGGAGAATTGCTTGAAGCCGAGAGGTGGAGGTTGTAGTGAGCTGAGATCGTGCCACTGCACTCCAGCTTGGGCGACAGAACGAGATTCTGTCTCAAAAAAAAAGGAAAGAAAATAGGTTATAATTGGACTATATTTTTCTTATTGTGCTATATTAGGTAGTTAATTTTGGACTGGTCTAATATAGCCCATTGTGAATAAAATATAAGCATATGTAGTGTTTAAAAAAAAGATGTTCACACTTAGAAAGGTGCCAGTGGAAAGTTTTCATGGTCATGAGCCAATCATGAACATAAACGTGTGTATTAATTTTAATATTTGATTTTTTTTCTTGAACCTGCCTGTTTTTTACCTTTTACAAAATACTTTTTATTTCTCTACACCTTAAGATACGTATTTTGAAGTTTTTCAGATAGTCTTGTTATTTCTAGTTCCTTTTTTTTTTTTTTTGGGAGACAGAGTTTCGCTCTTGTTGCCCAGGCTGGAGTGCAATGGTACCATCTCGGCTCACTGCAACCTGCGCCTCCTGGGTTCAAGCAATTCTCCTTTCTCACCCTCCTGTGTAGCTGGAATTACAGGCGTGCCCCACCACACCTGGCTAATTTTTGTATTATTAGTAGAGACAGGGTTTCACCATGTTGGCCAGGCTGGTCTCGAACTCCTGACCTCAGGTGATCCACCCACCTTAGCCTCCCAAAGCACTGGGATTACAGATGTGAGTCACCACGCCCAGCCAATTCTAGTTCTTTTGGTGTGAAATTTGGTTTCTCTTTTGTAATGAAAGGTTCTTTGTATCTTTCGCAATTACTGTGTATAAGCTCTTCTTCACATGAACTTTGGAAGGTGTTCTACATTTTGAGGGATATACACATTACATATTTTCAAATATTTAGAGTTAATATTGTTGCAACTCCTACTTCACACTGACAATTTCCACTTCCCACTTCCCATTCCCCAGTTGCCAAATGTAGTAGCCATAAAGAGCATCAGATTGATTTATCTGCCATCCCTTTGTGCAATTGCTGCCATGTTTTTACTCCTACTTATATTATACATTATGTACAATTTTATTATTTTTGCTTTAAGCTGTATTTTAAACAACTAAAATTTATTTTTGTTTAAAACTCTCAGTTTTTAAATATAAGTATCCAAAGGAAAAATATTTATGAAAACTTTGTTTCCATTTGGTATCAGTTTTCTGTCTTAACACTCTTCGGCATTTCTTGTGCAGCTCTGCTGGCAAGGACTTCTCTCACTTTTTTTCCCTTCTTACAAATTTTAATCTCTAAATGTCTGTATTCAGTCTTGAGTTTGAAGGTTTTTTCACTGAATGTAGAATTCTAGATTGATACTTTTTGTCTTTTAGCACTTTAATGGTGTTCCATTGTCTTCTGGCTTCCATTGTTTGTGATGAGATGTAAGTGGTAATGACTATCTTTATTCCCTCGATATACCAGTCTTTTCTTCTGGCTGCTTTCAAGATTTTCTATTTCTCTGCTTTAAGCTGTTTTACTCTGCTGTGCCTGGGTATGGTTATCATTTGAAAGATTTTAAGCTATGGTTTCTTCAGATATTTATCCCTTTTTTTTTCTGTGACTTTATTTACTTGCATTATACAACTTGATATTGTTCCACAGGTCACTAAGGGTCTGTTCAGTTTTCTTTAGTCTTTTTTCTCTCTCTTCTTTAGACAATTTTCTTTCCCTTTCTCTTTCCCTTTCCTTTTCTTTTTTGAGACAGAGTCTTACTCTGTTGCCCAGGCTGGAGTGCAATGGTGCCATCTCGGCTCACTGCAACCTCTGCCTCCCAGGTTCAAGTGATTCTCATGCCTTAGCCTCCCAAGTAGCTGGGATTTACAGGTATGCACCACTATGCCTGCCTAATTTTTGTATTTTTAGTAGAGATGGGTTTTCACCATGTTGGACAGGCTGGTCTTGAACTCTTGACCTCAGGTGATCTGCCCCCCCTCAGCCTCCCAAAGTGCTGGGATTACAAGCGTGAGCCACTGTCCCTGGCCTAGATTAGATAGTTTCTATTGATCTGTCTTCCAAGTTTGCTGATTTTTTTTCCCTACCATCTTCAATATGCTGTTTAATTTCATCTAGTAAATTTTGCCCTTTGGTTATTATGTTATTCATTTTTAGAGTTTTCTTTTTGTTCTTTTTTTTATAATTTTTATTTTTCTGCTGAGATCCCCTATCTGTTCACACATTAAAGACCATGTGTTCCTTTAAGATTTTGAAAATAATTCTAATTCTTTGAATGTATAAAATAGCTGCTTTAAAATCTTTGCTGCTAAATTTAACATCTGTTCTAACATGGGGTTGGTGTTTTACTGACTCCTTTTTCCCCCTTATTGGATCACATTTTTCTGTTTCTTTGCTGCCTACTAATTATTTTTGTATTAAAAAACAACAACAGAGGCAAGGTCTTGTTCTGTCACCCAGTCTGGAGTGCAGTGGTGCAGTGGTGCAGTGGTGCAGTCATAGTTCACTGCTACCTCACACTGCTGGGCTCAAGTGGTCCTCCCACTTCAGCCTCCTGAATAACTGGGACTACAGGTGTGCCCCACTATGCTCAGCTAATTAAAAAAAAAAAAAAATATATATATATATATGTGTGTGTGTGTGTGTGTGTGTGTGTGTGTGTGTGTTCACCAGGCTGGTGTTGAACTCCTTGCCTCAAGCCATCCTGCCTTAGCCTCCCAAACCATGCCTGGCATGCTTCCCTTGGAACTTTTGATGAATACTGTTTTTTTTTTTTTCTTCTCCTAAGAAGGTTGATTTTTGTTCTAAAGTCTGGTTGGTCACCTTGAACTTGTGTAGGCTTGGTTTTATACTTTATTAAGGCAAAATTTATTTACCTTAGGTAACCTCAAGGTGATTCCTTACCCTGTCTAATATGGTGGACCATGACTTTCAAACTGGGTTTTCCTGTGACTCTTGTCTGGATTTTGTTTTAGACATTATTGGTACTGGTTTGGAGTAGGCTGTATGCTAGAGTGTGGTTCTTAGTCTTGAAGGAGGAAGGGAATGTTCAGGTGTGTATTAGGGTTCTCCAGAGACACAGAACCAATAAGAGATACACAGGCGTGTATATATGTATGTATCCATAAGTAAATAAACAAATATAAATTGATGTAAGGAATTGGCTCACGTGACAGTGGAGGCTGAGCAGTCATAAGATGCACATACCCAGAATAATGCTTGACCAAATGTGTGGGCACCCTGTGGCCTAGGCAGGTTGACACATAAAGTTAACTATCACAAGGTGTTAATGAGATTTCTTGTCTGTGGCTGGGTAGGGACCCCAGATCCCCCAGACTTGCTCATTGTCTATCATTTTGGTTCTGGTCTCAGCCTCTAAGTAATCATTCTGTGGCTCAGGTTGTTTCACCTGGCCCATGTGCATTCTGGTCCTCATGGCTCTCCTACATCCAGACTTCTGGAGGTCCCCTTCTGTGCACCTCCCTTCTCTCTGGCACATGGTTTCAGATGCCTGAACTCTAAGCTTTACCAAGCTTTACCTTCACATCTCAGCATGCCCGCCATGCTTTACTGAGCCTCTAGTTCGTTTCACCATGTTGGGAAATTGTTCCCAGACAACCAGGAGACTCATGACCCTTCAGGGATCACAGTCTTGGGCTACCATTTGTTGATTGTCAGAAAACAGTTGGCGCAAATATTTTCTTCAGTTTTGTGGTTGTTTAAAGTGGAAATAGCAGTACTAGTTATTTTCTTGTACAGAAGCAGGATATGTGAGGATTACTGTTTAATAGCCGTTAGGCATACAGGTTCTTTGCAGGTGCTTGGAGGAATGTAAGGATTAATACAGTCAGTTTCCTATTGAGCATGGCTGGGGTGGGATTGTGTAGTGGAATGTATGGATTTAGAATGGTTCAGTATAAGCAAGTATCCAGCGTCATGATTCCAGAATACAGTTTTGCTCTTACGGCATGTACATTCTCAGAAAGTACAGAATCTAAGGATGAAAAAACAAGCTGAGTGGTGGAGACAGTTTTCTTTTACATTTTAGCTGTTCCTCTGATTATATTTCATGGGGTAGGTAGATACTTAAATGATTTTTTAGTGATGTCGGCCTTTGGGTGAAGATGAGGCCCACTGAGAGGACTCTAGAGCAGTTGAACCCCGCTTCCCACCTAGGGTTGGAATCATGGCCCAGGCAGATGCTGTGGGTCCCAAGCTCTGCAGGAATGACTGGGGGCTGCCATTCATAAAGCAGCTGTCCCATTATTGGATGTTTTTGTTCTTTTATCTATTTTCTGCCTAGTCTCCTGCATCCTTTTCCTAATTCTTGGCTTTAGTTCTGTTTTCTTCAACTATAGGGAGCGAGTCAAGTCATCCCACCTCTGTGAGACTTGCTTGATTATTTGCAGGCATCTATGCATGACTCCTTCCGTCTTTCATTGTCTTGACTGCACAGCCTTAGTACCTCCAGATCCCCACCCACCTATTACTTTCTCAGGAGTTTTGAACTTTCTCACTAACTTTTTTAATGTGGATCTAGGATTGAAAAGAATCGTGAGCTTAGGAAGCGTTACAGATACAAAGACTACAAATTCAGGTCTCACTTGTCAAATATCAGAAAGGTTATTTCTGACAGTCCTCCTTCCCCAAATCTAAATGTTTCCCTCTTTTAGCAATCTTTCCCTCCCTCATAACTTTAGCATGGTGTATGGTGTGTGCGTAGTCATACATTAGTGTGATTTTTGTCTGTTTTGAACACTATACTGTGAAGTCCACGAGGTAGAGGCACAGTGACAGCAAGCCTCACTCTACATCTTCAGTGCTGGACGTCATCCAGTGTCATGGCATCATGTGATTTTTAGGGTACTATTCATGTGTGTTCAGTTATGTAAACTTGTTTCTCAGTTGTATCAATAGGCGTAAATAAGTTCTCATTGTTGATGTTATTGAAGTGTATCCATAAGTATGTATGGTCATTCCTCTTTTTTTTTTTAAGGATGATACATATATTTATTTCTTAAAAATTTCAGGGGACGTCCCAGTGTTAGCCACTTCTTGTCCCTTCTGTGGCTACATCCAGTTGTAATTGTTCAGTACAACACATCAGGTGTTTGAAATGCCTCAAATGTCAAGAAACACTAACTTATCTCTGGCATACCGTACTTTTTAAAGCAGAAGTATTTTCTGTAATGGTTACTACAGAGTGTTTACTGGTTAATTTTTAGTTAACCAGAAGCATACATTCCATAGCTATTCCAGTTAACTGAGGTTTATATCCATAAAGACATTACCAGAGATAGAAAAATTTCCCTTTTCTTCAGCTAGAGACCCCAGGCACCAACACACCCTCACCACCTTCTTGAAAATATAAAGTGATGGGACAGGGTGCGGTGGCTCAAGTCTGTAATCCTAGTGCTTTGGGAGGCTGAGGCAGATGGATCACTTGAGACCAGGAGTTTGAGACCAGTGTGGTGAACATGGTGAAACCCTTCTGTACTAAAAATACAAAAACTAGCCAGGTGTGGTGGCACATGCCTATAATCTGTAATCCCAGCGACTTGAGTGGCTGAGGCATGAGAATTGCTTGAACCCGGGAGGCAGATGTTATAGTGAGCTGAGATCATGCCACAGCACTCCAGCCTGGGATACAGAGTGAGACTCTTGTCTCCAAAAATGAAAAAAAAAATTATATCTATGTATATCTCTATATATCTCTATATATCTATATATGTATATATCTCTATATACATCTCTATATATGTATATAATTATATATATCTATTTATATATGTAATTATATATATATATCTTTAGTAGTGACTTTTACTAGTGAAAATTTTAATATCCTAATTACCGTTATTTAGAAAAAATTCTTTTTGAGTTGATGTTTAAAATTCTTTTGATTTTTTTTTTTTTTTTAAAGTCATCTTTTACAACTCCTCCCTACCGCTCCTCCCCTAGCTCTCCAGGCCCATTGCCCTGACTAGTAAAGGTTTGCTGTTTTTTCTTCTGGACATTTTCCTTTGCGTCTTCATTTATATATAAGTGCTCATATTCTTGTTATACACAGATATATTTACAAACGTAGGTTGGGTATCCCTAATTCGAAGTGTTTGGGAGTACAACTGTTTCGGATTTTGAAATATTTGCATATATGTAGTGAGATATGTTGGGGATGGGACCTAAGACTAAACATTCATTTATGTTTTATATACTGTAGACAGCCTGAAGGTAATTTTATACAATATTTTCAGTAATTTTGTGCACACAATAAAGTTTTGGCTGAGCTGTGGCTGTAACCCATCATATGAGTTCAGGTGTGGAGTTTTTCACTGGTGGCATCATGTCTGTGCTCAATAGATTTAAAATTTTGGAGCATTTTGGAGTTTTGTATTACAGATGCTCAACCTGCACTTCTGTAACAGAGTAGTTTGAATGCTTAATTAAAATGGCAGTTGAATATTATGTTAACTTTGGTTTTATGATTAAACCTTTTCAAAGTTTTTGTTACTTTCAGATACTCATAAGTAAGGCATATAACCTCTCTAGACCTCACTTTCCACATTTGATAAAGGAACGATTTGAATTAAATGAAATTGAAAATCTCTTAGCTCTAAGTATAACAAATTATGTGTTAAATTGTATAATTCATCTCTTAGATATCATGAAGAATGTGTTGTTTATAATATGAAAAAGTATGAAGATAAAAATCAAATATGACTTTGGGTAGCAAGAAGAGATTTTGGGGGAAGTTGCTAATGTGTACAGTTTTTTCCCCTAAGAGCGGCGAGAGAATGGCAGCTGATCAGACTGGTGGTGGAATCTGTCTCTATTGCCCAGCTTGGCACTATGAAGTTTGACCTGTGTCGATCACTCAAAACTAGCTGATGACATCTGAAAGGGAGTTTTACCCCGGCTCCCTGAAGTTTCACATTACAGCTCTACATTTGTGTTAACACAATGAATGCTTCAAAAAAAAAAAGTTATAGAAATCAAAGCTTACATAGGCAAATCTTTGTTAGTGACTTAGTTAAAAACATTTCATGAATAATAGTTGCTCAAGCTATTTTAACCCTTTTCCCTTTCCCAGAAGAGAAACAAGAAAATCCCACACATTTTGCTCAGTCATGGTATGTTTGTAAGCTCTCTTGTCAGAAAGTGTCACTGATTCTTTAAATTTCTTTTAGTTAGCTGCTTTTGTCCAGTAGCTCACTTATTTTGTGGTTTGAAGATGACTGTACTTCTGACACTTTTCTCACATACTCCTGCTTTAATTTTTCGAAAAACTCAATGGCAAGAAACTGAAAACATATACAGAAGTGGAGAGAATACTAGAATGAGCTCTCACGTCCCTAGCCTCTTGGCTTCAGCAGTACTCAGTGTTTTGCCCATCAGATTTTCTAATGCTTTTAGTGTAAGTAATGCCACATTTAAAAATACTCCTTTTAGAAAAGAGACTTAGTATTTAAAAGGAAATAAACCAGAGTCATTCCCAAGATTTATCTGATTAAACTGTAGAGTTTATAATTATATAAATTTTTTTTAGCACATAGAACAGTCATTCTCTATAGCAAAAGTACTAGCTTTTGTGCCCTTTGCATTGGATTGAGTTATAGAGCTAAACCACAGCAAACTCATTTGTTCCACTCTTAGGTTGCAAGTATCACTTAACTGTGCTTACTTATCTCATCTTCAATATTTACAAATTTTAACTCACATTTGTTTCAGTAAAGCAACCCAAAGTAGATGTTTTAGGAGATGAGTTGGTTTGATGGTTATGATTTTCTTTTACTCCTGTATTGACAGTCAGCTGTAGTTGAGACTATTAGCCTTCTGGAGGGTGAGGTGAACAGGGCTTTTTCCACTTCAGGGGCTAGAGGCTGACATGCATGCAGTTACCTGCAGTTCAGGGCAGAGTGGGGTTAGGGTGGTAATGGTGGCATAAATACTGTTGTGCCAGGGTCATGTCTATAGGTGTGTGGTGGGAAGCTCTGGGGGAGACAGCACTGGCATTGGGTTTGGACGTGGCATTTACGGGCAGAGGTGGATAAAGAAGACCCATGGAGTAGCCTTAGCAAAAGAGTGGTATTTGGGTAGTAGGACTTTGTTCATGTGGCTGGAGTGTAGATGTGTACTAGGAGATAGAGTGAAAAGGTGGAGGTAATAGTAATTTAAAATATAACAGTAAAAAGAAGCAGCTGTGTATTGATCACTTACTGTGCACTGTTTTAAATGGTTTACAGGTGCCACATCTTTGATAATACAGCAATTCTGTGGGTGCAATAAGTGATGGAGCCAGGAGTTCACCTGGGGCAGGCTGGCTCCGGAGCATCACTGGTGCCTTAGGGCCTCAAATACCAGATTCAGCAACGCTAAGCACTTTTTTGGGTCTTATTTTTGGATGGTGATAGTTAGCAGGATATTAACTGATTTTTAAAAACAAATATATTTGTCCATTGTCATGAACTTTTTAACTCTGTTGGAGTTTAAAAAATTGGAAGTACTTAGTGGTTACTCATTGTGGCCCCTAGTTACAGTTCATGAAAGGGATTTTTTAATGTTAAGATGGAAGCTGAATTTCTTGGACCATTTTTTTCCTCATAAAAGATGTATATATTTATAAAAATTGCGATACATTGAGAAGTATAATAAATTAGTAATTACTCAGAATTTTATTGGCCAAAGATATTCATTATGAATAATCTTAAATGCTTTCTTCGAGTGTTTTCTATGTATTTATTCTACTCTTCTAAAACTGTGCTTTGGGAAGGGCTTTGAGTCCTTTCTAATATAATGGTATAACTTCCCCCCTCATGCAGTGAAGCTTTCAGAAGAATTCAAGTGATCACACAACATCATATCTGTGTTACCTTTTGTGTTGAACATTTATTATTTATAACATTTAATTTTTAATGATAAACTTTTGTATATACATTTTGTATATTCTGTTATGAAACGGATTTCTAAAATTAGAGATTGAACATGAAGCAGAATGGCCTACAAAAGGAACATGAATCTGTGCTACAGATATAAAAACTATTTTGAAGGCTATAGGAACAACCACATTTGCCAGGACTCATGCTTAAATAGACTGTGTACGGCTGTGGAGATCATAAATTGAGAAAGCATGATATTTGAGCAAGAAAAATTTACTGAGGTTTGTTAAGATTTGAGAAGAGAGATGGAAAATCTTCCTGTTCAGTTGGAGAAGAAGCTGAGGAATAAGTCTTTGTGCATATGAAGAGTGTTTTGTAGGCTGTGTATAGGTATTTTCTGTTTCTTCAGAATGTAGCAAAAAACAGTGTGAACTTAAGTTGGTATAGAGGAATTTAGGAGATAATTTATGACTAGGGATTGGAAGCTATTGAAATAGTTTATCATGACAATTCTTTGAAATGGATGAGTTTTCATTATATTTAGGATTTTATTCTCCTTAAGGAGAGGAGGGGTTAAGATGGTGTCTTACAGGTATTTCTAGAACTTTATTCCCAAGATTTATTTATTTACTTAGAGACACTTTCACTTTGTCACCCAGGCTGAAGTGCAGTGGCACGATCATAGGTGGTCACTACAGTCTCAGATTCCTGGGCTTAAGCAGTCTTCCCACCTCAGCCTCCCCAGTAGCTGGGATTACAGGTAAGTGCCACCATACTCGGCTCATTTTGATGTTAATTCCAGTTTTCTCACCTATTGCACGTCTCCTGGACTTACACAGAAAATAGAAGACAGTTGGCTGGGCACTGTGGCTCACGCCTGTAATCTCAGTACTCTGGGAGGTCACAGTGGGCAGATCACTTGAGGACAAGAGTTCGGGACCAACCTGACTATCACAGTGAAACTCTGTCTCTACTAAAAATAGAAAAAATTATCTGGGCATGGTGGCGCCCACTTGTAATCCCAGTTACTAGGGATGCCGAGGCATGAGAATTGCTTGAGCCTGAGAGGCGGAAGTTTTAGCGAGCTGAGATTGTGCCACTGCACTCCAGCCTGGGCGACAGAGTGAGATTCTGTCTTTAAAAAAAAAAAAAAAAAAAAAAAAAAGCCCAGGCGTGGTGGCTCACACCTGTAATCCCAGCATTTTGGGAGGCCGAGGTGGGTAGATCATGAGGTCAGGAGTTCGAGACCAGCTGACCAACATGGTGAAACCCTGTCTCTACTAAAAATACAAAAAATTAGCCAGGCGTGATGGTGTGTGCATATAATCCCAGCTACTCAGGCGGCTGAGGCAGGAGAAATGCTTGAACCCAGGAGGCGGAGGTTGCAGTGAGCTGAGATCACGCCATTGCACTCCAGCCTGAGTGACATAGTGAGACTCTGTCTCCCCCCCAACCCCCTCCCCCCCAAAAAATGACAGTTATACTACATGAAGGTTTGTAGTTTTGACTGAAAGGACAAACCAAAACAAGAAAACCCCACCTATAATGCAGGTAGAGTAATAGCATGCTCATGTATAATTGATTTGGCAAGTCTGTGAATGAAGTCCCAGAAATTGTATATTCAGTTTAGTGAGGCCAATGGAATTTGAAGTACAGGTGTAGAAATGTTGACATTAACAAATGTCATATGTATTAGGATTGTGACAGTGTGACTACTGACATGGTAGTGTGCCAGTCATTTTTATAGAATGTCTATTGGTTGAGAAAATTCCAGGGTAACAATTTTAAGGTTTAAGTTTTAATTTCATCACAAAATACACATTCATTTTAGAAAATTTAGAGAATACAGATAAGAATGACAATTCCCTGCAGTTTCTCTCTTCTGAGATAACTATTATTTGCATTTTGTATGTAATCCACCAGTTTTTTTCCTGCACATAACTACTATTCTCTTTTTGAAAAACAAATACAATCATGTTATCTGCATATTGCTTTACAACCCACTTTTTCTACATGAAGCAATATTTTCATTGTATTCCGCTGTGCCAATCTGTTTATTGAACATGTACTGCGATACAGAAATACGAGATCTAGTGGTACTTTTCACCAAGTAGTAGATAATACCACTGGAGTGAGTATATAACATAAATAATTAACAGAATATAGCAGGAGATAAATGCAAGTTAAGAGGAGAGGCTGGAGTGACTTTAAAGTGGATGAAGGCAAATTGAGGTGATCTTGAAAATGGATAGGCAAGAAGGGGCAAATTTCAGGTAGAAGAAATAAACACTAATGCAGAAGGGGCTTAAATGCACTTTATGGAATGTCACATTGAACTGTGAGTTCAGAGGAATAAGATAAGATCATACGTTTCTAAATTATAGAGGGGTTAAATCCAGGTTGAAAGTTCTGTGTCTCAGAAAAGTATGTGTAGCAGCTTTATGCAAAATAAATTAGGGCAGCGGATACAGCTTTTTAAGCACAGTAGTTCCCAAACTTCGCTGGGTCCAGGATTCATCTGTAACATCTTGTTAAAACAAAACACATATTCTTAGGTCCTTGTCCAGGCTTCCTGAATCAGGATTTTTGGGAGTAGAGTCTGATGTAGTTTAGGGAACCTGCCCTAGAGTTTATGACATAACCATCAGGCCTAGGAGATAGTTAATTCTAGGAAGCATTTGTAATACTTAAGGTGAATTAAGGACTTGGTTCAGGTGACTAAAGTGAGCATGGAGAGGAATGGAAAGGCATGAGGCACTTCGAAAATGGATAGGATTTAGTAAGACCATTTAGATAAAGTCAGCAGCTTCTAATGAAATTACTGAAAGAATGGTGGTGCGGGAATAGAGATGGGAAGTTCAAGTGGATAACATGTGGTGCAGGAATGTGATGAGGAGTTGTAGGCATAGAGAATGGAGGCAGGGATGTGGCACTGTAGGCAGCCACCCAACAGCTTGTTAGACTAGATATTGAGTGAAAAGTTTGAGTGGAGAAGAGAGTTTGAAGTATTAGTTTGGAGTAAACCATTGAAAATACTTCTTTTGCAGGGAAAGATGTATAGAGAAATGAGTGAAGCGGTCAGGGGATAGAACCAGAGGTCACATCTGAGGTTAGGGCTAAATGTGAAAGAGACATGGATTATTTGGAGGATAGCTAGTGTTGTGAAATACAAGAACATACATTTTAAGAATTTTTAAGGGGGTAGCATTTCTCTGTAAACTCCACAGAAGTGTGGGAGGGGAAGTAAGTAAAACTGAACTCACTTTACTGCTTTTAGTAATAGACTCATTGGAAGAAAATGTAAGCTATTCATGCAGTGTGTGTTTTTGATTATTTCTGGGCCTTGTTATTTTTCTGTGTTTCTGAGATGCAAGGATTATTTAAAGGCAATGGTTTATAAAATGATATATAATTACATACGTATAAAAGTACATATAACCAACTAAGTATATGTATGCATGCACTCATGCAAATCAATTATATATTTACATTTTATATATAAATTATATATGTGTGTATATATTGTATTATAGAACATCCTGTGTGGAAAAGTTGGTGCTGTCAGAAGGGAGAGAGAGCAAGGCAGTTTTCCAGTGCATTTCTTATAAGCTAGTTATGAGAAGGGCTTGCAGGTTACTGATTGAACATATTCTTTCTAAATGTCTTCTGTCTGATAGATACTCCTTTGTTAGGGAATATATACATAAATGAGATTACCCTAGATGTTCAGGTTAGTGAGGGAAACGTTACAATAGATAGCACTAAGCGCTGGATCTCAGCTTTGATTCCCAGAGCACCTAGAGCGTCATTGGGCCACCTCTTCTAAGTTCCTCTTAAGATCTAGAATTGATTTGAATAATAGAAATTTTGAGTACATTTTGTGTAGGTGACATAAAAGAACATCCTTAAGCAAGCATATCAGTTAAAGGACTTGTCTTCATGGCTCTTGGTGTTTTCTTCATACCACTTTGCTCTTAGTTCCTGTTAGCAGAGGGGAAGAAGCAGGCTCTAAGATTTAAAATTCATGCTAGTGAAAATTAGAAACAAGCCACATACCCTCAATAGGTGTTTGCTTAAAATGCATTTACGTCTTTGCAGTGGAGTACTGTGCACCTGGTAAAATGATGATGCAAATATAAATTGTTGATATAAAGATATATATGTATATATACATATATTTAAGGAGCAGAGATTCCAACACCAAATTTTGGGTGGTGGAATTTTATTAGGTTGGTGCAAAGGTAATACAGTTTTTGCCCTTGGGAGATTGGGCTGATGGTGACACCCGTTACCCAAGACTGAGAATACAGAAAGGAGAAGTGGATTTTTTCTCTGTTTTTCCTCCCTTTTTGAGTAGGGGAAATGGTAGATTCAGTTTAATATGGCCAAAAGCAGTGGCTTAGTAGTCAGTTTGCTTGGATTTGAATATCTCTCTACCATTAGTCGTGTGTGATTTGGGATGGTTTCACTTCACCTCTCTGTGCCTTAGTTTTCTCACCTGGACAATGGGAATGATAGTGGTACTTACTTTTTGTAATTATGGGGTTTAGTGGTTTAAAGTAGAAAATTTATACCAGGGCCCATTAAAGATAAGTCATCTCATGCAGTGAAACATAACTGGGACTTTCGAGCTCAGTTCACTGAGGTCTTCTGGGCCTGGAACAAGCCCGCCTTATAAAAGTTGGCTTTACATACTACATACTAAAGGAGTTCTTAATGTAGACTTTTAACCAACTGTCTTAGAAATGAGCCTTTGGAACCTAGGTCTGCATGTGATAGGGGTGCTTTCTAGTGTCTACTTGATAGACCAGTCACTTTCTAGTAGTGGGAGTTAGGTTCCCGAAAAGCTCTGTGGTTTGAGAATTCATTTTTGAGAATATCTATTCACAAGAGAATAGATAAACAGTTGATAGACTTGAAGGTCATACAAACCTGTGCAAATCATTGTAAATGTTTTCACATTCTAAAGGAAGACAGAGGACAGCAAGCAAAATAGAATATCAGTGGTAGTTTACATATTTTGAGTTAGTAACAGAGTACCTGTACTACTACTTTACAATTACTGATGATAACTTACCCCCAGAAACTTCTGTTTCTCCCCTTCAGTTTTAGAAATGATGTGTCAGTGCATTATGTATTGTTGCAGGTAATGTGCATATGAGGCATTTCCCTCCTGTTTTCCTCTATTTGTTGGTACGTCCAAATACTCAGTGCCTGATTTTGTCTTTCAGGCCCAGATGTGCTCTCAGAGATACTGAGTTGATGGTTGAGATAGCCAAAATTTGGGGCAAAACTCATTTAATCTGCTCAGCTTTTAGTTCTTAAACCTTCTCCCTAGTTCTTTTCACATAATTGCATGAGAAAGCACATGCTTCTAGCCTCTTTAACACAAATTTCAGCTATTCCACTTCCAAAATGCCATTGGAGTAGTATAATCCAGCACCCATGTTTATAATCCCACATGTTCTTTGACCTTGACCAAGGTTTTAATGCAAAATTGACTCATCTGCTATTGGTTTTTACCTTCCTTTCAGTTTGTCTCCTTTAATATATATATGTTTTTTTTCTTTTTGAGACAGGATCTCACCCTGTTGCCCAGGCTGGAGTGCAGTGGCATGATCAGGGCTCACTGCAGCCTTGACTTCCTGGAATCAGGTGATCCTCCCACGTTAGCCTCCTTATTAGCTGGGACTACAGGCTGCACCACCACACCCAACCAAGTTTTTTATTTTTTGGGGTAGAGATGGGGTTTTGCCATGTTGCCCAGGCTGGTCTCCAACTCCTGGTCTCAAGCGATCTACCTCCCTCTGCCTCCCAAAGTTCTGGGATTACAGGCATGAGCTGCTGTGCCTGGCCTAAAATGTTTTTGGTAAAGGGAAAATATAGCAATCTGTTATATGCTGGAATCAAAATTTTTCTACTAGATGAACTTTTGGGGAAATTTAGTATTCTGTTCTAAATTAAATGCCTTTTTCAAGTAATTACTGCTAATGAGCTCTTGTTTTTTCATGTTTAGGGTGGTTGATGCAGAGTAGTGCATATAGGGGCTAAAATCAGACTTAGACACTTGGGGGTTCTTGCATCTCTGTATTTTCTCACAACTATTTCAGTGATTCTTAATGAGTGGCATCTTGGCATAGTGAACTTTAATGTGGGACCATAGTTCACAAACTGTGACCTTAGGCCAGTTAATCCTTCTGACCCTTGCTTTCCCTGTTGATGAAATGGAAGTAACACTACCTACTCGTAGGGCTGTCAGGAGGTCAAATGTGTCAACGTCTATAAAATGCCTTAGCCAAGTGGTTGGCACATAGATAGTAAGTGTTCCACAAATGTTCATTTCCCTGTAGTTTTACTAACCATTTTGGTGCAATATTATATTCTTTATAAAGTCTTGTGTTTTGGCCTTTTTTTTTTTTTTTTTTTTAAAGACTGTGACTGTTTTCTAGGGTTTTGAGGGGAGTGATAAATGTTCTGGGTTTTTAGGATTTCACTTGAAATCCTCCTATATAACTGCTTTTTCTCTGTAATGCTGCTTGATCATCTTATTGGAAATAAGAGATTTTTTTTCTTGTGTGTTAGGCATCAAAACTGTGATACTTCTATTTTCCCTTTGACTCCTTTGGCTATTATAATTCTAGAAAATTATTTCTAAAATTGCTATATGGAAAAAGTACTTTCTTCTGTCACTTCTTTAATTCGTTAGTGTAAATGAGCCAAAGTTTATAAGAGAATGTTAGTTAACTGTATAAATTTTAGATAATGACATAAGTTTAATTTATGTAATCTAATTTTAGATCTAGTTTTTCTTGATTTCTGTTTTGTAGCTTTTCTGTTGTTGCTTATTTTTAATGGGCATCTTCTGAGTTATCTTTTTAGATCCCAGTGTGCACTGTATTTTATCTTTTCATATGGGCTAAATTTTGTAAATTGTGAAATATGCGAGCATTTATATAACATATAAAATGAAGTAATAAAAAACAACTTGGTATTTTCTTCCAGCTTAAGAAATGAGGTAGTACTTAACTAGTACTTTTGAAGCTCCTTGTATCATACTGATTTTTTTTCATCTGCTACTTGTAATACTTCATACTACTTTAGTTATTTTGAAATTAGATATAATTTTTAGTTTGGTGTCATTACAAAACACTGTCACATTAGAGAACATATTGCACCTGCCATTTAGTTTATTAGCTCCTGGGTTAGTCTGAACTTGCCTGTCATGCTGATGCATTCATTTCAGTCCCAGTCTTACATTCTGGATCTCTGTTTATTAGTGTATATATATATATTTTTGGAGACAGAGTTTCCCTCTTGTTGCCCAGGCTGGAGTGCAATGGCATGATCTCGGTTCACTGCAGCCTCCGCCTCCTGATTTCAAGCAATTCTTCTGCCTCAGCCTCCTGAGTAGCTGGGATTACAGGGATGCGCCACCACGCCCAGCTAATTTTTTTTGTATTTTTAGTGGAGATGGGGTTTCTCCATGTTGATCAGGCTGGTCTTGAACTCCCAACCTCAGGTGATACGCCCACCTCGGCCTCCCAAAGTGCTGGGATTACAGAGCCACTGCTCCCGGCCTTGTATTTTTTATTTTTCTTTTCTTTTTCTTTTTCTTTTTCTTTTTTTTTTTTTTTTTTTTTTTTTACAAATCTTGGTGTATCAGTGCTTTTTATTAGGTGACTTGATTTCTCCCCAACCCCTGCCTGTGGAATACAGACACCAAGAGACTAAGCTCAGTACCTATCTGAGCATACCGTGTGTTTAACAGCCTGTGGAAACTGTCCTGTCCCTGAAGATACGCTGTAGATTAATTTTATGCAGTGATTTTAAGACAACTAAAAAAAATGGTTTGTAAGTTTAACTTCAAAAAACCATGTAAGCTCGGTTCCTGGATTGTTCGTAGACCTTCACATTGCCTTTGGCAAACTGAGCTAGAACATACTGTAGAAGATTTGAGGGTCATGAGAGGTTCCTGTGGTAAAGAGAGATGTTTGTCATTAGCATTTGATTGTTACTCCATAGTTTGTGAATGGCTCCATTTGTGGGGCAGATGATGAAAAATATACTCTATATTTTTCTCAAAAAAATGAAAATATGACTGTCTAGATTTTTAAGCTTCTTTAAGAAGAAAATCGTATCTGTAGCTTATCTGCAAAGCACATTTGGTGTGTGGAATTATCTGCTTATTGTCATATAAAAACTCTGACCTTGTATTAACATTTTTGTTTTTGAAAAGTGGCTAGCCTGAAGGAAGGATATATGGAATAATCACTAGAGTCCTTATTTAAAGTAATCCAAGGTGAAGATTTCTGGAGTTTATTGTTACTTAGCATATGATGGTTTGGTTGCTGTATAAGTCAGCAGAAAATTATGTAACTCAGAGATACTTTAGGTGGCCTTTCATATGAGTAATGATTAATGGATAATGTTTCAAAAAGGTGTCAGAAATTTTGATGTGTCTTACCTTTAGATTTTTAAAATAGTAATGAAATCTAATTTCTAACAATTTTTAATAAAGAATACTGATAATTGATTCTACTGTCTTACAAAGAACTTTTGTGTCAGTAATATCTACTTCTATCGAAACTGGCGAGGTGTAAGTAGCATTGTAACATTTTCTGGGTGAAGAATATGATGTTGAGAGCCTAAAGGATTTGATTATATAGTTCATAGCTAGAGATTGAATTTATGTTTTCTTTCCCCATAGTTCATGTCATAATTTTAAAGACTGACCATTTTAGGGGAAAAATTATTAGAAAATGATGTCCTTTGAGTAAAGATAATCTTGATTCAATTATTTTTACAAATAAAACTATTCTGATGCAGCACTCTAGTGTTCATCCATCTAGTCATACACCCCCCACAATATGATACCAGCTAGTTGTAGGTCTAGTGTTTAATGTAATACCGTAACAGGCATTTGAATTGGAATGGTAGTTCTTCAGGAATGGAATCTGGAATATAGGCAAAGATTTCAGAGACAATTCCTAATTTAAAAATAACTCATATTGTCTCTGAGGTTCTTTTCCAGTGAAGTGTTTAGTATTGCTGCTATTTGGAGTACAAAGTTGGAGCTTTTAAAGAACCTGGGAGTTCAAAAGTATAAGGAGAAATAAATGAAAAGCAGAAATATTTTGAGGCAATAAGTATAGACTCAAATCTATATTATGACCCACTTGTAGCACCACTTGGAATTCTACCAATAAGAGATTTATTTGGGCAAACTATAATGGTTGTTGGAAATTGCAAATCTTAGTGTGAATTATTTTAGTCCAGTTGGTTTCTTTCTTTCTCTTACCTGAAATGAACTATACTGAGGCAATAGGAGCTTTGTATAGTAATTTAGGAGTGTAAAACAACTTAGGGAAAAGGATTATTAAGCAGGATGATTGGGATGACATCATGTGAAATTTAGGAATTGGAGGCATTGGGAATTGAGAGGGTGCTAACAAAGGAAAACAGCTTATTTTAGAATTTGTCTGGAGGATGTAGAATTGAAGAAGTTTTGGTATTTCTTCTGCAGCGGCCCCAGTGCCCTTGACCAGGAACATCTCTTGGAGTCAGTAGTTTTCATGAGGCTGACCTAGGAACTTGGCCAACATATGCAACATTGTTCTATTTAAAATATTCCTTGAATTAAATTCGATAGTATCAATTTAAAACATAAAGTTTTCACTCAACTCCTTTAGAAGTTAGATTTTAGCTTGTACTTGTCTTTACCTCTTCTGCTGATTATCAGTTGACAACACTGAGATTACTTTCATTTTCCTGTAAGTCATTATGAATTTTTCTGGTCAACCATGAGTTATCAGTGGAAGCAATAAGTAGGAAGTACTGTAAAAGAATTACAATAAAATAAGAGAAACCACTTGGAGAGCAAGAGGGCTTGTGGACTTGGGGGAGCGGTTGTGAGAAATGTCTCAGAACTTAATTTACAAATAACATTGGTAGATTGACATGTTGTCTTTCCTATAAAGTAACTTTACCTCTGTCTTAATAGTAAACTACTATGAAAGTGAATTCGTGTTCCTCTTGATTTGTGAACTGATGAAAATTACAAAATGTGGAGTTTTTTCCCCAGATAAAGTAAATGGTGGAATATTCAGGTTTATTTGATACCTAGAAAATACCTGAAATTTTCCGTGGTAATAGGCACATTTTGAAACTGTTTTTTTTTTCTCTGACAATTGAATATATTTTATATATAGTTGATTTTGATTATTGAAGACTAAGGAAAATTTAAGTTTGAATGTTAGAAAATGAATTTTGCAAATTTGAAGTAATTTTATTCTTTATGTTTTGGGATTGTAGTTATGTTAGATATTCCTCAGTTGGGGTAATTGTCTTGCATCATTATCTCTTATCATAATCTGTTTTTCTTCACACAGTGTTATAGTTTTGCCGCTGGACTCTTCCCTCCCTTCCCCCACCCCATCAGGATGATATGAGACTTGAAAGAAGACGATGCATACAGGTGACTCAAGTTTTGAAATACAGTAAAACTCTGGCTAAGAGAATGTGGGAATCGATGGTCTATTTTGAATGGGGGAGGTTTCTGATAAATAGCAGTTAGTGGGGGGAATTGTAGATCAGTAAATGCAAAGGTAGTTGGGCTATTTGTTAAACTTACTTTTGAACTCAGATTGATAATCAGTGATTTATAGTGGTGTTATTACAAATACAGCATAGTAAATGCTAGCACTTAGGCTTTTCAAGAGCTAATATTTTGGTGGGAATTGGAATAATTCTGTTAATGTAAATAACACAGTCACCTTTATGGTTGAATGCATGTCTCCCCCAGAACTCTATTAGAATATGGCAGATCTTTTATGGGAGTAGATGTTAGTAGGATATCATCAAAAAGACTGACAAGTTAAGGATATTATACCCATACATACGGTTTCTTAAAAAGATATGCTCTGGGATTTTGTTTATTTTTTCCTTGTTCCCAATATCCCTGCCTCCCATTTCCTTTCTTCCCACCCTCCCCCTCTTATCCTTTTGTCATTTGTATTTTTATACAGAAGAAGCAGTGTGAAGGCATTTTTGAAAGAATATTTTTTGATTGCTCTATAATTAATTGAGGTGATCTTTTACATGGGAAACTGGAGGCTATTCCACACATGGCTATGTTCAAATTTCTGAAAATGTAGTGCAGCTAATGTATAAAGTGTTAATAACTTTTGAACTTAAATGTTCTTAAATTAGGCATATTATAAGGCATTTTGTTGAACTAAGTGACTTAACATTTGAAACTCTGTCAGAGAGCCTTATTTGATTATATTTATAAACTGTTTGAAAATGTGATTGCTAACTGGAAAAGAAATATTTATATAAATTTTGAATTGATACCTAACAGATGCCTAATTATATCATTGGTGTAGTTTTTGTGATTGGTTTTTATTTTTGGCGATCTGGGTTTTGTCTAGGGGAAAAATCATCATTTTATGATTTTAAGATTTTAAAAAATTGTTTCGGTGTACTATTTTGTATGAAGAAATGTGCTTGAATATATTTATAAATTAAATTAGAGAGTATATAATACTTCACGTTCATGTAGAAGTCACCATTTTAAGACCGATGTTAATTCTTGTTTACGTCAAAGGTGATTGAGCAATCATCTCTGTTACGCATCTATCATGCATGCACACAGGCTTGCACATGTATGTTTGCCTGTACATATTAGAAGTATGCCAGGTACACATTCTGGCTGAGTTGCTCGCTGATTGTTAAAAGCAACGTGATGCTGAAGCTGAATATCACCATCATAGAAAAACAAATAGGCATATTTACAGAAACATTTTTAGAATTTTATGCACATTTTTTTGTTGTCAGATTTTATAAGTTTGACCTTTTGGTGCAGGAACTATTTCTCAGCATTGTCAGCTCCTGGATTGCTCCTTGGGCGCTATACTGCACATTGGCTATACCAAGTAGATGCTCACTTTCGACTGAGGTCAGTAGAGGAACAAAGTATTTTTGGGGTATCTCATAGATTTATCTATGAATATTACTGATTTTGGAGATTTTCTCTCGTGAAATTTTGGAGTTACAAAGTTTCTATTTATCCTCACAAGACATGGAGGGTTTCCAAATAGCTCTTTTTCTTGAAAGGCTTATGGTCTCAATGGAATGAAATAACTAATGAGTAAATACAGTTTATAGTTATCTAGTTAATTTTATGAATGCTAGAACACAAGAAAATTCTACAGATTAGATTTATGATAAAATCCAATCTCTTATTCAGCCTTGTATTCTTTAAAAATTGTCAGCATTTATTGGCTTACAGAGGAAAAAACCCAGGAAAGAAGATCTAGCTGTCTAATAAATATATTAGCTGTTGGTGTATTCCCTTTCTAATAGTTTGAAAGTTAACAATTGTTTTTGAACATAAAATTAACAGCTTTCAGAATCATCATTAATTAATGTAGCAGTTTGGTCTTGTATTACTATGCACACATTTATTCGACTGATAGAATTTCAACACATTAAAACTAATGAGTAGATGTTCACCGAAAGTTGTTTCTAGAGAATGCTTCCTGACATTTGAAAGCAAGTGGTCTGCTTTCTCTGGGCCTTGTTTTTACCCTCTGGCATTGTTCATGGTACTGGCTTTGTTCTGTTGGTTAGATGTGGTAACTTACTCTCATCTTTTCCTTGATGAGGCACAGGTTCAGGGATGCTGGAAAGGACACTGAAGTAGGCCTTGGCTGATGGGCCTTTCAGAAGTGAACACTTAAGAGTAGGTTTTCAGAGTAACTTTGTGAGGTGATGAATATGTTAATTGGCTTGATTGTGGTGATCATTTCATTTTGTATATGTGTATCAAAACATCATGTTTTACACCTTAATATATACACAATTTTTATTTTCCAGTTATAACTCAATAAAGCTGGTGGGAGGAGAGAAAAAAATAGTTTTACTGAACACTAGGCCAAAGTCAGACTTTGATGTATTTAGTTCATGTATCTATAGGTGTTCCTGTACTTACTTAATTTGAGAATCTTTTTGCATGTTTTAAAATACAGTTAGAACATGAATGAAGTACATTTGGATTTTCTTTTGATTTTTGGAAGAACAAATGATTTGTTAACAAACATTTATTTGGTGAGCATTTGCTTTGTACCAGGTACTATTATAGGTGCTGCTCTGCATACAAGGATCCCTGAGCTTATGGATAACAAATAAATGAGGCAGTGGAGGTTTTTGATAAAGTTTTAAGACTCACCTATTGAATTCAAGGCATGCAGAGAGAAAGTAGAGAGCACTGTCTGGGTAATGACATTGACAGTAATGGCTTTACCTGTAGGCAGAGGTTACCAAAATCTCTGCATCCCATTCTTCTCTTCCGAGCTCCACACTCAGGTAACTGCTTTCTGGATGCCTCTCCCGCATATTCCCTCCTCCTCCCCCATTCAGTCCTCTTAGTAATGAGTGACACCATTCTACCCTAACACAACATCATTTGGGGAACCTAGCAACCACTCTTTGCCCTTTTGAATCACAAGTAACCAAATTCAGTTTATTTAAGGTGTAGAATGACTTCTCAGATTAGATTTGGAAAAAGTACTGCCTCAGAGATTACCATGTATATGAACATAAAGACTTTTATATAAAGAAACCTGTGTAAACCAGCATTTCTTCAGTTTATTTGATTAAGGGACCTCCCCTCCCTTTTATTTTTGATTTATACCTATTAATAACATCCTGTGGACCATGATTTGGGAAAATCATGTTGGAAATAGAAGGGGCTGCCATTCTTTGTTTTGTTGAAATGAACTTCTTTAACAACTAAAATTTTTTAAACAATAGTGATATACTAGTCACTTTTAAATGTGGAATAGTTCCAAAGCATACAGAGCTATCACTTTTTGAGGATGAATAAACATGGAAATTTATTTTTAAATGTGCTGATTTGTTCATATTGTCTATGTCATAATTCTTATGCATACACTATATATATACTCATATATATGAATTTAAGTACTTAAAACCGTTTGTGGCAGAGTTTTAATTTTGGATTCTCTTAACTCATTTTAAAATGTGAATTTTGTAGGACAAAATTTTCATATTTCCAGTGATCACAAATGGGGTGTATTCATTATACAAGAGTTAGAAATCAGATCTGTAAATTACAAAACCCCAACTTTTAAAATCCCATCATATGTGGGGTACACTAGGAGAATGAAAGGGCATGTAGATTGTAATATTTAGGAAGCTGTCACCAGTTTGCCTCCCCTTGGAATTGTTGTCGTGGTCGTGTGTGTCTGATCTTTTTCTTTGTCTGTGTCTCCTTCTCTAGCTTTCGTTCATGTCTCAACCCAAGCAGTTTGACTTTTTTCTTACTGATTCAATAAATTTATTTTTCTAGTAAGTTAAAAAGATAGTGGATTTGCTTTTGCACTCATGTTTTTACTTTTTGTTTATTAGATGATACAAAATCACTGAAAGAATTCTGAAATGTATAAATATATATAGATAAGTATAAGGAAACATATCCCAAGTTTTAGTGTCCCCTACAGTGTGGCACATTCCCTTCCAGTTGTTTTTCATGCCATTTTTTTAACTAATTGAGGTCATTTTGAATATTCAGGATGATGTGGTTGGGTAAGATCCATTTTATACTCGTGTTGACTAACATATCATAAATGTTGCCCTACATCATCAAAAGCTAACCATAGTGATTTGCTGTTACTTTGAACTTGGAGCAAATCCAGGGTACTCAGAATGCTTTTGAAGATAATTACTTTAGATATTTATTTTACAGTATGCTTATTTCCTAGTTAAGTTAGGTATCTCTTATTTTTAGGCATTAAGTTGTTTTTTAAAGCACTAATACCTGTGCATAGTATTTGGCTGTAAAATTATTTTCTTATAATTGATTCCTAGGAGTCATAATGTTTGAAAAATTTTCAGGCTCTTGATGCAACTTTTCAGAAAGCTGTTTGGTAATATGTACCACTCTGTACATTACAAGAATGTCTCTTAATTTATTTTTCTCAGCATTGAGTATTATAGTTAAAATAAATCTTCAACAGGCAAAAAGAAGAATCTCTTATTTTGGAACAAATGAAGTAGTATTGTATACTTGGTGGAGGAAATATAAGTGCTTTAGAAATGCATAAAGTAAAAAGAGACAGCCACTCCCCTTTTCCTAATAGTTTGGAGTCTGTCTTTCTAGCGAGTAGTTTTTGTTTAATACGTTTATGGCATTTGCACATGTTGTTTACCAGTTTTATGTCCAGCTAGTCCGATAGTTCCTGAAGGTCAGGGGGTTAAGGCTTATCCTCTTTGTGTGCCCTGTGACTGTCTGGCAGGATTTCTGGGACACAGGAAGTGCTCAGCAAATGCAAAAAGAATAATTTTTGGCATCCTAATGGCATTTTTAATGCCTAAAAATAAGTATATTAATGCTTGCTTTAATACATTTCTTCAAGTGGTTTTAAGAGTTTCTTATTATTTTCCATTGCTTTTTATGTTTCATAGTTTTATTTATGTTTCTAAGTGGAAGCAATTAATAATGATTACATTATGTATGTGTCATATGAAAAAGCATTTGATATTTATAGAAAAAATGATGGGAAATCTGAGGTAAGCCACATTGTAAAATTGAATTTTTTACCTTAGTGTGTCTATTTAAGACCCAGGTAAAAGAAAATACATTTATATTCATGATTTTGGATTTTAGGTATACTTATTAAGTGTACCTTGAAAGAATGTCTAAGTTCTAGGAAGATGACAACAGAACATAGTTTTAAAATTTTCCCATTTTCCTCTAGAAGAGACAGAGTAACTAGCTCAGCAAAACCAAAACGTCACATTCAGCATCTGCAAGACTAGGTGAACAGTATCCCCACTGACTCACATACAAGTAAGTAGGTGAGAGTGAATGTTGATAGCAAGACCTGTGTGGTATCAGCATTTGTGCAGAAGGAGGCATGAGGGTGTCTGATGGACCTGAGAATAGGAGAACCCTAAGATAACCAACAGAGGAGACTCACTGCAGTGAGAGACTTGCGGAAATTATGTTTGAGAAGAGCAGCTGGAACTGGAGATAGTTTTGAGTTCCCTGGAGGACACAATAAGTTCTGAAGGGGGGTTAGAGTCATGTGGTCCCCATGAACTCTCAAAACCAGTTTAAGCTCCATTCCCAGTCAAAGCCCTACACCAAGGAGACACTGCTGGGGATAGAATCCACATTAAACAAGATGGAGATAATGAGGGCAAAGGAAAAAATGTCAGATGAAAGTGGGAGAAGATAAAAGCACAGGAGATCTTATTCATGAGTCTATATTTTGGGATCCTTCATGAAAAGGGAAGAGAACTCTTATTGAAGTCAGAAAAGCTACTCCAGTTTCCCCAAAGTTTTTTATTTTACATAAAAACGAGCAGTGGACAGGGATCATAGTCAAAATCCCCACAGAGTTTTTATAAGAGAAAAGCATAAGGAGCCGAATATTATTACTGCAGACAATGAAAGCATGCCAGAAAGAAATGTCCACAAAATAAATGAAACTATAACTTGTTTCAGAATAATCCCAGAGAAATTTAGAAAATGATACAAACACTAAAGCACAATGTAAATCTGAATAAGGAAAAATCAGAAAAGTGGTGATAACCCAGGAAAGAGAAGTAAAAGATAATTTAAAAAATGAAACCTAAACAGAGTGAAAAACACAATATAAAATTTCTCAAAAAACTGTTTAAGATGAATAACCAGCCGGGTGTGGTGGCTCACGCCTGTAATCTCAGCACTTTGGGAGGCCGAGGCGGGCAGATCACGAGGTCAGGAGATCGAGACCATCCTGGCTAACATGGTGAAACCCCGTCTCTACTAAAAATACAAAAAAAAAAAAAAAATAAGCCAGGTTTGGTGGCGGGCACCTTTAGTCCCAGCTACTTGGGAGGCTTAGGCAGGAGAATGGCATGAACCTGGGAGGCGGAGCTTGCAGTGAGCCGAGATAGCGCCACTGGACTCCAGCTTGGGCTAAAGAGCGAGACTCGGTTCTAAAAAAAAAAAAAAAAGAGATGAATAACCAAGAAGAAATGAAGAAAAATGAAGCATTCCAGAGAAAGCGACAGTTACTAAAGACAGGCAAGGAAGTTTCAACATACAAATAACAGGAGGCTCTGAAGAAGAACTAAAGCAATGAAACTTAACAGATACTAACAATATAACTCAAGAAAATTTGTTGAAATTTGCTTTGCAGATTTTTTTTAAGAGAGTCTTGCTGTGTTGCCTAAGCTGGAATGCCATGTGGCATAAGCATGGCTCACTGCAGCCTTGAACTCCTGGGCTAAAGCTATCCTCCTGCCTCAGCCTCCCAAGTAGCTAGGACTGCAGGCACGTGCTGCCACACCTGGCTAACTTCTTTATTTTTATTTCTGTAGAGATGTGGTCTTGCTGTGTTCCCTAGGCTGGTTTTGAACTGCTGAAGACCAGCCTTAAGTGATTCTTCCGCCTTAACCTCCCAAAGTGCTGGGATTACAGGTGTGAGTCACCGTCTTGGCCTTTAGTCACTTTTTAGTGTGCTTTTAAAATTTAAACATTCTCCAGCATCAATATTCTTCTATAGTACTGTTTTAAATGACTAATCAGTATTCTGCGAATTAGTTAATGTTTAACGGTTCCCCATTTTTGCTAATTAGTTCATGAACAATGTTTAAGTGGATACTATTATCGTGTTTTTTGTTTGTTTTTTATTTATTGCCTTAGGTTCAATTCCTAGAAGTTGGAATTGTTAAGGTGAAGCATATGTACATTTTAAAGCCTTTTGATACATTATTTTCAAATACCTTTTTAAAGTACAGTTTATGCTTCTACCAGCTGCACATCAGAATTTTTCTGCACCCTAGGATCCTAGGTATTTTAAAATGTTTGCCAATTCAATAGACAAAACATAACTCAATATTTACATTTACATTTGCTTGAATATTAGACCGAGTATGTTTTTTGGGGGGTTTGTTACTCATGTTTTTTGTGAGTTTCCTTTTATCATTCTTTGTTGATATTTCTTTGGGGTTTTAATTTTTTTTCTTAATTTACCAAAGTTTCTCATTGAACCCTTACTAGATGCCAATGACTATTCTAAATTATTTACAGGTATTAACTTATTTACTCCTAATGATAACTCTGGTACAGGTACTGTGATTGACCCAGACAGAGGTTCGGTAGCCTGCCCCAGGTCACACAGCTAGTAAGGGATGGAGCTGGGGAGCAAATTCAGGGCCTGTGAGTCCCTCCTCTTAATGATCATGCTTTTGATTTTAGGGATACTTACTGTTACTTATTGCTGGTACATTTTCCAGTTTGCATTTGCCTTTTGTTCATGGTGTCGTTTTATACAAGAGCTTTAACTTTTTGTATGGGAGAACTAAGTTTTATTTATTAGTGTAATGCCTCAAACATAACAGATTCTCAAATCTATGTGTTGAACAAATGAGAATGAACCCATCAGCAGTCTGTTGATGGTGATGACCTTTTATGTAGTGTAATATGTATCTCCTTTTAAAGGGATTCCCAGGGCTTCATAAATGAGTTACTCTTTGGTTTTTATCAGGCACAGTAAGCTTATCTGTATTAGCTCTTCTGGAAAGTTTTTTAGATGTAATCACTGCTTTTAAAAGGAACATGTGTTCTTAAACAAGCAAATAGGAGTTGTGAAGAATGTATTTATTGATAATGATTTGAATTGTAGATTCAAAGTGAAATGAAATAATTTCACTCTAGGAATAATTTGATGGGATTTGTTTTTTGTATTTTTAGAAAATTATAGATTTGGCCATTGTTTAAAAAGTTTTGAATAAATTTTGGCTTAGTGTAAGAAGATTCTTTGATAGGAAAACTAAAACTATTTGATATAAAAAGTTATCATTGCTTAAGATTTGGATAGTGTAGATCATCTCCTCAAAAGGTGAAATTTAAGATTTTACTTTTCTCGAATTCCTGACCTCAGGTTATCCTGCTGCCTTGGGCTCCCAAAGTGCTGGGATTACAGGTATGAGCCACCGTGCCCGACCAAGATTTTACTTTTCTTTAAGCACTCTTTCTCCTCTTCTCTCTGGTGGTGAATACCAGGCTACTTAATGGTGCCTTCTTAGTTTGGCCTCTGTATTCCTTAGTCTTTTAAAAAAGTGTAGAGATCCATATTGCTAATGGATATACATTAGAGAGAAACACAAATAAGTTAATTTTAATTTTTATAAACCATCCACAAAATATACTCCATGGAATCAGATACTCAAAAAGATACCGAGATGTAAATATTTATGTTGTTAACGCAAATCCAGGTCTGCTTTGTAGAAGGTTACCAAAGCTTAAAAACCATTGTTGAGTGCTTGCTGTTTTTGTAACCTACTGGTTGCAGCCAGCTCTTTCCTCTCCTACTGGTGGTAGTAGTATTCTTCAGGCCATTTGTATTAGTCTGTTCTTGCACTGCTATAAAGGAAACCTAAGACTGGGTCATTTATGAAGAAAAGAGTTTTAATTGGTACACGGTTCCACAGGTTATACATGAAGCATGGCTAGGGAGGCCTCAGGAAACTTAGAGTCATGGTAGAGAGTGAAGGGGAAGCAGGCATGTCTTACATAGCCCCAGCAGGAGGAAAAGAGAGAAGTGGGAGTGCTACACACTTCTAGACAACCAGATCTCGCGAGAACGTACTCACCATCGTGAGAATAGCAAGGGGGAGGTGTGCCCCTGTGATCCAATCACCTTTCAAGAGGCCTCTCCTCCAACATTGAGAATTACAGCTTGACGTGAGATTTGTGTGGGGACACATATCCAAAACATAATCACCATGCTTAGCCGATATTGTTAAATTCAGACTTGTTCTTTTAAGCATTAATCAGTCAATTTACATGCTTATGTTAATAAAATTTAATCCATTCTGGAAGTAAAAGAACGAAATGTCAGTTTTCCTTTTCCTCGTTTCCACTTACAGGGGTAACCCCTTTTACTATTTTCCGTTTTAAAATTCTTCTCTTGGTTGCCTCCATGATTTTTAATACATTAGTATGTTTGTAGCTGTGTTTTAGTATTTTAAAAAACTATTGAAAAATGAAACCAGATAGCTCTCAGTGCTACCTCTTTTCCATCCAGTTTCTCCCGATCCTCTTTTAAAGTTTTTCTGTTGATTATTATTAAAATTTTATAAAACTAACTTAAACCTCATTCTTGGCCATCAGTTTTAGACAGTTTCTCTTGATTTCTCAAGATTTGAAATGAGAGCTTTAGAGCCCTTTATATTTCTTTTTACCTCACAGCTGTTACCCACCAGTTACTTCCAGCTTGTATATAGGTATGTTCACTTACACATCTTTCTTTCACTTAATTGAATCCTTTATTTTTGTCTTAGAATCTTCTGAATATTGAAAACAGAGAACTATACTGGAAGAACATAGTGTATTAAGACTCATGGAGAGGGAGATGTGATACTGTGTCACTGAGGTCGTTCCAGTCATAGGAGAAATGTTACCACTGGATTGAGGTCTGGTACATTTTAAAAGATGATTTAATTCTATGATATGTGTTCAACTTGCACTAGGATAGTTTTTACTTTCACCTTTGTTCCATGCACCGCGCAAATACCTGGGAACCCTTGTTGCCCAACTCAAGAGCCAGAGTCCTCTGTCATCATTTTGCCTCTCTCCTAAGTGACAGGACTGAGTGCAGACTTGGTGTTTGTGGGTGAGGCATGTGGACTGACAGGCAGGCTTCAGTTTATTTAGCGAGTGTGAGCCCTGGCAGGAAGATTCTCTTTCTCTGCTTGCCAGGTTGAGGAGGCCTCATTAAGCAGTTTGAACTTGTGGTTTTGGCGTGTCTAGTCCTGGTGCAGGTGGCTTGGTATCCTCACAGGCATTTCTTTGGCCTCACCCTTGGGGTGACTGTTCACTTGTGTTTGAGCGGCTGGGACTCAGTAGGTTCACTGGAGTAGGTATTTCTTTAGAGCCACTGGCGGAGGCTGATCATGCGGCAGATAGTTGTTTAGTATCAAGCCAGTCTCTCCCCTTCTTTCTACTCCAGTTTTTCTTTACCACCCAGAATGGCATCTGCCACTTCTGCTCTGGTTCCTAGATCTTTTTGACATTCCTTAAATTATTGGTATTATCCCAGTTGCCTTTTCTTGCAGAAAACTGACAAAATCTTTGGTTCACTGGTATGTCTCCATCCCATGCTTTATTTTATTTAGTGATCTTTCACTGCTTGTTTCTATGGATGATATAGAGGAATATAGAGGATAAGAACAATATGTTTACTCTATCCAGTGTTCTAGATTTTCTTGTTAGAAGCACCCTCCTTCCCAGCTTGGGAAAACTGAGCTGCTGGGGTGGCTGTTGGCTCCTTCGCTTGCTGTTAGTTTTAAAGGATTGTTTTCAGTCACACTTGAATTGTAGCTATCCTTGGTTCTCTTTTTACCAATGAATTCTGGTAGTATGTTTTAAGAGCTGGGTGGCCTTCCTGGCCTTTGTAAACATTTCCTGCAATGCCTAGCTTTAGTGAGCTGCGAAGTTGCCCATTGGAGATGAGGCTCTATTGAAAGTCAGCACCTGTACTTCACTCCCTGCCTTTTGTGACTTTGGGTTTCGACCGGGTGTTTGGAAGCACTGTTTCTTCTGTCCTTGACCTTGTTCCACATGTTTTACCCATTACCTCCTGTGAGCAGGCACAGGGCCTTTCCTTGTCACCTGGGCTTCAGCTGCTTTGAGGATGACTACTTACCCCTTGCAGTAGCTTCCCACCAAGGTTCTTGAAAGGGAAGTTTTCATAATGTTCATTTTTTTAAAAAGTTAGACCAGCTATACCCCCTAAACTTAAGTCTGCTTGTTTTCATATGACGTAGAAATTGATACAAAAATACTTTATGTAGTTTGTATAGATGTAGTTGCTTAAGAAAGATGACACTTACTGTACTATTTTGTTGTCTTGATAAGTACAGTACAAAAACCAGTTTTTAAACCCTAAAGTTAATTTGCAAGAAATTGATACAAAAATACTTTATGTAGTTTGTATAGATGAAGTTGCTAAGAAAGGTGACACTTACTGTACTATTTTGTTGTCTGGATAAGTACAGTACAAAAACCAGTTTTTAAACCCTAAAGTTAATTTGCAAGAATCTTTTTGTTTTGACAATATACTATTATAACTTTTAGCTGAATAAAATCTTAAGTCAACTTTTATGTTTTCATGATACCTAAATGAGGGAGCAAAAGTATATTTAGTATATGACAGTATACTGTCATATACTACTGAATTTTCATAAGGTTCTAGGAGCCTTTTTTTTTGTTCTGGGAAAGGGAGGGAGGAAGAGGATGGCACTGTTACCCAAATGTGAGTTAGTTGATTCAGAAGAGTAAAGAATAGTCCAATAGTCCAGTAGTTAAAAATTTATGTCTGTAATCCAGATTTAAATACCAGTTTATCTTCTAGCTTTATAAACAGTCTTAATGAGAAGTAGGGGACAAAAAAGAAGCAGGATTGCCCTTAGGTTAGAGAATAGAAATATCTACTTGGCTTAACGTTTTTATGAAAGATGTCCAGCAAAACTGTGGTGGCAGCCTCACTTTAGAGAATGAGGTATTAAAAACTTGACCAAGGTAGTCATGCCAGACTTTTGAATATTTTTCCAAATAAGATGGCTTCAAATTGAAAAATTTTATCCACTTGATATTTTTCAAAACTATAAAGCTGTGTTCTATTTCTACCTAAAATATAAAATTGTTAGTATGGTATGATTTGTCATTTGAGATGATCTTGGCTAATACATTACTGGGCATAATAATGGCTATTACACATTGAGAGGATAGAGGCTGTTTCCGTGTCTCAAGCATCATTAACTGCAGATAAAAAAAAGTTAACAGTTATTCTAAAAATATTTCTTATAGGGGAGAAAATGTAATCAGTATATTGTATGTTTTAGTCTGGTGTGGTGGTGCAAGCTTGTAATCCCAGCTACTCAGGAGGCTGAGGCAGGAGAATAGCTTGAACCCAGGAGGCGGAAGTTGCAGTGAGCCGAGATCGCGCCATTGCACTCCAGCCTGGGCAAAAGAGCAAAACTCCATCTAAAAAAAAAAAAAAAAGTTAATGATTAATTGTATACTTAGAAAACTTACTTTCTTTACTAGGAATTCTAAATATATATATATATATATATATGTAATGAAGATTTTAGTTTAGTAAGTTAACTATTTTAAAACATGTTTAATGTTTAATTTCTGATTCTAAAAGTAGTACTTTTTGGTACTTTCCTAAACTCCATAATTTAAGTAACTTTAAAAAGAACTGATGCTAAGCTAAACATTTAAATTGAGGATTATCCCAGAGCATCTGTCACTAGGCAGATGATGTTTCCTTATGTCTCTAGTCCCCAAAGGAAAGTAGGAGTGCCAAGTTTTTAATATTTGTCCCTTTCAAGAAGGGGAAAGTTTTGTGATACAAAAAATGTTTAAGAGGTGGACCAGGAAACAGTCCCTTGACATGGAAAATGCCCAGGCTGAGTTAGGATTGCTTTATCTATATGGAGGGAATAAGAACCTGGGAGAACAAACCAAAATATTAAAGATTCATGAGTAAGAGTATGAATGAAATTGGCTTTAAAATCTTTCCCTTTTATTTCTCTCTTACCTTTATCCTTCGGAATTAAAGGAGGCTAATGCAGGTTCCAAGTAGTTCAAAAATGTACCAAAAGTTGTGAAGTTTAAAGGGCTGAGATTGAGTCTTTCAGGGAATGGATTAAATACTTTGGTTTCGACAGTGATTTTCAAACCTGTCTTAAGCCTTGACTCGTAGTGTGTAGATGATAGTATCGTGAATGATCCTGAGCTAATCTCATGAAAGCTTACATTTAAACAAATTTTCATATGGACAAGAAACCAAGAGACATTGATGTGTGACTAAAATATTGATTATTCATGGATTCTGCGAGAGCTTTGCTTTTTATCTGTGGGATCTTACGCATTATGTTTCTAAAAATATAGTTTCTTTGTTTCTAGGATGGGGGGGTTAATATTAGATTATTTTTAAGTTTCCTTCTAGTTTTAGAGTTATTGATCCTTTTTCTGACTTTTAGAACCTGACTTTTCCAGTCTTGGTTTCATTGGACTTTAACGGGTTCCAGAATTCCTGAGTAGAGAGAACATGGGAAGAAATTAAGGGACAGGTGTGGGTGATGGGTGCTTAGAGATGGTGGAAAAGTGGCTTCAGGAGAAGAGAAATTGTAGTGTTAGGGATAGGACCAGCATGCTCTTCTCTTGGAATCTGATGCTTGAAATCTACTCTGTCTTAATGAAATATACTTTACAAATGCTAGACGTCTTTCTGGAGACGTTTATAGACACTCTATGGAAAAATATCTAAAAATCATGAAATTTTTCATGATGTGGAATGAATCTGTACTCTATTTAGGAGGAGATAATTGCTAGGCTAGGTGGGACAAGTTGATCTATTTTAAAATAAAATTGTATCTTTTATAAGGCACAAATGGGAACTGTGTCTCCTTGACATGTTTCAAAGCATTTCTCTGAATATGTGAGATTAAAGAAACTCTCAACCACTCAGAATTGTCAGAACACTGATGTTCTTTAAAACTATCTTTGTAGCTGTTAGTATGTACTGACACAGTTGAAGTTTTTAATGTTTTATTCATTATTAGACATTTTGCATATGAATGTAATGTCTTTTATTTACAGTTACATCTTAACTGAACTTGGTTCCCAGATATGAGTATTATTTACTTGGTCTCAGTCTTCATATTTTAAGCTCTATAGGTTAATACTTAATTGGGTTTTATTTTAAAATTATTTTTGAAGCTATATATTAAAGTTTGTCGTAATAAACCAAATGTTAGTTTTCCTCCACCTGGGAATACTTGAGACTTCAGTGAGCCACGCTTTCTGTTATGCCCACCTCTTTAGTCTTTCCATTATAGAATAAACATGCTTTGTGTGATTTCTCTAAAATGTAATGTTTGAGAATCTATTTTAATGTATAGAAAGACATTTACATAATGCTTTTGAGTAGGTGGGGAAAAAAGTTGAAATGTTGATGGCAGCATCTGTTAGAAAAACTCACATGTCTATATAGTAAAAAGTTAAAATTACAACAAATGCACTACTTTAACTGTGTTCTGCATGTTATTCCATGGGATCGCCTTTGGAGTAAAGTAGAATATGTTTCTAGTCTTTTATAGTTGGTGTTAATTTTGTTCTAAACGTGAAAGTGTTAACAGCAAGTTGAAAATGTGACAAAGCTCAATTTCATTTCTTGTTTATTGCTTGTTTTCCTATTGGACAATTGGAAGTAGCTTTGCCCTGGCAACTAAAATAGGCTATTTGCATAACCTAGTTTGATTGGCTAGCATCCTGACTAACAGTTCCAATCATATGGTGTCGGTTTAGTGGTAGGCTATGCTAATTAGCCGCTGTTGCTGGGGTTCAGGGATGGTTTCTGTGTGCTGTTCTGCTGCATTGTGTTGCCTGGTGAGAGACATTGATAAATGAGCGTTTAATGATCTGCAGCAGTTCCCACTCACTGCGGGCAGGCGGATTTTAGAACAGAAGTGGAAATAAGGCTTTAATTGCTCTGTTAAATAACTGTAACCAAAATATGTGTATTACATTTTAGAAATTAAGTTGTATGAAATCTTAAATACTTCATAACACAAAAGGAAAATACTTTAGCTTTGTCTCTTAAAATATAACTCAGGTAGCAGCACTATGCACAGGTTTCCTAAAACTGTGAAACTGATCATTTTTTTCAGATCAGAAACAGTACCCTTGTAGTAAGTAGCATGCTTGATTTTTCTTATGACTTTGACCTTTTATAAAGATACACGTTTGTATTTAATAAAATGTTGCAAGCTTTTGGGCAGAATTTATCTTGTACTGCCTGTGTAGTCTAGCAAATAAGAGCATAAACTTGAATTCCCTGTTCTTCTTCTGTTGAATTTGAAGATCAGGTTGTTATTCACTACCTCCTGCTATTACTTTTCTAATTGAAGTCAGATGTTTTAACTGTTGCTTGTACCGTTATGTTGGTGTATGTGAAGTCTTTATTGGTACTGTCAGATGGTAGGTTCTGCAGAAAAAAAAATCAGTTCTTTGTTTAAGGAACATGAGGTGAAGAATAAATACATGTGACGTTAGATTAAAAATTCAAGATGACCATATGGAAAAGTGCTGTAAGGATTTATCTGGAAGGGTATAGGGGAAAAAATTCTAGGCCTTTTTATGATAGGGACATGGGAAATGGATTGAGAGTCTGGGAAAGGGTTAAAGAGGAAGCCCATAGAATTTGTGTTAAGGTTTTAAATATCACTTAGGTTTCAAACAGCTAGAGAGTAATAAGAAGAAAGAGCATTTTAGGGTGAGGAATAGGTGAGCAAAAGTAATGTTTCTGGTATTCAGTTGTCAAATGTAAGTGGTCACAGTGATCAAGGACTCCGGGGCCTTAGGTGTGTCAGTGCCCCAGCTTCCAGGCAGGCTTGTGTCATTCCCTTGAAATAAGACCTGGTGTCTTACTGTTCCAGCTAGCACCATTTCTGGCTTTTTGTCACTTGGTTTTGTTGGAAGCAGGGCTGTCCACTTTTTGTGTCTGATGGTTAAAGCATAGGACTCTTTTGCCTTCTTTTGTCCCTCCCATTGGCCCTAAAGCATTGAAACACGGATGCCAAAAATAATTCATGTGAATTTAGATGTTTGTATTAAATTTTCTGTAAAGTGTATCCCTTTAATTGTTCTGGCCTTTATTTAAGAGCATAGTAAAATTAGACAAGCTAACTGGACAATCTTACAGACTAGTAAAGAATGAAAACCAACATTAAACCATAACATTTGATTCTTAATCACACGTCCCCAGGCATATATACTGAACATGTATTCTAAAATAAATTTACAGAAATGCTTTATTCAACCAGTCAGAGGGGACCTAGATACAGAATTTATAATTTAACAGAGGTGGATATGTCTTTACATAACTATATGACATGGTGGAGTATGGAGTATCCATGCTGTAAGAGAGGTGGAAATTCAGAAGAGGGAGAAATTTTTGGATTGGGACTAGGAAAAGATTCTTGGCGAAAATGGTATTTCATATGGTCTTGAGGAATGGGCAGTATTTTAACAGGTGATGTTTGAAGGCTACAGGGTGTGGAAGATGCTATACCAGTTGAAGATGGGGGCCTGTTCGAAAATTGCATTTACTAAGGTAGATGGTAGAGGAGACTATGTTGTTGAGGGCCCTAAGTGGTGGATAGTATAGACTTTGAAGTTTTTCTTGTAAAAAGTGGGGGATTTTTGAATTTTTTACAGCAGTGGTTCACAATGTGTTTTTTAAAAACACATGCCCTCCATGAATGTTTGCAAGTTTCAAAATAGACATTTCTTTGATTTTTAAAATATGAAAATGTGGTATTGAGTAATTTCAAGGGGTTTTTGAGTTGCCATCATCTAAAACGAGATATGTTGTAGGAGAAGCAGATTTTTTTGTGGAGTGGAGGGAAGGGATTGATTGTACTTAGAGTCAGGTTTTGAATGGGTTAAAAGTTTTTAAAACAGCTTTATTGTGTTATAATTGGCCTACAGTAAACTTCACATAATTGAAAGTATACAATTTGATGGATTTTGACAAGTATTACTTGTGAAACTTTTACCACAAGTCAGATAATGAAGATTTATTACTTCACTTGTTCCAGAATTTTATATAAACAGGATTATATGTGTTCTTTTTGCCTGGTTTTAGTTCTTTTGAGAGTCATATGTGTTGTGATACCTATCAGTAGTTCACTGTTTTTATTGCTGAGTAGTATTTCATTGTGTGTATATACTTTGGTTTATCCACTTACCTGTTGAAGCACATTTGGGTTGTTTCCAGTTTTTGTCTATTACAAATAAAGATGCTATGAATATTGTTGTACAACTTTTTGTATGGACATATGTTTTTATTTCTCTTTATTTCCTAACATTGGAGTGACTCAATCATGTGGTGGGTATATGCCTAACTTTTAAAGAAACTGCTAAATGGTTTTACAAAGTAGTTGTACCGTTTTACATTTTCACCAGCAGTTCAGGAGAGTTTCAGTTGCTTCACATTTTGCCATATTTGGTGGTCAGCCTTTTTAATTTTAGCCATTCTAATACTTGGGTAGTGATATCTCATTGTGTTTCTCTGTGATTAATGTTGTTGAGCATCTTTGTATGTACTTTTTTGCCCCCTGTATGTCGTGTTTGGTGAAGTGTTTGTTCAAATCTTTTGTCATTCTTTTTTCGGTTATTGAGCTTTTAGAGTTTCTTATACATTTGATACAAATCCTTTATCAAATACATGATTTGCTAAGCTTTTCTCCTAGTCCATGGCTTGTCTTTTTATTCTCTTTAAAAGTGTCTTGAAGATCTGATGTTTTCAATTTTTATGAAGCCTAATTTATTCATTTGTTCTTTTATGAAAGCTGCTTTTGGAAAGTTTTTGCATAATTGTCCCATGATCAAAAACGTTTTTGCCTATGTTTGTTGTTGTTTTTTTCCCCACTAGATTTTACAGTTTTAGGTTTTATATTTAAGTCTGTGGTCCATTTGGAGTTAATGTTTGTTAATAGTGTGCTGCAAAGTATAGATCAAAGATCACTTTTTTTTGCAAATGGATATTCATTTATTGTAGAACCATTTGTCAAAAGGACTGTCCTTTCTCCACTGAATTGCCTTTGCACCTTTGTCAAAAATCAGTCTTCCATATATGTGTGGGTCTGTTTGTGGATTTTCCATTCTGTTCCATTAATCTATTTGTCCTGATACCAATACCATATTGTGTTGACCTTCTGTGGCCTTAATAATAATTAATGCAATCAGGTAGTCTTAATTCTACAACTTTCCTCTTATTCAAAGTTTTTATAACTACTCTAGGTCTTTTGCATTTTCATATGAATTTTCAAATCAGTTCGCTAATTTCTTCAATAAAGTTTGCTAGGATGTTGATTGGGGTTGTGTTGAATATATAGATAATTTCAGAAGAATTGATACTTTAACTGTATTGATTTTTGGACCCGTGCACATATATCTATTTAGCCCTTTCTCTCATTTTTCTAATTTTCAGTATGCAGTTTTTTCATGTATTTTGTCAGGTTTATGCCTAAGTATTTCATATTTTTGTCACTATTTTAAATGGCTTTTAAATTTCAGTTTCTGATATATAGTTACAGTACTAGCACATAGAAATACAATTGATATAAATATATCCTTGTATTCTGTGACCTTGCTAAAATCACTTAATAATGCAGCTTTTTGGTAGGTTCCATCACATTTTCTATCTAGATAATCACATTTCCTATGATGAGAGACAATTTTTCTGCTTTCCAGTTTGGTTACCTTGTATGTATTTCTTTTTCTTGCCGTTCTACATTGGCTCCAACCTCTATGGAATGTGGAATATATATGGAACATAGACTACAATGTTGAATAGAAGTAGTGAAAGAGGACATTCTGTTTTGTTCTTTATGTTAGAGGATCAAACAGTATGTTAGCTGTAGAGTTTTTTTGTCAGTGTCCTTTATCACAAGGGTCCCCAACCCCTGGTACTGTCTGAGGCCTGTTAGGAACTGGGCCGCACAGCAGGAGGTGCCGAGCACTACCACCTGAGCTCTGCCTCTTTTCACGTCACCTGAAGCATTAGACTCGCATAGACATGCACATGCAAGGGATCCAGGTTGCGTGCTTCTTATGAGAGTCTAATGCCTGATGATCTGAGGTAGAACAGTTTTTCATTCTGAAACCATATCTCCCCCCATGGAAAAACTGTCCTCCATGAAACCAGTCCCTGGTGCCAAAAAGTTTGGGGGACCGCTGCTTTATCAGATTGGGAAAGATACCTTCTATTTCTAGTTAATGAAAGTTTGTTTTAGGTCAAGTATGGATGTTGGATTTGTCAAATGTTTTTTCTGCATCTCCCGAGATTACCACATGGTTTTTATTTTTTAGTTAATTTGATGAATTGTACTGATTGATTTCTTAATGTTAAACTGATAATAGTGTTTGCTGAAATAAAGGTCACTTTGTTATGATGGTCTTTATTTTGATTGTTTGATTCAAATAGTTACAATTTTGTTTAGAATTTTTATATCTTATGTTCATGAAAGATATTGGGGTTTTATTGATTTCTGTTTTTCTGTTTTGTTGATTTCTACTCTGGATCCTTATTTTTGTTATTCCGTTGACTTTGATTTTGTTTGCTCCTTTTTTTTTTTTTTTTTTTTTTTGAGACGGAGTTTCACTCTGTTTCCCAGGCTGGAGTGCAGTGGTGTGATCTCGGTTCACTGCAACCTCCGCCCCCTGGGTTCAAGTGATTCTCCTGCCTCAGCCTCCTGAGTAGCTGGGACTACAGTTGTGTGCCACTACGTCTGGCTAATTTTTTGTATTTTTAGTAGAGACAGGGTTTCACCATGCTGATCAGGCTGGTCTCGAACTCCTGACCTCAAGTGATCCGCCTGCCTCAGCCTTCCAAAGTGTTGGGATTACAGGCGTGAGCCACTGCGCCCAGCTTCATTTGCTCTTTTTCTAGTGTATTAAGGTAAAAAGCAGAAGCCATTGATTTAAGAACTCTTTTCCTTTCTAATAGAGATGATTAATGCTATAATATTCTCCGTAACTATTGTCTTAGCTGTATCAAAAATTTTGATATATTTTATTTTCATTCTTTTCAGAATGCTTTATAATTTGCTGTTTGCTTTCTTCCTTGAGTTGTGGTTATTTAGGACTATTTTGTTTTGAGTTATGGTTTCTTCCTTGAGTTGTGGTTATTTAGGACTATTTTGTTTTACTTACATGGTTCTGTTACTTTATTCTGATTTAGTTTGTCACCAGAGAACGTATTTTGAATAACTCGATTTCCTTTAATTTATTAGGGTTTGTTTTGTACCCCATAATGTTGTCTATCTTGGTTAAAGTTGCTTTGTCCCTAGAAAAGAATGTATATTCTGCTGTTCTTTGGTAGAATATTCTCTAAATGTTAATTAGGTCAACTTGGTCGGTAGTGTTGATCAGATCTTGTATATCTTTATTGATTTTCTCTCCACTTGTTCTATCAAATATTGAGAGACGGATATTGAAATCTCTTAATATAATTGTGTCTATCGTTGTAGTTTTATCATTTTTTTTGGTCTGTGTGTTTTAAAGCTCTGTTAATAGGTTCATAGATGTTCAGGATTTAGTATGTTCTCTTGGTGATTTGACACTTTTATCATTGGAAAATAACTTTCATCTCGTGATATTCTTCAGACTGCAGCATACTTTCTTTGATAATATAGCCATTCTGTCTTAATTTTGATAGCATGATATATCTTTTCCCAGATGTTTACTTTTAATCTATTAATGTCTTTGTATTAGAAATTTATTTCTTACAGACACATATAGTTGACTTGCTTTTCTTGTTGTTCCTGGTCTGAAATCTCTGCTTCTCATTTGAGGTATTTAGATCATTTGTGTTTAATGTGATTATTGGTATGTTTTGGTTTAAATCTGTCATCCTGCTATTTATTTCCTATTTGTGTTGTCTGTTTTTCCCCTTTCCTCTTTTTCTCCTACCGTCTTTTATTCTGCTTTTGGATTGATTGAAATTTTTAAATGATTTGATTTTCTTCCTTTTATTGGTTTATTCATTTTAACCTTGTTTTTTAAATTTAGTGGTTTCTCTTTATCTTATCACAGTCTACTTCCAAAGGATATTAGATCACTTCACGTATAGTGTATTGACCATACCATAGTATTCTTCTATTTCTCTACTACTGTCCTTTTTACTGACTTTAAAATAGATTTTGTTTGTGCATATGTTATTAACCTTACACTACATTACTATTATTGTTTAAACACTTAGATTTAAATAAGAATTCCTGTATTCTTATCCATTTCGTTATCTTTTCTGGTCTTCATTCCTTTGTATAGGTCCATATTTCCATCTAGTTTCATTTTCCTTCATCCTGAGTATTTCTATTAACATTTTTTGTAGTGCGTATTTACTAATGATGTATTCTTTCACCTTTTAGGTATCTGAAAATGCCTTTATTTTGCTGTTTTTTTTTTTTTTGACAGATATTTTCAGTGGGTATGGAACTCTAAATGACACTTTTTTCTTTCAGTAATTTAAAAATGTTGCTGCACCATCTGCTCTCTCGCATTGTTTCTTACAGAAAATCTTCTTTATTCATTTGTATATAATATGTCTCTTTTTCTGGCCGTTTTTAAGATTTTTCTGTTTATCATTGGTTTTTAGCAGTTTGATAATTACGTACCTTAGTTTAGTTTTCTTTGTGTTTCTTGTGCTTGTGGTTTGTTGAACTTTTAGATCTATGGGTTTGTAGTTTTTATCAGATTTGGAAGATTTTTGACCATTAGTTTTTCAAAATTTTTGGGTTCTCCTCTCTGTCAGGAACTTTAGTTACATGTATATTATTAGGGTGCTTGAGATTGTCCCAGAACTCAGTGAATGTCTGTTAACTTTTTAAAATCTCTTCTGTTTTGACATCCAATTTCAGTTGTTGAGTACTCATTTGGAATTCTGAGGTAGTTTTTATTGCTGTGTCTTCAAGGTCACTAGTCCTTTTTTCTGTACTATCTAACCTTTTATTAGTTTTACCCTTTGTGTTTTTTATCATTCACATTGTAGTTTTTATTTCCATTTCTATTTCATCATCTCCTCCTCTTCTTTCTTTTTTTAAAATAGAGACAGGGTCTTCCTATGTCTCTGTTTGCTATGACGGGCTGGATTTGAATTCCTGGCCTCAAGTGATATTCCTGTCCCAGCCTCCCAAAGTGCTGGGATTATAGGTGTGAGCCAGCATGCCTGAACTGTAGTTTTCATTTCTAGTTCAATTTGGGTGTCTTAAAAATATTTTCCATGACATCCCTTAGATATTTGAATACATGGAGTACAGTTATAGTACCTGTTTCTGTTTTTTGTTTTGAGACAGGGTCTCACTCTGTCACCCAGCCTGGAGTGCAGTGGTGCTTTTGTAGCTCACTGGGGCCTCATACTCCAGGGCTCAAGGAATCTTCTCCTGCCTCAGGCTTCTGAGTAGCTGGGACCTACAGGCATGCACTACCAAGCCCAGCTAATTTTTAAATTTGTAGTAGAAACGAAGTCTCTTGGTGTTGCCCAGGCTGGTCTCAAGGGAGCCTCCTGCCTTGGCCTCTCAAAGTGCTGAGATTACAGGTGTGAGCCACTGTCCGCAACCATAGACCAGGGTAGGAGATGTCTTTTTTTTTCCCCTTTCTTTTAGAGACAGGGTCTTGCTCTGGGGCCCAGGCTGAAGTGCATTGGTGCAATCATAACTTACTGCAACCTTCAACTCCTCAAGAGATCCTCCTGCTTCAGCCTCCCAAAGCACTGGGATTACAGATTGAGCCACCGCTCCTGGCCAGTACCTGTTTGGGTCCATTTCTGTTAATTCTAACAGCTGTATCAATTCCTGATTGGTTTCCATTGATTGATTTCCCCCACCCGTATGGGTTGTGTCTTTCTGCTTTTGTGCGTACCTGGACATTTTTTATTGTGTACCAGCCATTGTGAATTTTCACTTTGTCGGGTGCCGAGTATTTTTGTATTTCTTCTGTAAGTTTTCTTGGCTTTTGTTCTGGAACAGTCGGGTTACTTAGAAATAGTTTGATCTTTGAGTCTTACTTCTGAGATTTTTTAGGTGGGACCAGTGCAGTGTTTAATGATAATTATTCTTCACAAATGGGAGCAGTGTAGTCCTGTGTAGTTTATCCAATGCTCGGTGAGTATCGATGTTTCCCATTCTGGTTGGTGTGGGAAGCTTCTGGTAGTTTGCTGGCAATCTTGGGCATTCCTTGGCTTCTGCTGCATTACGCCTATCTTTGCCTTCTTTCTCACACGGTGGTCTTCCTGTGTGTGTGTCTGTCTCTGTCTAAATTTCTCCATTTTATAATAACACCAGTCATATTGCATTAGTGCCTACCCTGATGACCTCATCTTAACTAATTATGTGTGCAGCAAAGCTTTTTTCCAAAGATGGTAACATTCTGAGGTACTGGGGTTAGGATTTGAGCATAGAATTTTGAGGGGACACAAGTTGACCTGTAACGTTGCCCCTGGAATGTTTCCTGAATATACTTCTGTGCTCTTAGGGTGTTACACACCTCCTTCTCTCAGCTTGGTATGCCCCCGTTCCTTTCTTCTGCTTCTCTTTCTTAAAAGCCACCTGCTGATGAGAACCTCTGTTTAGAAGGTTTATCAGATTGTACCTTTTATTATAAATATTTACATGGCATATTTCTGCACATAAAACATTTTTGAAGACCTGGAGAGGATTTGTCCCACTTCTTTCACTGTCTCCCAGTACCACCTGTAGTACTTTATAACTAGTGATTACCCGAATTGAATACGTTAATGAGTATGTCTGAACAGACAAGTTGCAGAATGGACATTTTAAGAAAGATCAGTAACTGCAGGAAGGATTGGAGGCTTAGGCATCTGGAGTGAGGAATTCATTTTGGAGATTATTATAGTAAGTCAGGCACGCATTAATTTATTAATTGAGCCTACTAAGTACGGAAGCCTTCACTGGGTATCAGGTGTAGACCTGTGACAATTTCAGAATTTGCCTCTGTCCCCATGGACCTTACTGTGTGTGGGGAGTCATGAGGTAAGAACAGAAAAGATGGACAAGAAGGGTTTTCCTGAGGAACCCTAGACAAACCTTGAGAATGATTAGTCATGGGTGAGGATGAAGCATCGAAAAACATGATGCCAAGCCTGGGTGCATGAGAGAGGACCGTTAGTAGAAATGAGAAGTCAGGCATTTGGTGGGTAGGGGATGATAAATTAGTTTGCTTCTAGATAAGATGAGTAGAACATCTAAGTAGAAAATCCAGATTGCAGAAAACTCACAGTTGAATGGTGGAGTGGTAGATGTTCTTGCTTGGGTATAAAGGGAGAGAGAGCACCAGCAGTTAGTTGGGTGAAGGGGCTGACAGTCAAGAGCAGAGATTTTTCTGGGTAGGTGCTACACCGAACATATTTGTAGGAAGAGGGGAAGTGACTGGGGCACTGGGAGGTGACATGCAATTATTTCCATTTTACAAATGAGAAAACTGGGACACCTAAAAGTTAAGAAAGGTGCCCCAGGGACACAGCTAGTAAGTGGTGGAGCCAGAATGGAAATCTGGGCAGGATGGCGGCAGAATCTGTGCTCCTAGGCACAGGATGGTGCTTCTGATAGTTTTCTTTAAATCTATTAACTTTTTAATATGTTAGTTTGCTTTCATAGGGAATTAATACTATAAAGTTAGAACACCAGCCCTGCTTGTCACTTACAGAAGGCAAGAGTAAACACGAATATAGGGAAAGCAGAATAATTCAACAAAACAGAATGCACACCGGAAAGTAATGGAACTATTTGTGATCAGTTAGTAACTAAGGGGTGTTTTCTGTTAGATGCCAGGAGGTTTAAGATGATGAGGAATGTTTCGGAAAATAAGCAACAAGTATTTGAGCATTTACTGTGCCAAGCATTTCATGTTGGTGCGGGGGATGAAGTAGTGACTAAGACAGAGTCCCTGCTTTTGTGGAGCTCGTTTTGTAATGGAGAGAGATACACAGTAAACATCTGAACAAATAGAGTTGGGGAAGATGCAGTTTTTGCTGGGAAGATCAGGGATAGTCTTTCCATGGGAGTGCTTTTTTTCTATTTCATTTGGTTTATTTCAAATGAGCAAATACATCTGTGGGGTAGTCTGGTTTATAGAAGTGCCCATCAGTCATGCAGATCTCTTGTATCATGAACAGTGTGACATTTTTTCCCCATTGGAGTACAGTAGTAACAGTTTTTCCATATCAAAGCCCAGCACCCTCTATATAAAAGAGTAGTCATTTGTAATCAGATGCCAAGAAAAAGTTGGGAATTTTAGCACCCTGTCCTTAACCAATATTAGCAGTCTTAACATTCTTACTGGCAGGGCACAGTGGCTTATGCCTGTAATCCCAGCACTTTGGGAGGTTGAGGTGGGAGTATTGCTTGAGGAGTTCGAGACCACCCTGGGCAGCCTAGTGAGACCCTCATCTGTATTTTAAAATAAAAAAACAACATTCTTACTGTAATTGATGTGGGAGGAAGAGCATCCCTGCTTCTAAAACGGTAAATCAGTGTTGCTACCAGAGTATCTTAGGCGTTAAGAAGTGAACGCAGTGATGTGCAGGAAAATGTATTGGAAAATCCTTGTTAGTGACCCACACCTGCTGTCCTTGTTGCTCTGAAGAACATGCTACAACTGCAAGTTTGAAAAAGTTTTCCTGAGCATTGGGCCTCTCAACGCTCTCATTTTGCATGTAATGGATTACATTGCTGTCTTATTTTAGCCATCTCCTAAGAAGTATTAGCTCTGAAAACATATTTGCTTTTTTTCTAGAATGCATTGAACTAAATGCATTACTATTAAGATAAATACTGTAGTGGATGCAACTCTTAAAAAAGCTAACAAGTTGCATTTTCAAGAAATTCAAAATGAAAATGGCCTACTAAGGTCTGTGGGGAAAACTTTTAGAAAATCATTTAAATTGATTTTCCCTATTTAATAAAGTAGTTAATGGGAAAATTCACATGGCTTTCCAGCTATTAAAATATTCCTATCCTGACATTTGAGAATCTACAATGTATAGGCAGGTTTGAAATTCTTTTTTTTTTTTTTAATTTGAGTGGTGTTTCAGAGTTTACAAGTGTGCTCACACGTGTTACCTCACGTGAACCTCACAGAGATGTCAGAGTGGCTTATCATCCCAACTTTACAGTAATGGCAGATGAGCCTTGGAAAAGGTCAGGGTCACACAGTGAGTTAGTAGATCTGAGGCTAAAATGGACTTTTCTGTTTATCATATTGTTTACTGAATGCCTGTAATATGCCTTAGGTACGCAAGAGATCTTGTTCTGCGCCCCACCTTGTGGCGGTGGAAGCACACAGGTCAGGCCAGAGGAGGAGTTCTGCTCCTTTTGTGCTCCCTCTGTGATTTGGGAGCATGCAGTTCTTCATAAGAATCCCCACTCTCCTGATTGTTACTAGTCTTGCCACCATTCCTCATTGCTACCACTTGTCCCCTGTGTGAGAGGGATGGGTTGGGAGGGGAAGAGAGGGCACTTAACATCTGATTACAGAGGCAGAGCTTTATGTGTAATAAATGCTCTACTCTCCTAACAGGAGAACTTGCTTCTTTTATATCCCCTTCCTCCCTGTCAATCTATGATTGGATCTCAGGAGGTGAGTTGAGTGAGACAGTGTTTTCTCTGAGGGCCTTGTTTCCTGCTCATTCACTAAAGATTTGTCAGTGAATGAAGCAGCACTTCCACCCTCAGGATCTTATGTTATAGTTGGGGGGAAAGTGACAATGACACACCCCATGTAACTTATAAATAAATATATTTTATGATACTAATATATAAGTGTACATATATATACACATTTTTATATGTGAACATACATTAAAAAAACATAATTTCAGAATGCCTCACACGAATCTTGCTGCCACTCAAGCCTTTAAGACCTAAAGTCTGCTTACCTCTTTTTGTAAATAAAGTTTTATTGGAATATAGCCCTACTCATTGGTTTATGTATTATATCTGTGGCTGCTTTTGTGCTACATGGGAAGAGTTTTGATTAATTGCAACAGAAGCTTCATCTTCCGCAAAGCCTAAAACATTCACACTCTGGCCCCTTAAGAGAAAGCTTGCTGACCCCTGCTCAGGATGTAGCAAGCATTGTACTCACGGCATTATACTCACGGCCATGGTGCAGCTGCAGACTTAGAAAAGAAGGCTTGAGTTGGCGAGCTGATGGACATGGCAGGTGGGTGGAACTTAGCAGTGGAGTGGGTAGTTTCTAGCCTCTAGGTGTGGGATCACTGTGCTAAGTCAGGAAGTGTGGCTAATCTTTGCTTAGAGGTGGGGAACTTGTGCTTTTAAGAAAGCACTTGGTGTTTTCTAGTAAATGTGAATTGTGGCGATTAAAAAAATTGTATATTAAAATTCGGAATTAACAAGTTTATGTAAATTAGAAAGTGAGAGTTGCCGCTGTCCCCTCAATTCCCACTCTTCAAGGTGTTAAGAGCTGTTAAGAGATGGAGTTTTTCCCCCTCTGAGTATTAACTTCTACTTAGTAATTTAAAAATCTGCTATATTTTAGACCATCTTTTTTTACATTGTGACCCTGAGGTTCACTTGATTCCCAAAATGTAGTCGGGATTGTTCAGTTGAGTGTTTGTTACATAGAAGATTAACGTGTAAAATATTTCAGAAGAGATTTTAATAGACATCTCCCTGTCAGTTGATGAGTTGACATTGTTTTTCTAAATAGTTTTAGAATTAGGCTTTTTATGACAAGTATTAAAGCACTTTGTACTGTATTACTGGTATTTTAAATTTTTACAATTTTTTTTAAAAACTCTTGTTCTGGTGGAGGGTCCCATAATCAGAGTCACCTGAGAAACTTCAGAACAATGCTGGTGCCTGGTCCCCATTTCAGGCCTAGCAAGTCCAAAACTCTAGAGGTCAGGAGATCATCTACATTTGTAAAAGCTCTGCAAGTGAGCTATGGAGTAGATAACACTTTTTATAACATAACTTTGTTTTTATAATAATTTGTGGGAAAATAGGAAGGTTTAACATGAAATATTATAGGTATGATTTATATTTCTAGTACAGGTCATGATTTATGCTGAAAAAACTTGTATATTTTATTTAAACTCAAATATTGAGCAAAGGAGGGAAATATATATAAAACAAGTATTTAAAATTTTTTTTGTTTGTTTTTGAGGCAGAGTCTTACTCTGTTGCCAGGCTGTCAGGCTGGAGTGCAGTGGCACAATTACGGAGCACTGCAGCCTCAACCTCCTGGGCCTAAGTGATCCTCCCATCTCAGCCTCCTAAGTAGCTGGGACTATAGGCACATGCCACCATGCCTGGCTAATTTAAAAATTTTTTTGTGGAGATGAGGTTTCGCTATGTTGTCCAGGCTGGTCTTGAACTCCTGAGCCGAAGCAATCTGCCTGCCTTAGCCTCCCAAAATGTTGGGATTACAGGTGTGAGCCACCATGCGTGGACCTAGGAATTACGTAATTTGATTTGAAGAGTCATATCATTTTTCCCCTGCTTTACTTTTGTACCTCTTCTCCAAGAAAAAAGTCTACTCTCTCAAAAACCGAAAACACATTTCTTAACTTCTGGGAGGTAGTTTTGTTTGTATTAGTTCAAGTCCATACTGGAATACGTTTGACCAGTGTTTTCAAGCTGAGAAATGACATTTAATTATTTGTTATCATTTCTAGGTAGATAGTAATTTCTGTATTTACTAAGGTAAGCTAACTGGTTTAACGAACACACCTAATATTTCAGTGGTTTAAATCAGTAGAATTTCTTGCCATATAATAGTCCAATGACTGTTAGTACAATGGGATAACAGCTCTGCTCTGCAGTTATTCAGGCTCTGAACTATGGGCATTTTTCCTATTTTAAATTTAATAGTGTCCAAAGGTCATCCTAGGTTTTGGCATTTGTTGAATGGGGGAAGAGCATGGAGGTTTTCACACGCAATTTTTATGGGTCAGACGTGGTAGTGGCACACATCACTTCTGTTGACATTTCATTGGCTTGGTCTTAGTCACGTGGCCATGCTAACTGCAAGGGAGGCTGGAAATGTAGTCTAGTTGACTCAGGGAAAAAAATGCCTTTGGTTATCAATTAGCAGTCTCTTTCGTGTGGTCAAGGTAAACAACATCAGCAAGACATTGACTTCTCTGTGAGCTACCTAATTATTTCGTTTTTGCTTTTCCTTTTCTCATTTTCCCATGTTTTTGCAATTACTCTCCACTTTTCCCCATAAATATCCTGTTTTTGAGGTGATGGCCCGCATTCTTCATTTACTTTCAAGTCTAGTCAAGTCAAGTCTCTTGGATGCAGACAACAGAAACCCATTCCTGGCCAAGTTGGGCAGAAAACAAATGTAATGGAAGGCTATATGTTAACCCATAGAATTAATTGAAAGCTGGAAACTATGCTGGAAAAATAAGTAGGGGCCAAAGCAGGTGGCAGCAGAGGACACAGCCAGGGTCGCAGCAGAAGACCAGTCTGCTTCGGATCCCACACCTGGCACTTGTGCAATGCATTGCTATGTGAGCCTCAACTTTCCTGCCTCCACTGTGGATAGTCTCTTACTGTCCCTACATCTTGCAGGAGTGACCCATCAAGACTCCAGAGTCTGAACAGGAGCATGTGATTGTCAAAACTTTGGTCACTAGCAAAGCCCTGGTTACCAGGGAGGTAAGGTAGGAGATTTGTTAGTTTGGTTTTTATACTTGGTGGCATGGCTTTTTTGCCTTCCATGATTCTCATGAACTGTGAAGAGTGTTCAGATACCAAATGGCCTAAAAATGACAAATACCTATGTGGGAACCTTTTTCATCAGGAGAAATAAGTTGTGGTATAAGATGGGAGGCTGTGTTCCAATCTTGATTTTTATCACGTTGTTAAGCCTCTGGGTTGCAGCCGCCCCCTCTGTAAAGTGAGGTGGGGGAACTAGATGTCTGACAGTGTCTGTTCATTTACTCACTCATTGAATAAATATTTAGTAAGTGCCTTTTATGTGCCAACACAAAAGAATTATCACACCCTTGCCTTCCTATATTTGGGTGAGTCAGCAGAGAAGTCATTCTGATACAGTTAGGGTGAAGTGCTCAGATACTCTAGCCTTGGGCAGGGGTTTAGGAGCTCGTGAGAGTTCCCAGGCCAGCCTGGGCAGAGAGTGTTGGAGTAGGGGATTCAGGGACCACACTCCGCTTCTTTCACTCATTCGTTTAGTGTTTCCTTTAAGCCTTTGCCTTGTTGTTATGAGAATACAAAAATAAATAAGACCAGTACTTCCCTCCAAAGCACTAATTGTGAGAGCATGCTGATGGCTTTAGCAGGCAGCATGCTTGCTGTGTTGAGATAAGAGCAGAATACAGTCATGCACCAAATAACATTTCAGTGTTGGACTGCATATACGACAGTATTCCCCTAAGACTGTAATGAAGCTACAAAAATCCTATCACCTAGTGATGTCTTGCGATCCTTACCCAAGGAGGTCTTGGCTTACGTGTATGTGTATCTTAATTTTTGAGAAAAATGTTTAAAAAGTAAAAAGTTAAAAAAATGAAAGCTTACAGAATAAGAATGTAAAGAAAGAAAACATTTTTGTACAGTTGTGCAGTGTTTTAAGCTGTTATTACAAAAGAATCCAAAAGTTAAAAAAAGATTAAAAAGTTATATAAAGTAGGCTAAAGTTAATTTATTACTGAAGAAAACAAGTTTTAAAATAAATTAGTGTAGCTTAAATGTACAATGTCTATAAAGTCGACCGTAGTAGACGGTTTAATGTCCTAGGCCTTTGCATTCATTCACTCATCTCTCTTCCTCTCCGTCCCTCCATCCCTCCCTCCCTCCATCCCTCCCCCACCCATTGCAACTTCCAGTCCTGCAAGCTCCATTCCTGTAAACGCCCACACAAGTGATCTTTTATATCATATTTTTATTGTACCTTTTCCATGCCTATAGCACAAATAATGAGGGTTACAGTTGCCCTCATTATTCAGCACGGCTGAACAGGTTTGCAGCCTAAGAGCAGTAGGCTCTACCGTCTAGCGTGGGCGTGCAGTAGGCTCCACCGTCTAGCGTGGGCGTGCAGTAGGCTCCACCGTCTAGCGTGGGCGTGCAGTAGGCTCCACCGTCTAGCGTGGGCGTGCAGTAGGCTCCACTGTCTAGCGTGGGCGTGCAGTGTATACTCAGTGATGTTCTCACAACCATGAAATCGCCTGACAGTGAATTTCTTAGAACATATCCTCATGGTTAGGTGACAGGTAAGTGTTCTGAGGGAAGAATGGAGTAGGGGACCAGTTCCCTGTAAGATTCTGAGAACGTTTCTTAGCATGACATTTGATCCTGGGTCTTGAAGTTTGAGTTGAAGACTTCTAGGAGGAGAAAATAGGAGGGCGGGGATAGCATGCTAGTTGGAGAGAAGAGTTGCTGAAGAGAAGAGCGAAGAGCTGCTGAAGAGCACCATTGAAGAATGGTGAGAAGGTCGGTGCAGTTAAGGGAAAGGATGTCATGGAGGGGACAGGATGGAGAGAAATGGTGGGAAATAAGACGAGAGGTGTAAACACTTAACCTGGGTACTCTGGGTATTTAAAGTATTGTGAAGTATTGATTTTGAGCTTTTTTTTTTTTTGGTTGTGGACATGAACTTTGACAGCAGTAGGGGGAATACACTGAGGGAGGGCATGGAGCCTGGATAAGGAGCAGTTATTGTAGGGGATTCCCCTGGCCCCTTTCTGGATTAAGATCTTGACAGAGCATGGAAATAAGCAGCTGGATTCATGAGACATTCCAGAGGCCAAAGTCACAGAATGTAGTTAGATTGAGGGGGATTGAGGTAAAGGGGGTGGGGAGGTGGAAGTAAGAGAGCGAATAAGATTGAGGTTTCTAGCTTGAGTGGATGGATGGGTGGAGATGCCGTTTATAGAACTGGGTCAAACTTGGCGCTACTGCCTGCTCCCCAGCCTGTGCAGACACAGTTAAATATAGCATGCCGTGCTTTCCAGCTGAGGCTTGAGTTAGCTTTGGAATCTTTTCTATAGCAGTGAGTGCTCCAGACAGCCACTGCCAATCTATTTGAGTTTGTACTGGAGAGGAAACCTATTTGCCTTCCCTGTCATAGGAGATGGGGAGGGGAAGGGAAGGGGAGCAGGGAGAGGAATCCCACCCACACTAGTCCCTCTTTTCCCTGCGCTCTTTTCTTCAGAACACATCATTTTCTGATCTCACACTCCCGTTTTTTTTTTTTTTTTTTTTGCTTGAGGATTCTTCTGTGCCCAGCAAAATACAAACTCCAGGAGGCCTGAGATTTGGCCCATAATTTTTGCATTTATGCCTTTAATGTTAAGAGCGTTGTCTGGAACAGCACTGCCAATAGAAATGTAAGCCACTTATGTAATTTAAATTTTTCTAGGAGCCACATTTTTAAAAAAGTAAAAAGAGGCCTGGAGTGGTGGCTTACGCCTATAATCCCAGCATTTTGGGAGGGCAAGGCAGGTGGACTGCTTGAGGCCAGGAGTTCCAAGGCTGCAGTGAGCTATGCTTGCACCATTGCACTCCAGCCTGGGTGACGAGGGAGAGACCCTGTCTCTTTAAAAAGAAAAAAGTACAAAGCAACAGTAAAATTAAACTTAAATATATTTTAATTTACCTGGTGTTTCCAAAACCTATTATTTCAATTTATAATAAAAAAAATTGAGGTATTTTACATTTTATGTTGCTAAGTCCTTAATCTTGTTTTTTCCATTTATAGCACATCTTAATTCTTTGTAGCTACATTTCAAGTATTCAGTAGCCACATATGACTATTGTTGACTGCATTGGACGGTGCAAGTCTAGAATATAGTAGGGGCTCAGTAGATGTTTGTTGAATGAATGAAGGAGAGGAAGATGAGTTGGTTGTTAAAGGTTGATTGTAGAATCGAGGAAGGGTTTTGTTCTCACAGTGAGGCAGGAGCATATTTTTATGTTTAAGACAGAGCTGGGAGAGAGAGAGGCGGAGATAACAGAAGTCAGCACGTGACTGATGGAGGAAAGCCCGAGCAGGTGTTTGGTCCAGGGGTCTGCAGCCAGGTAGATGGGAGGAGAGATGCCTTGCTAGTTACTTCCCTGAAGGATAATCTTCAGTTACATTTTAAGAGACTTAACTCCAGTTTGTTTGGCATAAACTTCTCATTGAAATGTATTATAACTCTTCCTTCCCCACATTTTAGGTGCTGGTTAGTTGAGGGTCATTTTTAAAGTCTTAAGGTGTTTCCCTAGTGACTTAACAAAAGAAAGGAAAATAAAAGCCTCTTTTTTTACGTACAAAATAGGAAAAGTCTTATTGGTGTATCTCAACATCTTTACTTTGGTATCACTCAGCTAGAAAAATAAGTACTTTCTATACTAAAAATTGATTTACTGAATCTGATTTTTAGCATTATTATATTTGGAGTTGTATAAATTATATATTTTGCAGTCAATATAAAATAAGGTTATTTTCCCCACTGTTGTCCCTCAGTCTTTACATACTTGAGTCCTCAATCTCCTACATTGTCTTTCATATTATGAGATGTAGTCTCCTTTTTTTTTTTTTTTTTTTTTTTTTGAGACAAGGTCTCACTGTGTTGCCCAGGCTGTAGTGCAGTAGTGTGATCACAGCTCACTGCAGCCTCGACCTCCTGGGCTCAAACGATTCTCCTACCTCAGCCTGCCAAATAGCTGGGACTATAGGCGTGCGCTACCATGCCTGGCTGATTTTTAACGTTTTTGTAGAGATGGGATCTCTCTGTGTTGCTCAGGTTGGTCTTTTAACTCCTGGGCTCAAACCATCCTTCTGCCTCGGCCTCCCAAAGTGCCGGATTGTAAGTGTAAGCCACCGTACCTGATCTCCATTACTTTGAGTAACAAAGTCTTATTTGAGGTTGACACATAGACATGGAGCAACCTCTGTCAATAGTAGTTTTGGATGCTTATGGAGGTCACTTGATGGAATGAGTCTAAAAAGTGAAGCAATGAAATGTAACAGATTTTTTAGGTTATGACCTCACATTTTCAGGTAATGATATTCTAAATCTTTCAAAAAATCATTTTAAAAAGTATTGTTGTAAGTGAAAATAATTAATGTACCTATTGGGTTAATGGAAAACACCACCTTTCTGATGTTAAAAAATTTTATCTCATTGTTACTTGAGATAAAATATCCAGTTATAGTATTTTACAGGGATTCAGTAAGTGTTGTATCTAAAACAACTTAGAAGTTAAGATTATGTGCTGCGGAAAACCAGATGACTTAAAGAGGATTTAATGACGACAAAGATGCTGATGTTAAAGATGGAGTAGGCTTTCCACTATATTGAGAAGGGCACCTTATCCAGACAGATTTTAATAAGTGAGATTGGTCTTATCTCTTTGCTTTTGGGACAGCTTTATATTCCTGAGTGTGCTGTGCTCAGCCAGATGTGATAATGTCAAAGCCGGTAGTGATTGTAGAGATGGTTATTCAGGGGTGGTCACCTTTTTTTTTTTTTTTTTTTCGTGCCCCAGCATACTTGAGCAGGTTAGGTTACATTCTGGCAAAAAACAGGCTCCCAGGACAATTCTTGGGAGATGGGGGAGGGAGAGAGTGGTGTATATATTTTGAAGAGGTCTTAACTACACAGTGATTCTACCCCTGTGTGTGAGGGCCTGGGCTCTTTGGACAGATGACATGTTTTTTCCAGTGTTATGGAGTTAACCTTAGAGCTGGGACCAGAACCCTGGACTTGCTCCTTGTGCCAGTTTTAATTTTCTCAGCCACACCCTTTTCTTTCCTTTTATTTTGTACCCTTTTTTCTTACTATTTTCAATAGAATTTTAAATGTCATATGTTTAATAAGATGGAAACTGCTGATATAAATCAAGAAGCAGTCTTTAAATTTTAAATAATGGTACATTTATGGAGACATTATCAACTAATTTAATTTCTTTTTCTGACTTTTTAAGTCACCTCTTTTTTCCAAGTCACCATGGCTTGGAACCGCTGAGTCATTCTTGAATCCAGCTGTCTCTTATCTGTCGTCCGTATTGAAACAGGTTTTGAAGTCCTGTCAGTCTGCTCTCAGAGTGTCTCTTCATGCATCTCCTTCCTTTCTTTTGCTGACAATTCCCTCCTTAAGGGCTCTCACCGTCCCGTGCTTGGGCTGGTGCAGTAAGCAACTGATAGATCTCTATTTGTGGTTCCTCCTGGTTCCAGTCCACCTTACACATTCGTTCTATCATTTAGCATTTGCCATTTGCCAGGTACCATTTTAAACATTAACTCTTTACTGTTCTTAGTACCTTGAGGTTTAAGTACTGTTATAAACCCATTCTGCAGATGGAAAGGGAGGTATGGATTTAATTGATTTGCCCAAAGCGACACAGAAGTTGGTAGCTAGCTAGTAAATGGCAAAATTGAATCCAGACTCCTTATGGTGTTAATTGCTATAGCTAAAGATGAAACTGGAGTTGTGCCACTCCTTGCACACTTTTATCTGTCACCCTCTTAGGCTGTTTTAGAAAATCCCATGTTTTAGCTTGCCATTCTGTTGACCCAGCCTGCCTTTCTAGCCTTAACTTACCCCTCTGTCTATATTCTATTTTCCAGCCAAATATGAGGTGACGTTTAAGCTGCTACTTGAAAGAGAAGTGGGAGTTAGGCAGAGCAGTAGGGGAATCATGTTTGGGGAAGAGTGAAGAGTGTACTTGAGAGAGTGTGGAGGTGCCTTGGAGGAGCTGGAGCCCAGAGGTGCCCCATGAGAACAACACAGGAGGCTGCAGGTGGAGGTGGGTGCCTGATTGTAGAATGCTTTCTAGTTGTCTTCCACAGGACATTTTTGGGAGCTATTCACAAGATTCATGGCTACCGTGCTCTAAAATTTGATGTGAAGTTCATTTTTCCTGGACTTCTTACTTAATTCCTCTGTCTTTTGGCCCAGCCACCCCTTTGCCAGTTTACACGGGTGATGAGCAGGCTGTTTGGAAAGAACGTCCTCGAGCAGGGTGCTGTTTCCTAACCCTGCGTCTTTTTCCCCTCTGAGATCAGTTTATCTTTATTCACTTGCAGGTGTTCAACAATCTTGTCTTTTATGGGGAATTTCTAATGTGTCTTGAGCACTTTCCCACCCTCCTATCTTGGAGGCATGGTTCAGAGTGGAAAAGGGCGCGGGCCCACCTACCTCTGGCCTTCCCACCTCAGCCACCATGCTTAGGGCCGTGGTGGAGTGCTTGACCTCTTTGTGTGTACAATGCAATACATGCTGGAATAATGCCACCTTATGCATAGGGCTTTTGTGGGTGTAAGGGCATACCGGAACAAGTTGGCATAGAATAAGAGTTCAGTGAATGTTGTCACTACTTTTTATTACTTTTTAATTGTGAAAAACTCACAGATTCTGTAATAAAGGGTCATAGAAACCTGCTTTATCCATACTATCATTACTGAGAATACTTTCTGGTTTGGAAAATTTGCTTGAGAGGTAAAAAGAAAATTTACTTACTTACTTACTTACTTACTTATTTATTTATTTATTTATTTATTTATTTATTTATTTATTTATTTAGTAGAGACAGAATCTCGCTCTGTTGCTCAGGCTGGAGTGCAGTAGCACGATCCTGGCTCACTGCAAACTGACTCCTGGGTTCAGGTGACTCTTGTCTCAGACTCCGGAGTAGCTGGGACTACAAATGCATGCCACCACACCTGGCTAATTTTTGTATCCCCCCCGCAAGACAGAGTCTCACTCTGTTGCCCAGACTGGAGTGCAGGGGCACGGACTCGGCTCACTGCAACCTCCACCTCCCGGGTTCAAGCTATTCTCCTGCCTCAGCCTCCCTAGCTGAGACCACAGGCGTGTACCACCATGATCGCCTAATTGTGTGTGTGTGTGTGTTTAGTAGAGGTGGGGTTTCGCCATGTTGACCAGTCTGGTCTCGAACTCCTCGCCTCAAGTGATCCGCCTGCCTCAGCCTCCCAAAGTGCTGGGATTACAGGCATGTGCCACCGCGGCTGGCCTTTTGTGTTTAACTTTTAAAGCGTCTCTGGTCAGATGAATATTTTGCCTTTTGGGTATTTTTAAATGGAAAATTTATGTAAATAATCAGTGTTTTAATTAGAATCACAAAGCCAAATGATTGCCTCATTGGATAATTTTAAGTATTATGCTGCAATTCAATATAGGTACCAAGTACTTAACTAGACTTAAAAATATCTTGTATGTTTAACAGCTGTTTAGCTAGAACTAAAAAAGAGCAAGTCCTCTATGTGTATGCTTCTCCCCTTTTCTCCCTGGGATGGGAGAAGGAAAAAGTTAATTTTTTTCCCCCTTGACTGCTGTTGCTGTGCCTGCTTTAGAAGAAGACAGAGGTAAAGATCAGGGAAGGCAACTTTGTTTCCAAAGAAACATTATGTGCCTGAAACTTAGTAACACCTTCAGACACTTCTTAAAATGGCTTGGTTATGGCATAGCTGAAGGTCTGAGGCTGTGGTAGGTAACCTTCTGCCTGTGTTGTATTCCTGGCCGCCTCTGTGTGTTCTGACCCTGCTCCTCTAGAGAGGAAAGCAGCTAAGCAGGCACCTTTCAACTTTTGAATGGCTTCATAGTATTACAGCATTTAGATGTGTTGTGCCATTCCCCCTCTTTTTGTACTTACGGGTTTCTTGGAAGACAGCTGTAATATGCCTGTAGGCACGCTAGACAAAGTTATGGTCAAGGGGGCGGTAGGGGAGGGCATCTGGGTAATTTACTGTGTGTGTGTGTGTGTGTGTGTGTGTGTGTGTGTGTGTACATATACATATGTATTATATTTTAAAAATTTTACATAACTAGTATTTCACTATCTTTTTGATTTTGAAAAAAATGAACTAAGTTGAACTTTAACCACCATTTATTAAAACATTTCTTTTAAGCTCTAAACAGAGGCTCCAGATCGTCTTTGAGGCACATTTCCTGTCCCCTGGCAACTCTGTGTGTAACGTTTCAAACCCAAGGCATTGTACAAGGGAGAGGAGTACTTTGGGTTTACATGGTTGAGGGTGATGATGAATCCTCTTATTTCATGTGTAAGAAGACCGGGTTATTTGTTGCCATGCCCCACACTGATGCTGGGGCCAAGGCAAGCAAAAGGGGACGCCTAAGTCCTAGCCTAATGTCTGTCTTCTGTAGAGCAAGCTGAACTTTCAAAGGTATTTCTCGTTTTACCTGTTTTGTAAATGAATATGCTAACTTTGCACGCCGCAGAGGAATGTGAGATATAGAGAGCAGGCCGAGGTCCATGGGGCTTCATAAAGGGCATTTTGAGCAGCTGGAGGCTTGTGGTTACCATGTCCAGGCTCTTCCCCTGCTCTCCTTAACTATCCTACAGATGCCTCTGACCTGGGAGGAAGGAAGAGAAGCCCTCATCTCCTGACTGAGAGTGGGAAGTGGCAGTCACTGAATGTGCTTGCCGTGTGACATTACTGCATGTCAGGCTGGCAGTTCACTGTTTTGTGTGTGGAGGACTGTTTCTGATGCTCTCTGCTATTTGCTAAGCCATAAATAAGGATATACCGTCTGACAACTACTATAATAGTATGAAGGACAGCTTTGAAATCAAGACGTCTGATAACCTTAAGCTGTGGTCACTGTCATTTTTCTCTTGAAAGATCCTGGACTCTCAGGATCTGGCTTACCATCTTTGATGGACAATCATTTTATTAGCTTGCTTGAAAGAATTAGTTCCTCTGTTATAATCACTGTAGTGTCAGTTGGAATGACTTGAGCCATTTTTGTAAAACTTGTGAAATCTTTATGTATTTATGAAAGTTAAACTTACTGAAGGCTGAATGACTGCAGTGAAAGTATGAATCCTTTAATTAAATAAGTGGTTAGCATTTATATAAGCAGTCTAATTAGGACCCCAAATATTTGTTCATTTTCTTTAGGGCTACTAACCTGGATGCCCGATGGAGTAATCATCACTGTCCTGTGTAGATCTTGTAGATTTTTGAAAGTACTTTCTGTCTCACAGTGGTGGTAGATTTTGTTTATTTAATTATTTAGGGGGCATGTTTTCAGTTTAGCCTGATTAGTTACCTGCTGAATAAATAATGTTATTCTAATACCCTGCTAGGAAGAAATTTATGTAATTGAAATTCTGATTTCTATGTAACGTTCTGTTTTCGTATTGAGACATGATACTGCCTGACAGGGCTGCTTCAGCAGCTGTCATCTGGTTTGTTGTTTCTTGTGTTGTTATATGGATTCTGCTAGCCTAAAAGGCATTCTTCTCTGTGTCTCTGCAGGGCTGTCCAGTGAGTCATCTAAAATTAAACTTTGATCAGAAATAAGTTTCGTTTTTTTCCCGCAAAGGACTGGAGTGAGTGGGCTTGAGAATACTTGTATGCAAATTAAAAATATATATATTCATAAATATTTGGGAGCATTAGGTCAAGTGCCAATTAAGTCAGGAAGGATCCTGCAGCCATAGTCATGAAGATAAACTTTTTAAATTGCATTTGCTCAAACTTAAACATGTTTGTGAGTATTTTGTATAAGCGACCATTATTTCAGTTGCTATGTTAGATTTGTTGCTTTCTTTAGCATGGATTTTTTTTTTTTGGTAAAGTGTTAGTTTTTAATGTTTCAAAAGATTTTTTTTGCAGTCATTTAAAATCAATTGTCAGTTAATACCTAAAATTCGGCAGATTGTATGTTTTATTTATTGCAACATGTTGAGAATCTTTTGTTTCCTGTTGACATTTTAAAAATCTCCTAATGGCAGATTGATTTGTCTGTGCTCTTTTTGTATTATTAAGTCAGGCAGCAGATACTTAGAGAGCTTCTGCTGTTTTAAGCCATGGGGAGGCAGTAGCGAACAAAAGGGGTGGGGGAGTCTTGCGGCGTTCACATCTCAGAAATGTTACTGCGCTATGAGGGAGACTTTGGCCTCTAATCCACTGTTAGCCACTAGCCTCCAGTCAAAGTTAGAGAACCACCGGTCTTCATTCTTTTCATTAAGTGGTTGGACTTGTCTAAAAAGGTTTAATTTCACCTCCAGACTTTGTCTTGAGACATTGCGTGTCTTTGTTTACCTGTCTTTTGTTTCCAAACGTCCCTACGCTCATTCCTAGATTTAATTAAGGGCTCAAAGACTGCTCAATACCTTGTTTTGTACTAAGTAGGGAAGAATTTTAATTTAAATAGGTTTCATTACTGATTATTAATTTAAAATTTATGGGCACTACAAGAAAAACTATTTCTCTACCTGGAATTTTCATGACTGCCAATAACTTAGTACTAGGTGGTATTATCTGCTTTATTCATTCTTATTATTTAAAATATTTTATAACTTTAGGATATTAAAGAAAATATAAATTTACCCATATTATATGTTATCCTCTGTACAATATGATAATTTATGGAATCCAGCAGCTATATGTTGGATTACTATTTTAATCTTTTCTGTCTTCCAGATGGTATTACCAAAAATAAATCCTTGGCCTCCTATTTCAGCTGTAAGAATTTGGCTTACCTTTTGTAATCAAGAGTGGTAAGGGCCCTTTTACTGTAGGGTTAAGTAAGATTTTCTGTTATTTAGTTGTTGAGGATAGTACAGTTCCTAAAAAATGATACGTGCTTGTTAAATACAGAATGAATGAAAAGCACACATCTGCATATTAGTCTTAAAGTTTTAAGATGATTATTTTTGATTTTCAAATATAGGTAGTATTTCATTTTATTTAAGTTATACATTTATTTAAATTATCTAAGTTATAATAAAATGGCAAAACCACAACTACTTTTACACCAACCGAATACTTACATTTATTTCTCCTGTCCTTTGTGCTGTGATTGTTTTATTTATATGTAATAAACTCCACAATGTTATTTTTGCTTTGAACAGTCAGTTGGCTTTCAAAAATATTAAGAAAAAATGTCTTTTATATTTATCTACATACATATTTACATTTCTGGTGCTCTTTATTCCTTTGTGTGAATCTCAGTTTCTGTCTGGAATCATTTTCCTTCTGTGAACTTGTGTGAACATTTTTTGAGGGCGGATCTACTGTTGACAAATTCTTTCACTTTCATGGGTCTGAAAAAGTATTTTGCCTTCGTTTTTGAAGGGTGTTCTCACCGGATATAGATTTGTAGGTTAAAGGTCTTTTTTATTTTCATCATTTAAAGATGTTTTATTTTCTTCTGGCGGTGCACATGGTTTCTGGTGAGAAAGTGGTGACTCCCCTATATGGAAACAGGTGTTTTTGTCTCTGGCTGCTTTTACAATTTTTTTCTTCATCATTGGTTTTCAGCAGTTTGGTTGAGTTGCCTCAGTGTGATTTTTGTGTGACTTTTTCCTTTTTTTTTTTTTTTTAAACTTGTTTTCAGTTTGGTTAATTTATATTGCTTTGTTTTTCCATTCACTTATCTTTTCTTCTGCGGTGTCTGAACTGCTATTAGGTCCGTTCAGTGAATTTTTCATTTGAGTTATTTTGTTTCTCATTTTTAGAATTTCCATTTAGTTCCTTTTCGTAGATTCTATTTCTCTATTAAGATTCACTATTCCCTTATTTTGTCCATGTTTTCCTTTATATTTTAAAACATTCATAATAGTGGTTTTGGTCTGCTAACTTCACTCTTTCTGTCATTTCTGAGTCTTAAATGGATTTTTTCCTCCCGAATACAGACCACATTTTCTTGCTTCTTGCTGTGCCTAGTGAATTGGGCTGGCTATGGGGATGAGGAATGCTGGCCCGTGAGTGTTTGGATTTTGTTGTTCTCTTTAAAGAGTGTTGAATGTCGTCCTGGCAGGCTGTTAATTCACTTGCAGACCATCTTGATCCTTTGAGGTTTGTTTCAGTCTCTGTTAGAACAGGGGCCAGCCTTTACTGTAGGGCTGGATTAGCCCTAGCCCTAAATGTGGATTTTCTGGGGTCTCTGTTGAATGTCTGTGGGTTTCTCCACTGTAGCCTGTTTGAACACTCAATGTCTTACAGTCTTGTGTGAATTTTAGTAGTTATTCAGTTCACAGTTCCCTGGTAGTTGTTCTGTGCCTGGCTTCATGGTCCTTCTCCCAGTGCTTGTGCAGCTTAGCATTTGGCCAAAGAGTCAAGGAGAACCCTATGTACGGATTGATGGAGCTCCTTCTCTTTTTGTTACCTGCTGCACAAATTCCAGCCAATTCAGTGGCCTTGAACTCTTCCTTCTGTCTCTGCAGCACAGTGAGATTGCTGTGTTCTGTTTGGGCTCCCCCTTCCTATATTGTACCCTGGAAAGTGCCTCTAGATAGGAAACCAGGGGGATTGTAGGGCTCACCAAGAGTGATTTCTTTTTTCAGTCATCACGATTCTGCACTGCCTGTTGTCCAGTGTTTGAAAACGGTTATTTCGTATGTTTTGACTAGTTCTTTAGTTGTTTATGATGAATGAGGGAGTCTGGTACCAGGTACTCTACAAAGGTCATAAGTGGAAATCTGATAATACAAATTCCTAAGGGTAACATGTTTTTATCCATAACCCATTGTTACTAACAATTTTAATATATAGATTCAGTTAATCTTTCATGCTGAAAAACCTGAGATTTTATTTACGTCTTATATGAGCAATTTCATTGTGTTTCTAGATAATTGAGTATGCTCTTTTGGCTAGTGGGTTGACAAGCTTGTGTGTGCATGTGTGTGTGTGTGTGTTTAATGTTGGCACGTGTGTGTGTGTGTGTGTGTGTGTGTGTGTATCCTGTAGTAACACATATTGGCCACTAGAGGGTAATAAGAAAGCAGTTCATTTGTTCTTATTGGCTCACTGTTACTAAATAGTCCTTATCATTAGACTTTTTGCATAGTCACAGTCATTGCTTACTTTCACTTTAATATATATTTATTTAACACCTTCTGTGGAGCCAGGCACTGCACTGTGTGCTTGGGATATAAAAATGAGTAAGAGCAGTTGACTGAGCAATAGCTGTAGCCTGTGCTATAAGACTTTTCTCTGCTTTTGATTCAAGAACCCCTCATTTAAAAAATACTACATTCATCCTTACCTCCCGTGCAGTCCCCTCCCTCCCTCTCTCAATGATTTCTTCACAGTCTAAATATTCCTGATGGATTCAGTTCATTCCTTTATTGCACAGATATTTATTGAATGCAGGCCATGTGCCAGGCACTGTTCTTGGTGCTGATGATAAAATCGTGAACAAAGCTTACTCATGGACTTTCGTTCACTTACCCTCTTAATCATGTGCCTTTATTTCCGGCCATCATTAGAGGTGCAATTCATTTTGGATGTGCCTTGTTGCTAGGGACCTCGTGGGTTTTTGCCCACATAAGCTTGGTTGCCCTCCTCATTTCTTAGTGGATTCTGTCTTAGAACCTCAGCCTCATAAGTTTCCACATTTAGATGCTATAGTTTTAATTAAATTATTTTCATTTACTTTTTGTTCTTTAATATTGTTCTTTGATTTAACTGTTTCTCTTTAAAATCTACTATCAATTAATACTGTCACAGGAATGGTCCCCTGTTAACACATTACTAACAAAGAAATTCAGGTTAGGTAAGAATAACATTCAGATCTACAAGTAGAGCTACGTGTGGGTTATGTATCAGAGATGATGGCTTCTGATACTTGTTATTTTTACTTTTTTGTTTTTAAACTTAGGGTCTTTTCTCATGCTTTTTGTATTTGCTGTTTCCTCTGTGTTTACCACTATCTTTTTGAATCTTATGTCCCAGTCTTTGAGATGTGTTGTTTATGAAATATTTCTCTGTAGAATCAGTGCTGATCCATACTGGTAATATGGTCTCTAGTTATTATAGTTCCTTGCTAGAACATAGTAACGTGGCTGAAGTAAGAAAGCTGCTTCATTTTTCTTTTAGTAAAATATTGAATTTTTCCCAAGTTTAGCAAAGTTACAGAAACATGCTCATGGTAAAAATGATCCATACAGTTCAGAAGCACGTAAAGACAGAACTCCACATGCATGATTTTCTCCAACATGCTTTCCATACTGTTTGACAGCAGTTGAAAATACTTTGGAACTGCACTCCAAATGATGATTTTAGATAGCTTTGAATTATTTGTTAAGTTCATCATTAAATTATAACATTATCTGATGTTAAAACATGTATTGTGATACATTCTTAAGCTAAGATATTATTATACTGAGTTGAATAAAGATTATATAATACGGTAGATAGTAGGTTGAACCATATGAAATTACTGTTTTTGTAAGCCAAGGGTAGTCAGAAATCTATCAGCAGTTTCATATGGTTCCGCATAATACTTTATATGATCATCCCTGTTACAGGATGAACTGAGTCATTTTTTCCATTAACATTTGCATTAAAATTTTAGGAAGATAGAAACTTAAGAGTAAAAACATGGGTAATTTGCTTAATTATGAAATCAGGTTAACTAGAAATACGCATATTAGTTTTGTCCCCTTGGAATCTTATCATAGGAAAGGAATGAATGAATGGATAACTTAAATACTTTTTGGTGTTGCAGGAGGAAATTAAACTTAGGTTTATTCTGAATTTCATACACAGCAGTCGAGTTAAGAAAGGAGACAATGAGCATGTGGCAAGCACACCTCGTTTATATACCATGTTTACCAGCAGTCCTCCTGTACTGGTGGCTTAATCTTTCTTCACTTTCACTAAATAACTGATAATGTCACTAACTAGTTATGATAGGTGTTATAATACATAGCTAAAAAGGTACCAGAAGTGAAAAAGTTTTTTCTTGCCAATTCACATTCAGATCATCCACAGCAAATTCCAAAAAGAACATCAGATTCTTTGTCACCTAGCATATCACCGTTATGCATGGGAATGTGTATTATTCTCCCTAAAAAAAGTTTCAACTTTATAACTAGAAAAGTAAATCTATTGGGGAAAAAAAACCCTCTAGTGTATTGTTTAGATAGACTATAACTTATTTTTGGATTATCCACTACTTGAATTAGTTGGAGAACAGCTTTCTTTTATTAAGGTGACCAATGCTTTTCAAAATAGTATTGGCATCATCTGATGACTTGTTAGAAATGTTGACCCTTGGCCAGGCATGGTGGCTCATGCCTGTAATCCTAGCACTTTGGGAGGCCAAAGTGAGTGGATCACCTGAGGTCAGGAGTTCAAGACCAGCCTGGCCAACATGGTGAAACTCTGTCTCTACTAAAAATACAAAAATTAGCTATGGGTGGTGGCGGGTGCCTGTAATCCCAGCTAGTTGGGAGGCTGAGGCAGGAGAATTGCTTGACCCTAGGAGACAAAGGTGGCAGTGAGCCAAGAGTGCACCACTGCCCTCCAGCCTGGGTAACAGCGCAAGACTCTGTCTCAGAAAAAAAAAAGGAAATGTTGACTTTCAAGCTCTACTGAATCAGAACCGTCATTTTTAAAAAGATTGAAAAACAATTTGCAGGCACATTAAAGTCCAAGAAGTGCTGTTACAGATTATGAATGGCATTGTCACCTCCGCAAGACAGTGCTGATGCAGCCCCTCAGTAAGTGCTTGTTGAATTTAATGCATATAATTCACTCAATCTAGATTCAAAAAATGAAACAAGTATTTCAGGAGGGTAGTGATAACAGCAGTAATCAAGGGAACTACCTGTTTCTTTGTAATTCTTTCATAGCTATCTGGATGTCACAGAATTACCCATCTTTCCTTCCAGATGCATCTTTCAGTCTGATTCTATCCATGCTGGATGGTCATTTGGATGTCTTGTGAATACAGTAGATATACACACATATGTGTATGGATGAGAGAGCAACAGAATTAAAACAGAAATCAACATAGTGGATGAGTTTAGGGAGTAATTAGATTTTGATTAGTCAAGGATGCATAATCTTTTGTAATATTGTAATATATAAGGTAACTAAAAAATAAAAATATGGGGAGATGATATAAAAAATTCCAGCAAAAGATAAGAAAGGAAAAGGAACATAAAACAGTTGGAACAAATAGATTGTTAGTGTTCATTTATAGATACAGCTCAACCACATACTCTTTACAAGAGATAAACCTAAAATACAAGGAAACAGAAGAAGGTAAAGGTAAAAAGATGGACAAAAGACATACCATACAAAAATTGATGCAGAGAAGGCTTGGTGTAGTCAGACTGATAACAGATAAAGCAAAAAGCTTTACTAGAAATAAAGAGGGCAGTTTATGATGATAAAAGGTATTATTCATCAGGAAGGCATAACAACCCTGAATTTGTATTATCCAGTATAACACTTTAAGTAGGAGATTTTTAATACATTGTTGTTGGTAACTGATAGAACAAGATGAGACCAAAATTTAAAAAAAAATACCTATATAAGACAGCATACTTAATAAAATTAAACCTTTGATGAGGCGGACCATGAAGAAAGAGAAGACCTCATTAACCAATGTTGAGGTGAAGAGGATATCACAAAAGCTTATGAGAAGATATTATAAAAACTTGATGTCAGTCCATTTGAAATTTAGATGAAGTTATACTATTAGAAAACTACAACTTAACAGACACAGCAGAAAATAGAAAATCTGAATAGTCCTATTAAACATGATCCTTAGTGGAAAGAGCTACCCACTAGTTTTGAAGTCTTTGGGATTTACAAAAGAAAAAAAAAAAAAAACAAAACAAAAAAACGGAAACTATCCACAAGCAAAACTCCTGGTCCAGAAGGTTTCACCAGTGAATCTACCACACACGCATAAAATCATGACCAAATCGCATTCCAGAAATGGAAAATCTTTTTTTGTTTGTTTTCACAGGATCTTGCCCTGGGCTAGAGTGCAAGTGGTGCAATCATGGCTCACTGCACCCTCCTCCTCCTGGGCCCAGGTGATCCTCTAACCTCAGCCTCCTGAGTAACTGGGACCATAGGCATGTGCCACCACACCCTACTAATGTTTTAATTTTTTTGTAGAGATGGGGTCTCACTATGTTGTCTAGGCTGGTCTCAAACTCCTGGGCTCAAGTGATTTTCCCACCTTGGCCTCCAGATTGCTGGGATTACTGGTGGGAACCACCATGCTTGGCTCAAGGAAAGTCGTTTATCATTTCAAAAATCAATCAGCGTCATTCACCACATCAACAGAGTAAATCAGAAAGGTCATCTCATTTCAGTAGATACAGAAAGAGCATTTAATAAAAGTCAGCATCTATTCATGAGGAAAAGGTCTTAGAAAACTAGCAGTAGAAGGAAACTTTGTTAATCTGGGAATAGTATCTGTTAAAAACCTGCAGCAACCATAATACTGGAGAAATGTTGAAAGCTTTCTTTCTAAGAAAGCTGTATTTCCAAGATTGAGAATATGTGAGAGTAGTGTCTGTTACCTCCTTTTTAAATCATCACTGTACTAAAGGTCCCAGCAAGTAGAATAAGGCAAGGGAAAGAATAAGGATTGGAAAAGAAAAATAAAATTGTTCAGATGCTCACTAGCCACATGTGGCTATTTGCTACATTACTGATACAGGTAAATCCATCATTGCGGAAAATTCTGTTGGGCACCACCATTCTATAGAGATCAATGCAATTTCAATTTCAACATCCCAACATGGATTTGTTTTGGTGGATTTGATGAGGTGAATCAGGAACTTACATGGAATAGCCAAACTTACTTACTTTTTTTTTCTTTTAGAGGTAAGGTCTCTGTTACCCAGGCTGGAGCACATACAGTGGCACAATCATAACTCACTGCAGCCTTGAAATCTTGGGCTCAGGCAGTCCTCCCACCCGAGCCTCCTGAGTAATTGGAACTACAGGTGTGCGTCACCATGCCTGGCTTTTTTTTTTTCTTACAGAGATGAGGTGGTGGTGTGTTTCCCAGGCTGGTCTCAGACTCTCGGGCTCAAGTGATTCCCGCCTTGGCCTCCCAAAGCCCTGCAATTACAGGCATGAGCCCCTGCGCCTGGCCTGCCAAAACATTCTTGAAGAAGAACAGAATTTCCTGTTGGATCTTAAAATTTTTAAAGCTATTGTAATTTAGGTAGTGTCCAGTTCTTGAACAGAGACCTAGGTAGGTAAGTCTGTATCCAGTAGAACAGAATAGGCAGTCCAAAACTAGATCCAAGCATAAAGGGAAATGTGATTTATGATAAGGATGGGGTTACAGAGCAGTGGAGAATGTTTGTCTTTTAAATAATTGGTTAAGGATCAATTGGATGTTAATTTGGAGGGGGAAATGAAACTTGATTCCTATTTTACACAGAAGTCAAATGCAAATGGATTTTGCATTTAGATGTGAGAGAGAAAGCCCAGTGTTTAGAAGGTAATAGATTTTTTTCATGACTTTGATATAAGGAAAAATTTCTTAGATTCCAAAAGTATAGTACTAATTGTAAAGCAAAAGTTGATAAAATTAAGAACTTTTATTCATCAAAGTATACCATTAAGAGGGTGACAAGGCAAGCTGCCTGTAACCAATAGGGGCTCGATCATATTCAGAATATGGATTTTTAAAAATCCTAGAAATTTGTAAGAAATGGGCTTACAATTCAGTAGAAAAAATAGAAAAGCAACCTGAATGTACATTTCACGATGTGATGTATAAGTGGCCAATAGACATGCAAAAATGCTCAGAGTAACTAGGAAAATGCAAATTAAAAACCACATTGGAGTACCACAGCACAAATACACTTAGCATAATGGCTGAAATTAGACTGATGATTGCATGCCATAGTGAAGGAGTGGAGCGTGAGAATTTTTCATAAACTGCTAGTGGATAAATTGATTGGAACAAAAAAAGACCAGAAAAACAACAGGACAGCATCTCTGTGTATACCAAACGATGCATAACAAGAAGCTTACAAGTGGCAGTGTTCATAGTAGCCCCAAACTGGAAATAATCCAGGTGTCGGTCAGTAGTAGAATGGATAAATTATCATTTGTCCATATTGTTGTAAAGCAAGGTAATGGACAAACTGCAGTTTATAGGCATAAGATGAAGTAAACAATTCTACTCTATTACATTAGTTTGTACTTGCCCTGCTATAAATAAATACCTGAGACTGGGCAATTTATAAAGAAAGGAGGTTTAGTTGGCTCATGGTTCTTTCTTCAGGCTGTACAGGAAGCATGAAAGCCTCTGGGGAGGCTTCAGGAAGACTTTCAATCATGGCAGAAGGCGTTGGAGAAGCAGGCATGTCTTACATGGCCTGCAAAGTCAGGCAAAAGGGGGAGGTGCCACACAGTTTTAAACAGCCTTTTTTCGTGAGAACTCTTATCACGAGGATAGCACTAGGGGGGATGGTGCTAAACCATTAGAAACCACCCTCCTAATCCAATAACCTCCTACCGGGGCCCTCCTCCAATATTGGGGATTACAGTTCGACATGAGAATTAGGCAGGGACACAGATCCAAACTGTATCACCTGCTTATATGAAAACATCACGCCTGTAATCCCAGCACTTTGGGAGGCTGAGGCGGGTGGATCACGAGGTCAGGAGATCGAGACCATCCTGGCTAACATGGTGAAACCCTGTCTCTACTAAAAATACAAAAAATTAGCCAGCGTGGTGGTGGGCACCTGTAGTCCCAGCTCCTCGGGAGGCTGAGGCAGGAGAATGGCGTGAACCTGGGAGGCGGAGCTTGCAGTGAGCCGAGATTGTGCCACTGCACTCCAGCCTGGGTGACAGAGCGAGACTCTGTCTCAAAAATAAATAAATAAAAACAAATCGGGTTTTGGAGGTCAGGATAGTAGTAACTTTTGAGGAAGAGGAAGGAGGTGTTGGTTAGAAAGGGTCATAGAGTGGTGTGGTGGGTTTCTGGGATGCTGGCCATTTTTTCCCCGTTTCGTGACACAGATTGATTTTATGATAGTAATTTAAGCTTTGTGCTAATGATTTTTATCCTCTTTTCTACAATATTGCATTGAATAAGTTTAAACATAGTATATAACAGTGACATAGATAATAAAAACAGAAGCTAACATTTTTATAAAAAGTGTTTGGTGTGTGTCACAGGTTTCATTCTGTGTGCCTGTTGGTGGTATCTCATTTAAACTTTGTAACAAGGAATAGGGTCAGTATAGTAATACCTCTGCTTCATAGATAGGGAATCTAAGGCTTTGAATGGTTAAGAAATTTGCCAGTCACAGCCTTAGTCTTTTACTGTTTATAAGAACTTTTTATATATTAAGGACCTCAATTCTTTTTATTTATATTCCTTCCTACCTTTTTCTTTTTAATGTTCAGATTTAAAAGCCCTCATCACCCCCAGTATTTGAATTTAGATTTTCAATGTTTTGCTTTTACAAACAACACCAGGATAAACATGCTTGGCATCTTTGTGCACATCATTGATTATTGCCTTAGTGTAAGTTTGTAGAAGTTCTTTTAAAAAGTGAACAAGGTTGTTTTACAGAATTGAATTGAATGAAAGTATTTTTGACTATGAATGATGAAATGTTTAGAAAAGTTGGCCATCTTTCACCACAGTTGTACTATCCTTTTACTTATTTAATAAACATTATTAATCATGTAGATTGGGAAAGTTAAGGACCTCACTGTAATGGGGAGAGACAGAAGAGAATCTAAAGTCTGAAAGCAATGCTAGGGGCAGTTGACATTCCAGCTTCAGCAGGGGTAGAGGACTTGAGATTTGTATTTTAGAAAGGTCACTTTAGCCATGTTATTGAGTAGATCCAGAATTGAAAATAGAATAAAGACAGCTATTAGGAATCTGTTTTGGTAATCTTAAGTGTTATATGTGGTGATGTAGATGAAAAGGTTGTGTTTGAGTATTCTGTTAGGAGAGGGAATGAGCAAGATTGGGCAGCTGTAAGGGAAGAACTCTAACATGACTGCCAGAGTGTTGAGTCTCGTTGACTGCGTAGGAAATGGTGTCATTCCCTGTGGTGGAAAGTAGAGGTGGAACTTATGTTTGGGGAGCTTTGTTCTCTTTGTTTTGCAGAGTGTGTGCCACATTCAGGTAGAGATGGTATGCTCCACAAGGTGGGCACTGGCCCCATGAGCCTTTACTGCACATTGACTGTGCATTACTCTACAGTACTTGCAGATAACATTGGGCCATTTATTAATTGCCAGAGCTGTTCTGAGTATGTTGTATGTACTAAAGCACTAAACCTTCATAACAACCTTTTCAGGTAGGTATTATTATCATTATCAGGATATTAGGTATGCATGGCCATACAGCTGGTCACCGGTAGTGCTGGGATCTCCAACCCCAGCAACCTGGCTGAGAGTCTGTGCCCTTCACTGTTGGACCACCATTATTGTGTGTCTTGAAAATGGTAGAAGTCGGAAGTATTTTGCTACTGAGCGTTATGGTCGGTTGTGTTGTGGCTGTTAGCTGGTTCATTCAGGAGGACAGGCACAAGTATTTTGAATCTAGTCATTCTTGTTGACCAAGGTTTTAGGCTTTAGTCTGTGATTACAAATTTGGCTGAATTTAAGAAAAATCTTTTTTTTATCCTTTTCTTAAAGAATTACCTTTTATTAGATACCATTACTTTTATGGACCAAAGTGTTAATTTTTCATTTCCACCATGGATATCATGATCATGGTTCATCCTACCCGTAGGATAATTATTGGTTATTTTTTCTTTGTGGTGAGCTTGCCAGGTCTAGATTCCCTTAGGACTGTTTGAAAGGTGCAGAGAAATCCAACGACCTTGGGTTGAGAAGTTTAGTTCTGTGTTTTATGTTTGTTTTCCTGTTTTTATATCCAACCTTTGATTGCCTGTGTCAGTGGAGAGCACCATAAGGTTTCACCTGGTTTGGGGAATGCTGGCGATGTTGTTTGCCGTAAACCTGGCAGCAGGTGCAAAATAGCATCTCAGAAATGTTCCTTTGAGTTGGTTTGTGAGGAGCTGGTCTGTTGGAGAAGTCCCTCAATAATTAAAAGATTACTTATTTAACTTGTATTATGGTTCTTAATTTATGAAAATCTCGTAGGTGAAAGTAAGTCTTAAAGGTTGTTGCTGTTGCTTTACAAAAAGATTTTCTGAAGATTTTCTCAATACAAGTTTATATTCATTTTAATCACTATGGATCTTCTATACCATTAAAAACATAACTGTTGTGTTGAGTAACATATACCTGTTTGTAGTTAGAAAAGTTTTTTAATATTGAATATCCTAAAGTTCTTATTTAAGGAACCATTAGATATGTCAAATGATACAAACATTAGGATATGAATATTTCCTTTAAACCTCACTTATCTTCTTGTAGGAGGAGAGACTTCAGCATGCAAACCTTCATCTGTTCGGCTTGCACCGTCATTTTCATTCCATGCTGCTGGCCTTCAGATGGCTGGACAGATGCCCCATTCACATCAGTACAGTGACCGTCGCCAGCCAAACATAAGTGACCAACAGGTTTCTGCCTTATCATATTCTGACCAGATTCAGCAACCTCTAACTAACCAGGTAAGTTCATGGAGTATCAGAAATGACTATTGGAATGGCAGTTTATTCCTTAAAAATGTTGGAATACTAAGTAGGCAAAATGCTTTAATGGCTTTCAGTTTTACATGCAACGTGGGATTATGGATTGGGAAAACATGTTAAGAAGTTTGCATTAAATTTTTTTTTTTTAATTTTTACTTGTATTTCACTTAAACACTCATAAACATAACCACAGTCTCTCATTCTGTAATAGAAAGGGGAAAAGTTATTTCTGAAGAATATTAAAGGATCTTGAAGAAAAAGCTTATTTTTATGGAAAGGTGGCTAAGTTAAAACCGTTACAGGAAAGCAAGTCAGATTCCATTACAGCAAACTTACAGAACCAATTTTGTGTTATTTTAAACTACCTTTCTACACATTTGTAAAAATAAATACAAAACTCCCTAAAATTCAAAAGAGATGTATGCAAATTAACCGTGCTATTTATTCTAATATTCAGACAGGCTATTCACCATTTTTCTATGAAGTGAATGGTGTAAATAGAATACATGCTGAACTCTTGGTACTCACACACACATACACATGCATATATATGTATGTGTATGTATTTTTAATATCTTTCTAAATTAACTGCACCGTCTACGTTGAGTTTTGGTTTGGGAGACTTAACAGCTGTAGTTGTGTGAAAGTTTCTTGCCCCACGGATATTTGATGTGTGATGAGCACTGAAAATGGCTGCTTTTCCATGGACTTAGAAATTTGGTTTGCCATTCTTTTGTTTAGGTCTTTTAATATATTGTGTGAGGATAAAAGAGTTGGGAGATTTAAAAGTATGTCTTTTCCTGGTGTCTTGTTTATATTAAAACGTGTTTGTAATAAAATTTTGCTAGTAGGCTGACATAATGTTTAAAATATACAACATGTTAACATTCACAGTTAAATCGTTACAATAAGATGAATTTGGCAGGACTTAAGATTTTATGTAGTGAATTGATTTCAGTTTAGTTGCGTGTTTGAGAATTGGGACAGTTGTTCAGAATGTCCAAGTTTAGGAAGTGTTTAATTGTGTACCAGAAGAAAACTGCCTGGAAATCTAATAATAATAACACGATGATCCATTTGCACTTTGAGGAAACCAAGTTGATTCAGATTAATTTTCCCACTTGTTCAAAAGCAGCCTGTCAGGCAGAGTGCTGTTTTTAATGTGTTTCACAGCTGAAAGGACTGCGCTCCCATTTGTGACTTTTCCGTGTGTGAGCAGGAGACTGTGGGGTCCAGCCTGGGCTTCCTTCTTCTTAGATACAGTGCTCTTTCAGGTCTAACCTCTGGTGTCTACAGCGGGCTAGGAAAACTTCCAGTCCTTTAAAGTCATTTTTATCATTATATTATTTTAGTAAATAATTTAATTAACAAAGCACCTATTTTTATATCCAACTAACGTCTTATGTGTATTTGGATCATATAAAATAAGAGATATTTCACTTACTATTTCTGTTTTAAGCTATGAAATACTTTTAAAGATTTGTGTGATGTAAAAAGACTATCTTTAAAGTAATAATACTCAGCCAAATATTTCTGCCAAAATCCAAAAATTTCTGGGCCTAATAAGGGAGTCATATTAGAGGATCCCTTTCCTGTAACTAAAGTGTAGGCTGCGTATTAAGTGGCATAGTCTAGTCATAGGACCTGGCTTCAAGGTCTTGGCCGGCTCATGATCTGGTTGTAGGATTTGAGTTAGGTTATTTGTACCCTTCATATCTGTTCCTTGGGTGTCAAATTGGCACCTCCGACTAGAACCCCCAACACATACAAAGTACCTTTTAGCTGTAAACTTACTGTAATTTCATTATTTAATTTTCATTGTTTCTTGTTAATCATCCTATCAGATGTCTTTTAAAAGAGAAATAGAGCGAAAGTAGGTGTAGAAGAGGAAGACTGATGTTTGGAATGCTGGCTCTCTGGGCTATTCTAGTTTTCACAATATCTTCCATAGTTCTTAAATTCTAGTACCCTGGATATGTGTTATAGATGCTATTCAGCTTTATTAATGCTCTCAAAATAACAAGAAAGGCAGAATACAGTGTTTCTGATTCTTCATTATATAGGAAAACAGGAGGTAAATATAAATAAAATGAAATAGGTATTATAATGGAAAACAGTTTTTGAAAGGAGTCCTAGAGCTTATACTAAAGAATCTTTTCAGGACAAAAGTTAATTATTGTTTTAGCTCTTATAACTGATCTAAGCAGGAGGTTTGTAATCTGGGTGAAGTAAAAGGAGCAAGAGATGTGAGCATTGAGGGTGTACTGTTTCTAGCTCCTGGAGGCAGATAGCTGAGGCAGCAGGAGGAGGTCACCTCAACTTCCCTTTTATTAGGTTACTTGCCTTGCAAAAGGGGTCATTTCTGCAGCTTGGTGAGCTCCTGGGTCCTCTGAACACCATGGACTTAACTTTTTGCTGTAGAAGGTAGAAGGGAGCTTGCTCTATTACTGTACATTCTCTTGACTTTGGCTAGCAGAAGCAGGAAGTAGAGAAAGTGTCAGATGCTTAGGGCTGGCCTTGAGTGTTAGTATAGATATATAAGTAGGTATTTGGAAAAGCTGCTTTCTAATTCTGGATATGTACTAATGGCATCACAATGTTCCAAAAGAAAAAATTGGTTAATATGAAATCACAATGAAAGCATAGGGAGTATTACTTGCTTTGTAGACATTTATTTGTTCTTTCCATGTATTTTGAGCATCTCAATGCAGGATGTTGTTTGAAGCATGAAATATAAACAGCTTGGCCTTGTAGGCAGAGTATGACCAGTTGTGGAAAAGATTAGCAACATTTTGTGAAGTGCTAAGCACACAGCACACACTCATATTGAGTGCAGAAATTTGATCATGTAACTCATGTTTATATCCTATTTTGTATATGTACTGTATATTTGAAATTTTTTTTTGATTATATGTGATTTTGGTGTTTTTTAGTGAGCATCATTACTCCTGAATGTAGTTACTGATTCTTTTTTCAGATGTTTGAAATACCAGTGGAATTGTAAATGGGCAAGTTAAAAACTTAAAGACATTCACAGTTTTTTGATGTAACTAATTTTAATAAATGCCTTTGCTTATTTTAGGCATACCTCAATTACTTTGCTCAACAAATAGCCTAAAAATGACTGCTAAGAGGGTAGACTAGAGGCGTAACATTGATAGGGAGCTCCTGGCAAGAGTGTCCTCGTTAAGAGCCTGGGGTTAGGCATGGACATCTTCAGCTACAATATTATAGTAGCTGCACTACGATAATATTTCGGACCACCCGGATGGTGATTTTCCTGTTCTTTAACTGGCTCTGGGACCTTGGTCAAGTTCTTTAACGTTGGAGACTCTGGTTTCGCGTGTGTAAAATGGTCACAGGAATGGTATTTATCTCCCTTGAGATTGTTGAGGGGATTGCATGGAAGACTTGTAAAAATATGCATGCTAAAAACATGTTGTTCAGTAAATACCTGCTACTGTTATTGTTACTTTATTATTAAGTTATTCGGTTGACTCTACCAATGACTTATACTTCCTGTCAACTTTTATTATAGCAGTAATGAAGCATTGCACTGATTCAGATTTTGTGAAACCTCACATTTAGGCTGCACTCCACCAGCCCAAGAAAGGGGCTTACTGAATAAACTACCTACATGAAAACAATGCTGGGAACTTAAATTAAAAAAGAAAAGACATTTAAGGGAAACCTTTCATCACCCTAAATGCTTACAGCATTCATTCACAGAAAAACTGACGTTTATTACCCATATTAATTTATGCATTAAGTCCTTAAGGAATAGTATAAAAATATTCTGTGAACTTAGCATTAGCTACTGTTTAGAAAAGTAAGACTGTCTATTTGAAAAATTAAATCAGATCATCTTCTTAATTCTGATGATTTTTGTCAGACAAATAGTATAATCACCAAGGGTTCCCCCCCCCCCCAACCTTATTTGGAATTAAGAAGCACAGGACTTTGAGAAGAGATAGTGTTATTTCAGTAAATGGGTGAATTTGCCCTCTGGGTAACAACTTTTTAGAGTTTGAGTATACATGCAGAAGAAACCAGTGTTAATGTTGGTTCATGATAAAGCGCACGTAGTAAAGTTCATGATTTACAGCACGTAAAATGCTGTAACAATTCTGTCTTTTCGGACCACATGGATGGTGATTTTTCCTGTTCTGTCCACTGGTACAAACCTCCCCTCTTCTCTTTTTTGGTGTGGGTTAGGTTAACAATTATACCATGACTCCACACATTTTTGCGAGGTCTTAGTATGATGTGTTTACTGTCACTCTGCCCCTCCGATTGACCCGAGTGTCCTTGGAGAGATGTTGTGTCAGGGTCTTCTGGCTCATTTCCCAGCACAAATGTCCAGAAGAGTTGGGCAGGAACACAAAGATGGGCCAGGGGGAATGGCTGTGACCACCTTGATGGAAATAATTGGTTTTGAGGATCTGTTGATTGCAAGAACCCCCATTGGGAATCCTTTGACTGAGGCATGGCACTTGCTGGAGCAGTGGCACTTGGACAGCAATCCAGGATCATTGATGCTAGCCACAGCACTCCTGGGGTGTGTGTATAGAGGGGGTGCATGCCCCTGCTCTATCATCTGTTGTAATTGCTGTGGAAACGGTCTAGCAGGATGCTCACGGTGGAACCCCTCATTGCCTGTCAGATGGTGTCGAGAGCCATGAGTTGGGATCAGGGAAGGGGACTGTGAGGGCAAGCCTTGGTTAGGGGCAGATATTTGTCAGAGGGCAGCAGGGTCTGGAGACATTAGGAGCTGAATTTCTTCTTATTAGGAGCAGTTGGAGGGAATGGTGCTCTGCTGCCAGCCCCCTTTTTTGGTGCCAGCTGGGTCCTGAAATCCTATGTTAAGGAAGCTGAAAGTTGCCTCTGAGGGCTGGGTTTATCTTTGTCTGCTAGTTGTGAACCTGGTCAGGTTTTAGGAATAATTCAGAAAAAAATTTTCTTTGGGCTAATTGTGTGGTAGAGAAGCCCTCGTGGGCAACATCCTGTGTGTCTCCTAGATTGGCGTATGTCTGCATTTCTACCACTTTAAATTTGGCGGAATAGGATCAAAGCCTCAGGCAGCTGGGCATATTATCCTCTAATTTCATTGATTTGTTCTAGTGGTTGTCTTTATTGGAATCCACATGAAAGGGAACTTTGAGAGAGAATGTATAATCATCTAATGTGTAGCTGTCTTTAAAAAAGTAGATACATGCAGGTTACAGAAGAGGGAATTTATATCTTATAGTTAAAGTGCTAGTCTTTTCTGTCTATTTAAGGTGATGCCTGATATTGTCATGTTACAGAGGCGGATGCCCCAAACCTTCCGTGACCCAGCAACTGCTCCCCTGAGAAAACTTTCTGTTGACTTGATCAAAACATACAAGCATATTAATGAGGTAAGACTTGATTTGTTATAATAACATCTATCTTGCAGTATGTCATTGAGAAAAAAAGTGTGACCTATTTACCCTAAACTTTTTTTTCATTCCTAGTAGTTGTCATATTGATGATTATTATGAAGACTAATGATTTAGAAATAATATTACAATTATGTAAAAGATATATTAACAAGGACTGCAGAGTATAAAGATAATTGTGGATAACTTGATTTTTTTAAGGTTGTATTTAATATACTGTTATTTCTTTTTTTAATTTTTATTTTTTGTTTTTTATTTCATTTGAGTTCTGTAATAACTTATTCAAAACAAGAAAGGGGAATAAGGACTCTAAAAGTATATATGTGTTAGAATTTTTGCTAGAATTTTTATATATTTGTTTCTGCTTTTGCCATGGGTGTCAGGAAGCTCTGAAATATGTTTAATACCTAGTTACAGGCATTTGGCCTAGTTTATTTGATCTATCTATATTTCTGTGATTTTATTGTCTTTTAACTTTTTATGTGTGTTCTTTTATCTATATCTTTTTATGATAAGATGTCCAGAAGCTTTTTTGTTGTAAGTAAATAAGATAAAAAACAGACACAGCACTTTGAATTCCTTGCCTGTACTTGGTGTTTTGCCACCGAAAATTTTTCTGGTGTCTTGGACCATTGGCTTCATTGCCATTTGCTTGTGGCTTCAACTCTGTCTCCAAAGTTAATTATTAAAGGAGCATTTCTGGAGAAGAATCCATGCTTTCTTTCCTCTTCTAGTGGGAGCCCTGCACCCTTTCATGTTGAAGGCTTGTCCTTTGCCAGCTTTAGAGCTGCTTAGCTGAAAAGTGAAAAGATGTTCTTAGGTACATGCAAATTTTATAGCAATTTAATGTTATTTAATGACAGTATTACTACATTACAGTGGCAGTGTGGCAACGTAAAATTAGAATGAACTCTGTGAGGAACATTTCTGAGTTAGATTTTGTACACATTTATATATTATAAACATGTTCCAGACTAGCTTGTGATTATCTGAATATATCTGATAAATTGTTGATAACAGTATATTAATTTCAATTTGTTATTATCTGATAAATTGTTAACAAAGCTACAGTTAAACTGTTGTTAACAGTAGCTTTCTTGGAGCTTGTTTTTAAGTGTCTTAACCACGTTATAAAGTAGACTTTTTCTGATGTTATTCCATGCAGTGTAATTTATAATTTCGCCAAAGTTAGTTTACCAGTTACCTGGACTGTTTCCTAGTTCATCTAGTATTTTTTTTTTTTACTAGTCTTAGAAACAGTGTTGGTGTTTTGTTTTTGTTTTTGTTTTTGTTTTTTGTTTTTTTTTTTTTTTTTGGAGACAGAGTCTCACTTTGTCACCAAGGCTGCCAGCCTGGAGTGCAGTGGCGCGATCTCGGCTCACCGCAACCTCCGCCTCCCAGGTTCATACCTTTCTCCTGCCTCAGCCTCCTGAGTAGCTGGGACTACAGGTGCCCGCCACCATGCCCAGCTAATTTTTTGTATTTTTAGTAGAGACGGGGTTTCACCGTGTTAGCCAGGATGGTCTCGATCTCCTGACCTCGTGATCCACCCTCCTCGGCCTCCCAAAGTGCTGGGATTACAGGTGTGAGCCACCGCGCCTGGCCCAGAATCAGTGTTAAAGAAAATAACTCAGCCTGTGATTAACCATAGGCGTATGGTCTTTGGGAGTGGGGGCTAAGAGGCCATAGCTGTTTTTCATTAATCGTTATATTTTTATAGGTTTAAAAACTGGGCATGTCTCAGAGGGCCTATTTATTTTAGTAAAACATCACTTGGTCTACATCTGAACTTATTTTAAAAATATGTTGCCATAAAATCAAATATAAATAAATTCATGCAAGTTACAGAAGAGGGAATTTATATCAATAAATTCCCTTTATATCCCAAATATAAAGTTGGGATTGACTGGAAGGGGGCATGAGAGAACTTGAACTTGAGGGACATGAAAATGTTACTTGGCTGTTTGGCATTTGGTAACTTTTGTCAAAATTCCTCATGTTGAACTCTTAAGATCTGTGCCACCTCACTGTATATAAATTATACTTCAATTTAACAAATAAATATAAACCAGGTCCTTTTACTTTTCTTGAATGGCATACTTTGGACAAGTCACTTAACATTTTTTGTTTACAAAGTCTATAAACAGTATAACTATAATGAATTTCACTGTATAAATTTTTTCATTGGTTAGATCAGTATTATTTTCTAACTCAAATGTCAACTGTAGAAAATAGGTGTGTGTCAATATACTCTGATAATGCCCTTCCTCACAGTGATTTAAATTTTACAGTTAACACTATGTATTCTCATTTCAGGTTTACTATGCAAAAAAGAAGCGAAGACACCAACAGGGCCAGGGAGACGATTCTAGTCATAAGAAGGAACGGAAGGTTTACAATGATGGTTATGATGATGATAACTATGATTATATTGTAAAAAACGGAGAAAAGTGGATGGATCGTTACGAAATTGACTCCTTGATAGGCAAAGGTTCCTTTGGACAGGTAATTTAATGGAAAATGCTGAATTTCATTAGTTAGAAAGAACTTCTTAGTGAATCTTGTTGTTAACAGCCCTTCCTCAAGAGTGTACTTTTAATATTTGCAAATAGAGCTCAGCAATGGATATGCAAGTATTTGGATGACCATAATTCTTTAAAGGTAGTGATACTGCATCAGTAATATAAACTCCTTAGACTTCTAAAAACTTTTATGGCTACCAAGTGCTCATTTTACTAATGACTGGTGAATTTTAATCACTTAATAGATAGTATTGCCTCTTTGTTATGGGCCTTGTATAGTCTGTAGATGATTGTTAATTACATATGCTAGAGGTATTTACCTTCTTGTCCGATAGACCACTTCAAAGAGAAAAGAATTACCATGTTCAGGTGGTGCAGTGGGAGTCCACTCACTTTTCAGGAGGCTTTGGAAAGCTGGGGGTTGTTCCCTGGCTTTTTCTCCCACTTCATGTTGTAACTATATCAGACCTCTAAGCAGGCAGGCAGTCTTAGTCTCTTGTATCAGTCGCACCAATACCAAGAGTTTTGGGTCTTTCTCCTTGTGCTTTATTTATTTATTTATTTAGAGACAGACTTGCACTCCTGTCACCCAGGCTGGAGTGCAGTGGTGCACTCTCGGCTCACTGCAACTTCCATTTCCCAGGTTCAAGTGATTCTCATGCCTCAGTCTCCCGAGTAGCTGGGATTACAGGTGTGTGCCTGTAACCACACCTGGCTAATTTTTGTATTTTTAGTAGAGACAGGGTTTCACCGTGTTGGCCAGGCTGGTCTCAAACTCCTGACCTCAGGTAATCCGCTCACCTTGGCCTCCCAAAGTGCTGGGATTTCAGGCGTGAGCCACCATGCCTGGCCTCCTTGTATTTTTAAAAATATTTTTTCGGGTCAGGCGTGGTGACTCACACCTATAATCCCAGCACTTTGGGAATCTGAAGCAGAAGGATCACCTGAGCCCAGTAATTCCAGAACAGCCTGGGCAACATAGCAAGACCTTGTCTCTATTCATTTAAAAAAAAAAAATGTTAGGGGGATCTCTGGTTGTGGTCCCCCAGCTGTTCCCAGTTGTAAGTCCTTCTATCACATTGAGTCACAGAGCTGTGTTTTGTTTGAGGTGTGATTTGCTGATAATCCCAGTCTCCTCTGCCTTGCAGCCCTTGTGGAATGAGATGGTTATTAATCTGCAGTCCAAACTTTTGACTTTTCGATGATGAGGATAGAATGGGAATCAAAATGACTTTTCCTAAATTGCCTTTTTTTGTTTTCTTAAACTATGGAACCTGCATGTGCTTACTTCTCTGTTCCTGCCCTGAGAGAACACAAAATACATGCTCCTTTTTAACCTGTGAGGAAAAAGCCATCATGCTTAAAACAGAAAGTGTTCTGTATTATCGGGGGAAATTCAGCCAGATATCGGGCAAAATTCACCCCCAATATTTCATGTAGGTTCTTTTCTATTTTCCCTAAGCGTCGGCCGGTTTGAGAAATAAAGGGACAGAGTACAAAAGAGAAATATTTTAAAGCTGGGCATCTGGGGGAGACATCACATGTCGGTAGGTTCTCTGATGCCCCACAAGCCGCAAAACCAGCAAGTTTTTATTAGGGATTTTCAAAAGGGGAGGGAGTATACGAATAAGGTGTGGGTCACAGAGATCACATACTTCACAAGGTAATATAATATCACAAGGCAAATGGAGGCAGGGCGAGATCGCAGGACCACAGGACCAGGGCGAAATTAAAATTGCTAATGAAGTTTTGGGCACCACTGTCATTGATAACATCTTATCAGGAGACAGGGTTTGAGAGCAGACAACTGGTCTGACCAAAATTTATTAGGCGGGAATTTCCTTGTCCTAATAAGCCTGGGGGTGCTATGGGAGACTGGGGCTTATTTCATCCCTACAGTCTCGACCATAGAAGACGGCCACACCCAAGGGGGCCATTTCAGAGACCTACCCTCAGGGGCTCATTCTCTTTCTCAGGGATGTTCCTTGCTGAGAAAAAGAATTCAGCGATATTTCTCCCATTTGCTTTTGAAAGAAGAGAAATATGGCTCTGTTCCGCCCGGGTCAGTGGTCAGAATTTAAGATTATCTCTCTTGTTCCCTGAACATTGCTGTTATCCTGTTCTTTTTTCAAGGTGCCCAGATTTCATATTGTTCAAACACACATGCTCTACAATTTGTGCAGTTAATGCAATCATCACAGGGTCCTGAGGCGACATACATCCTCCTCAGCTTACGAAAATGAAGGGATTAAGAGATTAAAGACAGGCATAGGAAATCACAAGGGTATTGATTGGGGAAGTGATAAGTGTCCATGAAATCTTCACAATTTATGTTTAGAGATTGCAGTAAAGACAGGCGTAAGAAATTATAAAAGTATTAATTTGGGGAACTAATAAATGTCCATGAAATCTTCACAATCCATGTTCTTCTGCCGTGGCTTCAGCTGGTCCCTCCGTTTGGGGTCCCTGACTTCCCGCAACACTCTATGTCATTAGCAGCCACAGGTCTAAATCCAGAAAAATAAACGTGTAAGCAAATATGAACATTTGTGTTAGACCTGTGTCACTCCAGTGTGGCCCTACCAGTCCCTGATGTCACGTGTATATGTCTTCTTCCCATGATTTGAAAGAATTTTGGTAATTACACATAATCCAGGGACTTTTTCCTTGAATTATAACCTCTTTTTCTTCTGAGGGGGTTTTCAGTGCTTTGGGAGTCCTTTTTTTTGTTTTGTTTTGTTTTGTTTTGTTTTTTAAGAGACAGGGTCTCACTGTATCAGCCTGGCAGGAGTGCAGTGGAGTAGTGATCATGGTTCACTGCCTCAACCTCCTGGGTTCAAGTGATCCTCCCACTTCAGCCTCTAGAGTAGCTGGGACTACAGGCACGTGCCACCATGCCTGGCTAATTTGTTGTTTTTTTGTAGAGGTGAGGTCTTACTGTGTTGCCCAGGCTGGTCTTGAACTCCTGGGCTCAACCAGTCCTCGCATCTCAGCTTCCCACAGTGCTGAGATTATAGGCCTGAGCCACCACACCTGGCCTGGGAGTCCCTCTTGATTAAGGTCTTCCTGTTAGTCAGAAGCAGCTTCTCTGTCAGCCTCTTAAGGAAAGGCATTTGTGAGGCCCAGTCCTTAACTAAGGGTGTGAATACCCTCTACTGGTTCCCAACCCGGGCTACACAGCAGGAGGTGAGTGGTCAGCAAGCATTACCGCCTGAGCTCCGCCCCGTCAGATCAGCAGCAGCGTTAGATTCTCAAAGGAGCTCAAACCCAATTGTGAACTGTGCATGCGAGGGATCTAGGTTGTGTACTCCTTATGAAAATCTAATGCCTAATGATGTGAGGCAGAACAGTTTGATCCCCAAACCATCCACCTCACCCCTACCTACCCTGGCCGTGAAAAAATTGACTGCTGCTCTAGACCTAGAGAGTGCTACCTCCGCCATGAAAACTTCACTAACGTTTGGGCAGTTGCACTCAATAGGTCCCTTTTTTTTTTTTTTTTGAGATGGAGTTTTGCTTTTGTTGCCCAGGCTGGAGTGCAATGGTGTGATCTTGGCTCATTGCACCCTCCGCCTTCTGGGTTCAGGTGATTCTCCTGCCTCAGCCTCTTGGGTAGCTGGGATTGCAGGTGCCCCCCACCACACCTGGCTAATTTTTATATTTTTAGTAGAGATGGGATTTCACCACGTTGGTCAGGCTGGTCTCGAGCTCCTGACCTCAGGTGATCCGCCTGCCTTGGCCTCCCAAATCATGCTGGGATTACAGGCATGAGCTGCTGTACAGGGCCTAATAGCTTACTTTCTAACTTTCCTGACATCTACCATGCAAATTGTAGCCATACAGGCTGCTCTGTAAGCTGATTGGCCCCTGATGACTCAGTCTTTGTGCTCATAGTTAGGTTTTTCTTCTCCCCTTCACCTTAGTTTTCTCATACTCAGATTCCACAGAACAAGTGAGCACAGGAACCCTGTGACGATAGAGTCCTGCTTGACGTTGAACTCCTTTTTCCCAGGGCAGACTGATACTTCCCCTCTTGGGCTGAGGTGTTGTGCAGTGTCCACGTTGAGGTTCAGGTCCTGTCCCTCACCAGAATAGTATCTTCTGTATAGACTTGGTCAGACTTTCTCCACATTCTGTGTCAGGTTATTGTCAAATAAGGGATTTCTCCATTTCCGTAGCCAATACTTACCAATCCTGATTGCGTATTGAAATTTCTTGGGGAGCTTACCCAAAAAATTACTGATGTCTGGGCTCCAGGCCAGTTAAATTCTCTAGGCATTGATGTAAAAGAAAAAAAAAACCTTATTAAATTTGTAATTCATGGTCAAAAACTGGCAGTTAGCCTGTTAACTGTTTGGCAAGTCAGTAGATACTTGGGCCCACATGAGTGTCCTTTATCCTGCAGCCCATCAGGATCTGGGCACTGAACTGCAACTCTTAGTGCAGTCAGTACATCCAGTGAAGCAGAAGCATATCAGAACCCCTTGGCCACATGTTTACAAGGGTAGCCTCTGTTATAAAAGACCACAGAGAGTGTCTTTTAGAATTGAGTGAAACCAGAGATTAGTGCATTTTTTATTCCAAGTTTGATTTCAGTTGAGCCATTCAGAATCTGTCACAGTAGATTTAGCCTTGACTGATGAAGATCTGAGAACATACGTTTCATCCTCTTCCTGACCTTATGGTTTCATCCTGCACCTTGGAATCATTTGGAGTTCCTTCCCCATCCCCAGGCTTTTTGAATGTGCTAGAAAATGTATCTAAAAGAATTACTTATTCAGACAATGTATAATATTATAAATGTAACTTCTATTTTATTAGTTGTAATGGTTGTCACTGGTTAATAAGAGATAACATTTTCTTTTACTTATATATTGATTTTGTAATGTTTATGTAAATCTTTTATAGTAGTATGAACCTCGTTTTAAATGAGTCAGATTTCAAGTGAGAGGTGTTGCATGGTGATGTGTGCTCATGAACGCTGTGCTTTCCTTAGCAGTAATTCTCATTTTAAAACTATCATAATCCCCCAATTATGGCGTTTGTGGCATTGTGGAACTTTACTGGTAATTTGTGTTTGATTTTTTTTTAGTCTAAACCAATTTTTCTTTTATATACTTAGGTTTTTATGTATGAAAATCTAATTGAAAGTTAGAAAGTTATCTGAAGCCTTCTGCTGATAAACTTTTAAATATTTCATACATATTCTTAGGGTTCAGGTATCTCTCATTAAAAGAATAGTTCGATGAGTTGTTTTATAGTGTTATTTAGTAAGAAAGATAAAAAAACCTAAGCATTTGTCAAGAGTCATAATTTATTTCTGAAGGAGGAAAATAGTTAATTTAATTTTATTAAGAAAATTATCTATTTTGTGGATATTTAGAAATATTGTACAAATGCAAAAAGAAATTCAATTTAAAAGATTGATTTAAAGTTACTGTGTAATAAGTGGATATATATTGAATAGAAATAGATGGCATCTCTTCTACTTAGGAAGGTCAGAAAAATAATTATAAAAACATATAATTGAGAATTAGGTAAATGTTATAATTAAGGTGAATTATAAATTATTGTGAAATTTTTGCAATTAATGAAATAGAGAATTATTCATCTTCTCTTTTAGGTTGTAAAGGCATATGATCGTGTGGAGCAAGAATGGGTTGCCATTAAAATAATAAAGAACAAGAAGGCTTTTCTGAATCAAGCACAGATAGAAGTGCGACTTCTTGAGCTCATGAACAAACATGACACTGAAATGAAATACTACATAGGTAAACAAACAGGCAAACAGCGCAGTGTGCCCCAACCCACACCAAAACTTTGAGTTAATGGTTCTTTTCTATCAAAATATTTTGATTTTATTTTAAAGTGGCTGATTAAAAATTTGTTTATTTCTGTTGGACAGCAAGATTTATATAAGTGACTTGATCTGGTAGTAATAGTCTAAATCTTGGGGAATGTGCCTTCCATGTAGCATACCATGTAGAAACAAATGAGAATAGTGTGTGTGTGTTTTTTATTTGCAACTTACTGGTACCATTTGTTTGCTAATAATGATGCATGTTTATCCATAGGGTCATCTTTCCAGTAACTTTAACCATTTCTAATCTAGCTCAGAAACTAGTTGTGAGCTAGTATGTTCTTAGTGGTTGTGGAACCATTTTTGGGGCATCTGCAACAAGATCTCAGGCTCCTCCCCAGTCTCTTCATCAGCTTGGCAGCATTAGAAGCTATTAGATTTACAACTACAGAAAAGAGATAATAGCCACTGCTTATTGAATTTCTACCACATTCCTTATGCTTTTCTTCCATCATCTGTAATAATTTATAGCAGTCTTATAAGGAAGATGGTAGAATCCTTAAGTTATGGTTGGTTTGTATAAGAAGCCCCATACCCAGGGTCATAGGGCTCTGCAGCTAAGATTGGAAGCTGCCGTACTTCTGCCTACTCCAAAGTCTGTTTCATTCTCACATAGTCTTCCTTCTGAAAACAGAAATAGGAGACAGAAGAATTATGACAATACTGAAGTCTAGGGCCATTTGATACATGGGCAAAATATCTTCTAGTACACCTTCTTTCGCAGTATTTTTTAATCAAATCTAATATGTCAGTGATTGTAAGACACCATCATTTTATGTACCGTCAAGGAAAAAACTGTTAAGTATTCATATAAGATGCCATCAATCGAAGATACAGACCTTAAGATCAGCACAGAGCCATAGTCACTTGTGTTCAGAAACACTGACCTTATTTGATACACGTAAGGCTGAGTTTTATTTAACAGATCTTTTAAGAAAACGTTATGATTCTTTGGTCCACCCCAAAAAGGTAGAAACAAATAATGGATCTTTAAAAGGGGCAAGCTTCAGATTGTTTAGATTTTGTTTGTGAAATACTTCTCATTCCTCATTATTAAAATATAAAATGAGTTTCTATTAATTTTTCTTAGTTTCTTTATAGATACTGATATAATTCATAATAATACCATTCTTATCTTAAAACCTTGTCACACACAATGAAACTTTGCTGTTCACTGTCAGTTATAACTTACATGAGGTGACCCATTTCCATTCAAGGGTTTTAGAAGCACATCAAGGACATTCTAAGGATGATTGACTTACACAATGATCTCTGAACATGCCTCCTGCCTTCTCCTCACTCTTGAGTATTTGCTTAGGGGAGCAGAAAAAATACTGGTAGCATTACTGTAACATTTTAATTCTGCTTTATTTAAAAAAGACATAGCTGGCATATAGTTAAGTACTGAAAAATGTTAGCTACTCAGTTATGTATAATGCTAGTATTTTGTTTTGAATAAAGTTGACATTAATGATCATATTATTAATTGTATTAGTTATTACAGATACTCTTTGGATGAGTTTTTAAATTCTTATTTCAGAAGATGGTGAATGCATAACGTCTCAAGAAACTGAGATTCTGTTTGGAAAACAAAAGAACTTTAGATTAGACAAGTTCATATCAATTGAATTGATACCTTAAACTTAAGGTATCCGAAAGTCATATTGATTTTTATGATGTAAATTAGTTTTAAAGTGATTGATGAGTCTGATTTATTCTGATGAGTTTTATTGTCTTGTCTTTGAACTTTAAAAAACATCTACTTCTTTACTGTGTAGCCAAATTTCTTATCTGGATTATTTGGTACCTGCCATGGTCTAGTTAAAAGAAAATTTAGTTGAAGTCTTCAACAAAGTCTTGCCAGCCCTCCATTCTCCCCAAAATTTGGTTAAAAAGACTGAACAAATATGCTTGTTTGAGCTTTCTTTGACAATGTCTTTAGTGCTCAGCACACTGTAGATACTAAGTAAATGAATAAAGAATTGTGAGGTCAAGTGAAACTAAGTAGATCTTTCATTGGACGAACATTGTGATCACAGAGCTTCTTAAAGGAATTTTTATAATCACATTAGAATTCTGACAGCAGTTACTTTTTGCATTCATTTAGTGGCACCTGCTTAACCAGGAGATTAAAAGCCATCCACAGACCATGATTGTGAGGTATCATGGAACTATGTTTTTAGTTTTAAACCTATAAACTGAAGTGACTAAGAGCAGATATTTTACATTCTTAGGTAACATTTAAGGATTCCTTTTGTTATTTTTAGTATCGAGTTGTGCTGTAGACTCCTATATAGCCATGTAGTTATTTTTATTGTGTTACTTATTCTAACTTTAGATCACCTATACCATGAAAGATCTAAAAGCAATATTGATGTTCACTGCTTTGAGGCAGGCAGCCCAGGACTATTCCCAGGAAAACACAATGTATCCACAGTTCTTAGTGATCAGACATTGATTACTATCAGTTTATTCCAGATAGATCTGTAGAGAAACCTCTCATTTTGTAATACTATAAGATAAAATGAAAATCACCTTGACAGATGGGTGTTTTATGTCATTGCAGTTGTGTTACAGGTGCTCAGTTTGGTATATATAAGACTTAACAGGGAGGGACAGCACTTTATCGAATAACCTCATCTGATGTGACGTCAGTGTTAATAGTTAAAGCACAATCTTTGAGGCAATTTAGTGAGTATTCAGCCTTTTTAGAGGGTCAACAGTGATAGCGACCTATGTATTCTATGCTGTTTCCCCACTCACAAGCCTCCTTATCATCTCTTCTTGTAGCTGAGCTTTATTTTGAAGTTTTCCAAACCTTCAGTCTCACACAAGAGTTGTCACTTACCAATTTGATAAACACAGTTAAGTCCTCCAATACTTTTACCAAAGCATGATTTTCAGACATTTGTTGTATTTGCCTAAAGGGTAAAAAAAAAAAAGGCTATCAATGAAAATTGTGACAGAAAATTACCAGTGAAATCTAAAGTTCAGCAGTGCAGATACATTTCAAAGCCTACACAGAGGGCTGCCAACTACAGCATTGTCACAAACCAGAGATCCCAGTAGGTGGAGCTTAGACATAGGAAGTTGTGAGGTAGGGCTCTCGGGAAGTAAAAAGTGCTTTCTTTTATAAATGAAGATAAAATTGCTGAAATATTCTCACTGCTGTTTGTCCATTTGGTCCTTATGTTTTCAGATCTGACTTTTAGAGAAACAAGGCATTTTGGTAGCACTGCTTACCTTATATCACTTACCGACATATGCTGTACCTGTTTAATTCAGCAGAAGAGCAACTTAGATATTCTTAACTGATTGAAAACTGCTGTTATTACAAAATGCTGATCTCCAAACTTTAACTGAACTCTGCATTTGATGTAATAATGTTATAGAACATTTGAGAGTGCATGTGTTTGTTACTCTCAGTTTATTGGTATATATAATTTAAAATGAAACTGTTTTCTCTTTCAGTGCATTTGAAACGCCACTTTATGTTTCGAAACCATCTCTGTTTAGTTTTTGAAATGCTGTCCTACAACCTCTATGACTTGCTGAGAAACACCAATTTCCGAGGGGTCTCTTTGAACCTAACACGAAAGTTTGCGCAACAGATGTGCACTGCACTGCTTTTCCTTGCGACTCCAGAACTTAGTATCATTCACTGTGATCTAAAACCTGAAAATATCCTTCTTTGTAACCCCAAACGCAGTGCAATCAAGATAGTTGACTTTGGCAGTTCTTGTCAGTTGGGGCAGAGGGTAAGTATTATTTCAGAACTTGTGAATTAAATAGAAATTAAATAGAAGTAGGTAGGACAGTGTAGGTATTAGGTTGGCGCAAAAGTAATTGCGGTTTTCGCCATTGCAGTTGCTGTTTTTGCAGTGGCAAAAACCGCAATTACTTTTGCGCCAACCTAATAGATATTTGAAATGTTAATAAGGTGTATACCATTTAGAGGCAATTACAGGATGCTTATTTATCTTTAAAATGTAGCACTTAATTACCTTGTGTTGATATCTATTTTGGGGAAATACCTTTTAAAATGCAAATAGCAATACTTTGAGTCAAAAGACATTGATTTTTTTGAAATGGGTATATTTAAAATTGTATGTATGCTAAAAGATTAAGGGAGAGAATAGGAGATGGAATGATTAAATATTAGGGGATTTGTAACTATATTTCCCAAGTAAAGGTTTTAGTATAAATTTTGGGACTTTCCAGTACTAGAACATTGAATCTTTGCTGTAAAATACTTCTCTGAAGATGGATCAAGATAAATCTTTTTTCTCAAAAACTGATGGTTCAAAAAAATGCAGGTAATTTTGCATTAGTCATGGTATAAGTATAGAAAATTCAGTTGATAGACTTACTTGTTTTGATAAATAAGTTTGTCTTATTTTCCCCACTCTTATTTAAAATTTACATAAATTCTGACACATATCCAAGCTGGTTTTTTTCAGACTGCTAAAAACAGATGTGTTCGTAGTGCTGATAAGTTTAGCTGATTTAGGAAAGCAGTTTTTTCCTGTCATTCTTCCAGCATTATGAAAACTACTCTAACAGCATTGTTTTATGTATAAAATAGAAGTGATAGGGGTCTCCTCTTGAAAGGAATTAGTGTCACCATTTGATAATATTTTACTCATTTTAAGCACTATTCTTTTTGCTTTAAGTATTGAAACTATATTTCTTCTGTTTTAAAGAAACCCGGCTAACATACAGATGTTAATTTTTCTTACTGACTTTTCTGTTTCTTATTTTTCCAAATTAGTGAAATTTTCTGTCCCGTCCTACTTTTGTCCAGGTTTTAACTATAACAGATTAATTTAATCATAAGGATTTATAGCCAATTAATAGGACTGTCTTTTTGTTATTTTCTGCAACTTCTCATGGTAGTGAGGCTATCAAATGTTAAAGTAATTTTTAAAAATTGGAGTAGGGAGCAAAGTTTGCAGTTTTAGATGCCTTCAAAAAATCAAGAGATGCTCGTAGTTAATATGTGGTAGAGTATATTGTGAATGAAAAATACATGCCCATCTTGACAGTAATTTGAATAGATTATAGAGTTGGGAAAATTTCCCCCTATTTAAGCCAAATTATGTATTTTGTCCTAATATTAAACATTATTATTTCTGTCTAGCCAAAATGAGCCAGTTATCCCTACAATAAGTTTTTAACTATTCAAGTTCATTGGCATCACATGGGAAGTTATTTCTAAAATAGACCTGCAGTGGTCCTGCCCCTAGATCTGTTGGATTAGAATCAGAAGGTGGTAGGGCAAGTGTGTTTTGGGGAAAGCAACTGCTTTAAACAAATTAGATAGGGAGGTGACAAAGTTCTTGGCATAAGCTGTGAAATAAAAGTCTCAGGAGTGGTGAGTGTTTGGGCCTAGGGAGTTAACAATGGTATTGGCTTATAAAAACCATGGAAATGTAATACTTCTTCCCAGTTCTTTTAAATTAGACTTTCTTCTCATAGTTCCTTAAGGTTGGTTGACCTACCTGTGGAGGCCTGAGATTGTTCTCGAAGACTTGGCTGGAGGTTTCAGTGGGAACCACAGAAAATTTCATGAGCTTTCTGGCTGCATGGTTTGGGTGTTAGGAAATTTAGTTAGGATTTTATTTCTTTTCCACTTTTAATAAGTGAAACAAATTGGTCTCTGAAGACATCCTAACATTACTTCATTGAAAATAGTCCATTTCAGGATTGTCTTTCTATAAGAAGTCTTGGATGGAGGTAGAGAGAGAAGATGAGAGAAGAAGCTATTGGTCAGAGACAGCTCTCAATTGAATCTTTATGTGGCAGTGTTTCTGGGATTTATCTGTGAGACAGCAAGAGTACAAATATCTGAATTTTAAATTATATTATATTGAAGTTACTTGACTTTTAACGCTGAGAAATACATTGTTTGGGTTAATTTAAATACTATTTAGTTGTAAAGTTAGTGGTAAACTAAGTGCCAGCCATAGTAGGAAGAAATAATTATTAGGGAAATACATTGCTTTCAATAGTGTTTTTTTTTTCCTAGTGAGGCATAATTGTTTTAAGAAATATCATGATGACTAGGTAGGATTAGACTAAATGAAAGGGCTTGAATCTTTACGTATTATGCATTTCACAGTCAGATTAACCAATCCCTCAAAATGTTTAGTTCTTTAAGCCGTATTCGTAGTCTAATGTTGAAGTTAATCAATGGAACCCTAATTCAGGAATTAGCCAATTCTTTTCTGTTAATATCAGATCAATGTTTTTAATCCAATGCTGACTGCAGTTTTAAGCAATTGAAGTAATACTATTTTGAAATATATTTCAGATATACCAGTATATTCAGAGTCGCTTTTATCGGTCTCCAGAGGTGCTACTGGGAATGCCTTATGACCTTGCCATTGATATGTGGTCCCTCGGGTGTATTTTGGTTGAAATGCACACTGGAGAACCTCTGTTCAGTGGTGCCAATGAGGTAAATGATGTATTGCTTTACAAATTCTGTTTTCATAATTTCTTTTTGTCTTTCATCTGTGACAGTGTAATTTAAAAGTTGTTTTTAGGCAAAGATGTCTACTTAATCATTCAAATGTGAGGTCAGTTTGAATATACCTATTTTTCATATTTGTCAGTTGTCATGTAAGTTTAGAATTATGAGATAGGAGTAGGATATTTTAATCTACTCATGAAGGAGAACAGTTAGAAAGTGTTAAGTATTTTGGCATACATTTTACAGGTTTTAAATACAATACAGAAAGCTTAAAGATGATAAAGAATGAAGGCCATCCTGAAGAGTGATACAAACATCACTCTAAATTTTGAGATTATGATTTGGAGTTGAAGAGTAATGATCAGTAGGACTGATGGATACTCAGTCTGAATAATGTAGAGTAAACGAGATTATAGACTTGTAGGGCTACAGAGACTGTGTGCAGTTCTGAAGTCTACAGGTTTTCAGTCTGTGTTCTGGAAGATTTTTCAAGGTCAGAGGCAGTGAATGGGAGGGCAGGGACAGGCCTTAACTTCCCTGCAGTCAGAGAAATTAGACTTTCATTGTTTTAAAAACTACACCTGTGGGGTTTTGTTTGTTTTTTAAAAGAAAAATTGACAATTTGCACGTCTTGATCAGTCTATTTATAAATGAGAAGAGAAAGGCCAAAGGCATTAATGACTTGTACCGGATTACACAGCTGTTAATAGGTGGTGTCAGAAACTTGTTTCTTCCATCCTTCCTTTTAATTCTTCTTTTTTTTTTTTTTTTTTTTTCCCGGAGATGGAGTCTTGCTCTGTCACTCAGGCTGGAGTATAGTGGGGCAATCTTGGCTCCCGAGTAGCTGGAATTACAGGCAAGCGCCACTATGCCTGGCTAATATTTGGATTTTTACTAGAGTTGATGTTTCACCATGTTGGCCAGGCTGCTCTCGAACTCCTGACCTCAAGTGGTCTGCCCGTCTCAGCCTCCCAAAGTGCTGAGATTACAGGCGTGAGCCACTGTGCCCAGCCCCTTTTAATTCATTTCAACTTGAACTGGTGAGCTACTCTTTTATAGTAACTGTCATAGTTTGTTTTTTTTTTTAGTATAAATCTTACTGTGTAAATTAGTATCTTTCTTGGGCTTAAACAATATTAAAAAAACTTTGCCATGTTACTCATTGTAAAGGCCGAGGTCCTTTGAGTAACCCACAGATTCCTACTTCCTCTGATGCCAGTTCTCTCACCACCACCTGGTCTCTCCTTCTCCCCTCACTCTGTGGTCCCTTGAAAACGCCAGCTACAGGCCCATAGCCCTTTGTATTTCTTCCTTCCTGTGCCTAAAATGCTCTTTTCTGAGATACTCCTTTGCTGATGTTAGTGTTTGCTCTGATGTCACATTCTCGGTGAAACCATATACCCCACTTACGGTTGCAGTACCCCTTCTCCTCATCCCATAGTTCTTAGCCAGCATCTGACATCATGTATTTAATTATTTATTGATAATGCCGGGCGCAGTGGCTCACACCTGTAGTCGCAGCACTTTGGGAGGCTGAAGCAGGCAGATCACTTGAGGTCAGGAGTTCGAGACTGGCCCTGCCAATATGGTGAAACCCCGTCTCTACTAAAAATAGAAAAATTAGCCTAGTGTGGTGTTGCGTGCCTGTAATCCCAGTTACTTGGGAGGCTGAGGCAGGAGAATGGCTTGAACCCAGGAGGCAGAGCTTGCAGTGAGCCGAGATCACGCCACTGCCCTCTAGCTTGGGAGACAGAACAAGACTCCATTAAAAAAAAAAAAAAATTGTGTGTTTGTGTGTATATGTATTTGCTGTCTTCCCACTATAACATAAACTTCTTTTTGGCAGGAATTTTTATGTTTTGTTTATTATTTTCTACCACTGAATATGGTTCCTAGCATATAATAGGCACACTCATTTAAAGTACTTAAAAAAGTACTTTATTAGGTCCATACTTTATTAAGCCTCTGGGATTTTGTGTGTGTGTGTGTGTGTGTGTGTGTGTGTGTGTGTGTGTGTGTGTGTGGTTATTTAACATGCTCTGAAAACTGGGTTGGGTGCCGTACCTCACGCCTGTAATCCCAGCACTTTGGGAGGTCAAGGTGGGAGGATTGCTTTATCCCAGGAGTTTGAGACTAGCATAGGCAACATGGTAAAACCCCATCTCCACAAAAACTTTTAAAAATTAGCTGGGCATGGGGCCGGGCACGGTGGCTCACACCTGTAATCCCAGCACTTTGGGAGGCCAAGGTGGACAGATCATTTGAGGTCAAGAGTTTAAGACCAGTCTGACCAACATGGTGAAACCCTGTCTCTACTGAAAAATATGCCTGTAGTCCCAGTTACTCAGGAGGCTGAGGCAGGAGAATTGCCTGAACCTGGGAGGTGGAGGTTGCAGTGAGCCGAGATTGCGCCACCGCACTTCAGCTTGGGTGACAGAGCGAGACTCCATCTAAAAAACAAATAGCCGGGCATGGTGGTACATGCCTGTAGTCCCAGCTACTCAGGAAGCTGAGGTGAGAGGATCACTTGAGCCTGGGAGGAGGTCAAGGCTGCAGTGAGCTCTGAGTGCACCACTGTACTCCAGCCTGGGTGACAGAGACCCTGTCTCAAAAATAAGTAAATAAAAAAAATTTTTTTAATAAAATTCTCCCAAAACAGAAACTTTAAAACTTCCTCTCATCTTTCCTTACTGTTCAACATTGTATCCATGGCTACCTGACATAATATGTTTGTTAATTGACTGTCTTCCCTTCTGTGGGGTATTTGACTCAAGGAAGGTAGGGCCTTTCTTGTGTTTGTTCATTACTGTATGCTGGATGTCTAGAGGAGTGCCAGACACACAGGAGGTGTGCAATTTATTTATGAATGAATGACTTGATGAGCAGGAGTAGATGTACAGTAGAAATTACAGGTTTTGTTGTTTTTATTTTTAATACAGGTAGATCAGATGAATAAAATAGTGGAAGTTCTGGGTATTCCACCTGCTCATATTCTTGACCAAGCACCAAAAGCAAGAAAGTTCTTTGAGAAGTTGCCAGATGGCACTTGGAACTTAAAGAAGACCAAAGATGGAAAACGGGTAAAATAAGGATATATCTGTTTTGAGCCTTTATTAAATTTCTTTATCATACCTGTCTTTTTATAGCTCATTTTGCATTTACTTGAAATCAGTGTGTTTCAGTTAACGATTTTATTGATACCTTACATAGATATTTTGTTCAGAAGTTGAGTATAGTTTGACCTGAACTATCAGGTATGGACCAGTGTTTGATTAATGGTCAGAGTTATCTTTAAAACTTCATATTAAAAACTGTATGCCTGCATTTTGAGGCAGCTGATCACATCACCATACTTGGTTTCAACAGTAGAATTAATAAATTTGATCTTTGTTTCTCACAGCTTGGGCATGTAATGAGGTCACAGTTAATACTGCAGCTGTGAACAGAAGTCACAATTGGAGTAAATGATTTTTTTTTTTTAAGTTCAGTTGGTAAATTATGTCAGAAGATGATTTTTGGCTTAAGTAGTATGTGATTTTTTTCCAAGGATATTAACTGACTAGATGGTCCTTTGATAGACTTCAGATTCCTAGCTCATTGACTTGGATAGCAAAAATTTCACATCTCCAAAATCTTTTAAAGTGAGGTTTTTAAAACATTTGGTTTGTTTTAGTAATTTTCTTTTATCTGAGGACTTTTTAAAAGATACCTAAACTATGTCAGTTTAATAGAGTAAATGATGCCAATTTTGCATCTTGATTTTTTACTTTTGTTTTATAGATCTGTAAATAATCATGTTTTGTAATTTACTTTGGTCCTAGTATTGAATGAATGTAATGTATAAATATGTGATTGAATATGACCCCCACACACACATGTACATACAGAAGTCACCTTGAGATCATAGTTTTGCATTTTATAACATTTAAGAGTTTATTTTTGTTTCAGTTATTATTTTGCCTTGTATTTTAGCGGACGCTGCCACCAGGTGTCATTTTCAGTGAACTGAAGATGATGGTTGATCGCCTTAATTCACCTCCACACAGCTATGGAGTCATAACTTTTAATATCAGATGATTTTCTTTAGAATATTTAAAAGCACATACGTAGTTGTATCTTTCAAAACTGATTTGTAAGTTCTTGTGTTCTGCCATATTCACTAAAGCTATAGGCAGTGCAGTTTCCAGCTGCTAAATTATGCCTATTCCCCATAAGGAAAGGATGGAAAATGCCATCGAGACCTCCTGGGCTCTTGTTTTTTCTTTACCCACATAGCTCATTAATCGTGGCCCATTTTCCATGTAACCAAAAACTTAGTCTGGGAATCCTTACTAGCTTCACCAGCATTTAAAGGCGTTCCTACCAGTTTGAATTAGCATGGAGAGGAAATTAAATCTTTTTTATGTTGTCTCTCTCTGTGATACAGGCTGCTGCTTTCTCCATTTCAGATTGATTTATTTATATTTTGCTTCTGCTATTTTTTTTCCTCAATAAAACATCCCATTCCATCTCCTAAATCTCTGCCTTACAAAAACCACAGTGACCTATCATTTCTTTCAAATTGATCTATAGGTATTACTATTTTTAGTTATTTGGGGTGGGGGCATTTCAGAAATGAGTAGATTGTCTTTTCCCTTTTAAAATTGGAAGTGGATATCTTAACATACATTTAATACATGTGAATTAACTAGATTTTTATGAGATTTATTTTAGTCGCACTTAGCAATTGACTTAAGCAACTTAATTTTTAAAAATATGAAATAATTATTTTGCTTTTAAGAGATAAATTTTGTAACAAAAAGTCAAATTCATAATCAAATAATTACATTACAAATGGTACACTAAGAATTTTGACTAGAGATACAAATAGATGTGCATATACTTTCATTGGCTATCTCTTTGTGGTTTGTTTACTGATTTTATTTTTACTTTTAATTTTTCATTTTACATTTCAAAAGCCCCATATTAGGGTTTTCCAATAATGAAATAAATACTATATATTTTTTTCCTGGTGGAGGTGCAGAATGAAGAAGACAATAAATGATGCTTTTTTTGAAGTACAGTTTATATAAGATACATATTTTAAGTGTTGAGTTTGTTTTCACCTTTGTGTACAGCAGTGTCCCCCATCTAAACCAATATGAAAGATTTCTATCATTCCAAATCCTCTTGTGACCTTTTCTGTTATCCCACTACTTTCTGATTTCTATCATCAAAGACTAGCTTTGCTTTTTCATTGGCAAACTTAGTATAATTGGAGCCTTATAGTATTTATTGTTTAGTTTTGGGTTTTCTTCACTCAGCAAATGTATTGTTTTTGGAAAATCATCAATATTGTATGTCTCAGGAATTAATTTTTTTTTATTGCTTCAACATATTTCATTGAATGAACATGCCATAATTTATATTCACCTGTCAGTGGTCATTTGGTTTGTTCCCAGTTTGGGACTATTATGAATAAGGCTGCAGGGAACAGTCTTTTATACATATGTTTTCATCTCTCTGACAGCACAGTCTAAGAGTAGAATTGCCAGGTCATGGGGTATGTGTTTACCTTCACAAGAAAACACCAGTTCTCCAAAGTTGTTTTATTTTATATTCCCATGATGTATGAGGGTTCCAGTTGCGTGACATCCTCACCATTTTGTATGGTTTGTCTGTTGGGTTTTAGCCATTCTGTAGTGGATATGTAGTGGTTTGCATTTGCATTTCTTCATGGCTAATACCACCTTTTCATATGCTTATTAGCCTTTCATACATATTCTTTGTCACAGGTCTTTCCCATCTTTTGCTTGTGTTACTGGGTTGTTTAATAATTGAGTAGTCCTTTGTCATTAAGTTTTTTGTCACATGTATGTCAGTGTATTTCCCTAGACTGTGGCTTTGCCTTTTCCTTTCTTAATATGGTATCTTTTGATGAATAGGGAGTTTTAATATTGATGAAGTTGTATTTGTCAACTTTTTTTGTTTGGTACTTTTTTTATCCTGAAAAATCTTTGCCATCTCCAAGTTTGTGAAGATATTCTGTGTTTTCTTCTAAAAGTTTTTTATTTTTATTTTTTAGTCTGCTTTTACAGTTAGGATTCTGTGGTCCATCTTGAATTAATTTTTGAGCGTGGAACAGGGTGAAGGGGTTGAAGTTCATTTTCTTCCATATGCTTACCTAGTAGTTACAGCAGCATTTGCTGAAAGCAATTACTTTACCCTGTTGATATGTTTTCTATTCTAGGTCCTTTCTTTTCACATATGGATTTTTAGAATCAGCTTGTAAATTTCTACCAAAAAAATGGTGCTAGCATTTTGATTTGGGTTGCAGTTGGGATTGCATTCAGGAAAATGGACATCTTAACAATATTAAGTCTTCCACTCTGTAAAGATGGGTTATCTCTCCATTTATTTAGGGCTTAAAATCTCTCAGCAGTGTTTTATAGTTTTTAATGCAGAAGTCTTACATATTTTGTTCACTTTATTCCTTAGTTTTTAATTTTTTAGATGCTATTTTAAATGGCATTTAAAATGTATAATTTCATAATTTTTCATTTTTGGTATACAGAAATACAACTGATTTTTGTATATTGATTTTGTATCCTAAGACCTTGCTAAATTCACCTATTCTAGTACAGTTGACCCTTGAACAATACAGGTTTGAACTGCACAGGTCCACTTGTATGCACATTTTTTTCTGACAAATAGAGTCAGCCCTCTGTATCTGAAGGTTCCACATCTGCAGTCAAATGTGGATCAAAAATACAGTATTCCCTGGATGTGAAACCTGTGTATGAGGGCCAACTTTTCACATATGTGGGTTCCGCATGGCCTCCTTGTGGAGCTTGAGTATGTGTGGATTTCAGCATATTTGGGGGGGTCCTGGAACCAACCCCCTGCGTATACTGAGGGATGACTGTATTTTTGTTGTTGAAATTTGATAGGGCTTTGTACTTAAACAGTCTTAATGCTCCATGAATGAAGACAGTTTTGTTTTTTCAACTGTATGTCTTTTTTGCTTTTTTAATATCATGAGTGGGTTTTGAATATTGTCATGTTTTTTCTGCACGTATAGAGATCATCATATGATTTTTCTCCTGTTTTGTGGTAAAATGCATTAATTTTTTGAATGTTAAGCCCCACCCTGTGATAACCTACACTTGGCCTTGATATACTATTCCCTTATATATATTGCTCAGTTCAATTTGCTAATCTCTTGGTAAGGAATTTTGTTTCTATGTCATTAATGGATATTTGCATAACATTTTATTAATAAAACCATCATTGGGGTTTGATTTTAGGATTGTGCTGGACTTGTGAAACTATTAGGAAATATTTTTTCTTGATTTTCTGAAAAAATTTGTATATGATTGGTTGGCATTATTTCTTTTGTGATGTTTAGTAGAGGTCATTGATGAAACCTTCAGAACCTGCGACATTTTTTGTTAGAAGGTTATTTAATTATAATTTATGTTTTTTGATGAAAATATGGTTATCCAAATTTTTTTTAAGTTAGTTTTGGTAAGTTGTATCTTTCAAGAAACTTTTCTTTCTCATCTAAATTGTTGAATTTGTTGGCGTAAACTTATCAATAATATTTTACTATAATTTTTTTTTAATATCTAGAGAATCTGTAGTGATAGTCTCTCTTTTATTCCTGATATTGGCCATTTGTACTTTCTGTTTTTTCCGCAAGTAGTCTTGCCTCAGGGTTGATCAAGTTTATTAATCTTTGCAGACAACCAGCTTTTGACTTTGTTGATTTCTTTTTTTTTTCTTTTCTTTTTCTATTCTTGATCTAGTTTCTATTCTGTTTTTTGCTCTTCATTATGTCCATTTACTTGGGTTGAATTTACTCCTTTTCCAGCTTCTTAAAGGTGGAAACTAGATCATTAATTTTTAAGCCTCTTTGCTACTATAGAATTTAATGGTATAAATTTCCCTCCAAGCACTGCTTTAGCTGCATTCTGCAGCTTTTTATATGTTTTTTTTGTTGTTGTTGGTTTTTTTTTTTTTTTTTTTTTTTAAGACGGAGTCTCGCTCTGTTGCCAGGCTGGAGTGCAGTGGTGTGATCTCGGCTCACTGCAACTTCCGCCTCCCAGGGTCAAGCAACTCTCCTGCCTCAACCTCCCAAGTAGCTGGGACTACAGGCACCCACCACCACACCCAGCTAATTTTTGTATTTTTAGTAGAGACGGGGTTTCACCATATGACCAGGATGGTCTTGATCTCTTAACCTCGTGACCCACCTGCCTTGTCCTCCCAAAGTGCTGGGGTTACAGGCATGAGCCACCACACCCGGCCACTTTTTATATGTTTTAACAGTCATTCTGAAATGTTTCTAACTTGTGATTTCTTCTTTAACCTGTCATTAGAATTTTGTTACATAATTTCAAAATATTTGAGGATTTTCTAGATGTCTTATTGAGTTCTAGTTTAGTAGCAGTTTGGTCACAGAACGTGATTTTAGTCCTTTAAAATCGAGACTTGTTTTATGGCCTAGCATCTAATGTGTCTTTGTGAATGTTTTATGTGTGCTTGATAAGAATTGTATTTTGTGTTTGTTTGGCGTAGTGGTCTCCAGCTATCAATGTAGATCAAATTGTTTGATATTTTTCTTCATATCTTTTATATCTTTGTGTGTATTTGTGTATATTCTGTCAGTAATTGAGAGAAGAGTCTTCATTGATAAGTTTGGATTTGTCTTAGACTCCCTTTGTAACATTGCTTTATGGTTTTTGAAGCTTTGTTAATAGGTATATGCATGTTTGATATTGTTACGACTTATTGATAAATTGACCCTTTTATCATCCTGAAATGTCCCTCTTTGTCTCTAGTCATGTTTGTCTTTAAGTCTGCTTTGTCCGATATCACTATAGTCTTACCAGTGTTCTTATTCTTGATATTTTCATGGTGTGTGTGTGTAGATATGAAAGATATGAAGAAAAATATGCAACATGTGTAGACACACACACACACACTTTTACCCTTTTACTGTAAACCTGTGCCTACCTTTATATTTAAAGAATTATTTTTGTGTTGTGTGCAACATATGATCAAGTCGTTTTTTTAATCTAGTCTGTTAGTGGTTAACCCATTATTCAGAGTTTTGGGTTTAAGACTTGTCTTATTTGTGTTCTGTTTGTCTTTCCTGTTCTTTGTTTCCTATTCCTTCTTTCCTGCCTTTTGCGGGGAGGTTTGTTGAATACTTTTTGGCATTTTATTTTATCTCTTGTACTGATTTTTTTACTTATTCCTCTATGTGTCATGTTTAGTGTTCCTTTTATAATATGCACGTTTAACATTAGTTTACCTTCAAATAATAATATATTGCTTGTTAAACAGTGTGATAACCATGTGATTCTATCTACCTCTTGTGCACTTGTTGTATTACTTTTGCATGTTATAAACCTCACAACACATTGTTGGCTGTTTAAATAAAAAATAGATTTAACACAAAAAAGAAATTTAAAAAGACATAAAATAAGGATAATAGATCTTTTATATTTATCCTTATATTTGCTCTTTTCTGGTGTTATTCATTCCTTTTTGCAATTCCTAGCTTCCATCTGGTATTATTTCTTCAGCCTCAAGACCTTCCTTTAACTTTTATTTTGTAATGAATAAGCTATCCCGATAAATTCTCTCAGCAGGTGTTGATCTGAAAATACTTGTTTACCTTTATTTTTTGGAAGATATTTTCAGTGAATATAGAATTATAGATTAACTTCTTTCTTTCAGTGAAAGAAAAAGATGTTACGATATAGCTTAAAGATGTATTGACTTTTTTTCTGGATTACACTGTTTCGGTAGAGAAGTCAGTGGTTATTCTTAGCATTGTTCCCCTGCATATAATATTTTCCCCCTCTTCCCTCTGGCTGATTTTAATATTTTCTCTTTGTTTGATTTCCGCAGTTTGACTATTTACCTAGGTATGATTTTCTTTGTATTTTTTCTCCTGGGAGTTCACTGAGTTTCTTGGATCTGTGGGTTGATCTCTATCATCAGTTTTTGAAAATCCTCAGATACAGTCTTGCCAAATATTTGTTCTGCTTTCGTCTTTCTTCTAGTTCTCCAGTGATGTGTATGTTACAGTGCTGAATATTATCCCAGAGGTCTCTGTCTGGTTTATTCATTCTGTTTTCTGTTTGTGTTTTTAATTTGGATAATTTCTTTTTCTGTCTTCTTGTTCACTGATTTCTTTTTTTTCCTTGTGCTGAGTCCAGTCTGTTGTTGAATCCATTAAATGGATTCATGTGATGTTATTGTTATTTTTGAGACAGGTTCTCACTCTGTCACCCAGGCTAGAGTGCAATGGTGTGATCATGGCTGATTACAGCCTTGACTTCCTTGGCTCAAGCAGTTCTTCTACCTCAGCCTCCCAAGAAGCTCGGACTACAGGAGTGGTGCAACCACCATACCCAGCTATTAAAATTTTTTGTAGGAACGGGGTCTGGCTATGTTGCCTTGGCTGGTCTTGAACTCCTGGACTCAAGCAGTCTTCCCACCTCAACCTGGGTGTAGAGACATGAGCCCAGCCTATATTTTTTAGTTCTAGCATTTCTATTTTGTTTTAAATATAGTTTTTCTCTTCTGAAATTCTACATCTATTCATATGTTGTCCACTTTTGAACTAAATTGTTTATCATAATTTATCAGAAGTAATTTATCATAATTATTTTAAAGTTCCAGTCTGCTATTTTCAACATCTGCACCATTTATTTATGTGTATCTTCTATTGGGTTTTTTTCTTTCATGTGATTGTGGACGTCATTTTTAAAAAATGTTTGTAATTTTTAAATGTGTGACAAATTTTCTTTGCTTAAGAACAGTTAAAGATGGAAGTGAGTCATATTTTCCCTCAGAAAGAGGCCTCTCAACTCTGTCAGGCCCCTCATGTGGGGCTGAGTTGATCTCTTTTGTAGCTTAGCTGACTCTGGGCTTTGCTTGTTTGACTTAGATTCTACTCCCCACTGTTTTCATATGTTTTGAGCTGGGATCAGGACATTCCCTTCAGCAGTGTTTGTGTCTTTAGAATCAGGGAAAATCTAGTGGTCTCTATACATTACTGCCCAGTCAGCAGCCCCACTCCTAACTCTCTGTGCCTGGGAGATCGCCTTCCTCCTGCTGTACTGCCCCATCCTTCTGTCTGTCCACTCCTGGCCGTCAGAAGTTGGTTCAGACTTGGGCTGGAGTCTTCTCGCTCATCTGTGGCTTACTTGCGCCTTCTCCCACTGCAGGTCTCTTCCAGGAGAGGCTTTTCATTTTGTAGAATTCAGGAGATTTTTGTTCCAACTTTGGATCCTCATACAGCTCTCTGATGGGTCTTTAAAAGGCAGTGATTTTATGACTTATTAGAGGAGGAACAATCATCTCACACATTTCTGCATTGTAACAGAAGTCAAAGTCTGGTGATGCTATTCTTAAATTCAATATTTATAGAGATCTTGAGGGTTATAGTATTATCTGTCAAAAATGAGTTTTCAGGAAATCTCAACACACGTTAGTTTATTATTACATAGATTTTCTAAAGGGAAGCATACATAATTTTCTCTTTTTCTACCATGAGCAGGTAGGGTTAGGCCAGTGCCTTTTTATGTAGAACATCCTTGGTGTCATTGCCATAGCTTTCTTGGGCTGCTGTTGCTGAAGGAAGTGTAACAGGTGCTGCGGGTGCACAGTTAGGTAGGAAAGAGGCTCCCAGCCAGGGTGAGCAGGGGCATGCATGTTCTCTGTAAAAGATGAGAGAAAATGCTTTTAGCCTTGTGGACCTCTGTTGCATATTTTTTGTTTTTGGTTGCTTGTTTTTACAACCTTTGAAAACAGAAAAACCATTTGTAGCTGGAGCTGTAGAAAACCAGGCTCTGGATCAGGCCATAGTTTACTGACCCCTGGGCTAAATGATCTTTATAGCCATTTTTGGTCTCAGAATTAATGTTGAACTGTAACTACCATGCATTTGGGATAGTAATGTGTGAAAAGGCAGAGGATTTAACTATGAAGTGTCCTTTTTAATAAAGGCCTCAACATATATATTTAAACATATTTGAAATTCAATTATGTGAGTGTTTACGTATTCCACCAAATTTAGAGAAAGCCTTTCATCTTCTCTCTTACAGGAGTACAAACCACCAGGAACCCGTAAACTTCATAACATTCTTGGAGTGGAAACAGGAGGACCTGGTGGGCGACGTGCTGGGGAGTCAGGTCATACGGTCGCTGACTACTTGAAGTTCAAAGACCTCATTTTAAGGATGCTTGATTATGACCCCAAAACTCGAATTCAACCTTATTATGCTCTGCAGCACAGTTTCTTCAAGAAAACAGCTGATGAAGGTACAAATACAAGTAATAGTGTATCTACAAGCCCCGCCATGGAGCAGTCTCAGTCTTCGGGCACCACCTCCAGTACATCGTCAAGCTCAGGTCTGTGCTGCTGCGGTTAGATTAGGCTTGGGAATGTTTTGTGTTTTCTTTATGAAGTGGGATTATTTTAAAGTGTTGATTAAATTTGTTAATAGAGTGGGGAGCAGTTACTTTACTTAAATCTGTTCTTTGTAGTTAGTAGTAAATTCATCTCCCCCAAAGCTCCAATATTTAGTTACGCATGTAATAAAATCTGCTTGGCAGTTGGAAATCTGTTTACTAACCAGCATTTTAAATTACTTCTTAAATGGAATTTTTGTCCACATTGCTTGAGTTTTCCCCTACCTTAACCAGACTTCATTGTATTTTAGTTAAGTGGTGGACGAGAGAGAACCTGGTTTTAGTCAGAGAATATGAAGACTTTGTGATATACTTTCAAGTTAATATTAGAGATTTTGTATGTGTGTGTGTGAGTACTTTCAGTTTTAATGGTATAGCTTCAGAGTATAAATTTGAACAAAATGAATTTTAAACTCACAGTTGTATTGTTTTGTGTTGTGATATTTCAGGTGGCTCATCGGGGACAAGCAACAGTGGGAGAGCCCGGTCGGATCCGACGCACCAGCATCGGCACAGTGGTGGGCACTTCACAGCTGCCGTGCAGGCCATGGACTGCGAGACACACAGTCCCCAGGTGAGCTCGCACGTGGTTCATTTGCTTGTGTCACCTGCCATTCTCAGGTGGAGCAGCACTGGATGCCAGGTGCCTTTAGAATGACCGTATCATTTACCCTAGAGGTTCATGACGTTCCTGTCTAAGGAAATGTAAGTATTTATCATAGAGAAGCACATTCTTGCAGTTTTCCTCCTCCTTGTCTAGAAGTGGCTAACACTTATTGGGGGCATAACAGTTGTTGTTTTGAACAGTTTTTTTCCTGTGTTTATCTCATTTACCAAAGCAGCGTTTTGAGCCTCATGCTTTTTTGATTCCCATTTTACAGTGGAAACTGAGACTTCATGGGCTAAGTAAATTTCCCTGGGTCATGATCTGAATGACTCGACTCTGCTTCCTCCCATGATTTTTTAGCATTTATAGTCCTGGATTCTGAATCAATTTCTGATTTGATTTTAGCCTTTTTGTTGTTGTTTTGTTTGTTTTCTGTTTTTAAACCTGTTGAAGAGGATCTAATTAAGTACTTTTTCAAAATTGGAGTGAAGCAGATGGTGATGGTAAAAATATTTAAATAATCTAATAAAGTTGTAAGTTGGTTCATACCGAGTTTTGCGTGATGGTGTTTGAAGGTGAGAGGCCAGTGTAGTATTTGATGGATGAGTAAACTGCTGTTGATTAAGAGTGCTCTCCATTCTTGTGACTAGGGCAGCTGAATGGTGCTGGAGAAAATCCCACATGCAGCTGTTTGTCAGCACTGTTAATACTCACCAACCTCTGCTGGGCAGTCTTACATGTTTTCCAAGTTGTCCCATCCTCTCCTATTCTCTTTAATAATAGTTTCAAACTTTTCTACTCTTAGAAACCTTTGCCCTCCCCTTCTCTGTTCTTACCCACTCTTTGCTTTGTAAGGAAAAGAGTCTTCAGACAGGAACTCTCTCCACTTTGTAACATTGAATACATGATCCTGCCTATGTGTGCACTGTCCACTTCTCCTCTACCCCTTTTTTGTTAGAAGCAGTGTGTTTCTTTCTGCCTAAGGCCAAGCCCACTCATTGCCCTGATCCCCTCTCTCCTGCCATCATGGGGGCTTTGCCCTTTGGTCTCCCTCAGCTCCGGTGTCTTCACTCTCTCCTCTTTTGGCTTTTTCTGTTGATCAGCATTTCCTCATCCTCAGGCCTCTCCCATCTTAAGCAGCACCTTTGCGTGTCCCCCTTTCTTTCCCTATACTTCTGCTACCTGTGGTCTTTGTCTCTTTACCCTGAAGACCTCTTTGCTTGTTCCACTTAGGTCCTGCCCTCCAACTCTCCTGCCGGTGTCAGCGGTGACCTTTATTCATGGGTCCAGTGGACACCCTAATGCTGTCTTTCTGCATTCTACAACTTCATTTGGCAGTGTTGACTTTTCCCCACTCTTTGAAACACTCACTGCTGGTTTCCTTGGCAGGATGTTCTTCTTTCCCTCCCCCCACCCCTTTTCTTTGCCCTTTCCTTCACTGTCTGTTTCGTTTTTTTTCTTCTACCCAGCACTGAAACCTGGGTGTTCCTCGAGGCATGACCTGTGTCCCTTCCCTACTCCGCTTAATGTTTCCTGGATGATTTCAGCCACACCTGCCAGGGCCTGCAGTCACCATCCTCATGCTAGTTGCTCCTAAGTCTTGACTTCTGACTTAGACTTCACTTCTGAACCCCTGGGGCCTTTCTAATTGTTTACTATAAATGTCACCTTGAAAGTCTCAACAATATGTGCACACACAGCACATAAACTGAAGTCATCATTTTCACTTCCTTCCCAACGCTTCTACTTTTGCCATTCTTTGTAAAAATGGCCCTAAATTTACCCATTTGCTCAAGTTGTAAATTTGGGGGCACTCCTCTCTCCCTCTTTCCCCACACTGAATCAGACAGTAAATTATCTGGATTCACCACATCTTAATACGTTTTTATTCTCCACCTTTCACTTTACCTCATTGTTATGACTTGTCTTATTAGAATGGAGTGTCTCATTCCATTCACCTGTCAGCACCATTCTCTTCCCTGCAGCCAAGTGAGCTTTCACTAAAGTGGTCTGTTCTTGCTATTTTCCCTACTTTTTTTCTCCCCTGCTGAGACGGAGTCTTGCTCTGTCGCCCAGGCTGGGGTGGAATGGAACAATCTCTGCTCATTGCAACTTCCGCCTCCCTGGTTCAAGCGAGTCTCCTGCCTCAGCCTCCTGAGTAGCTGGGATTACAGACGCACATCACCATGCTGGCTAATTTTTGTATTTGTAGTAGAGACGGGGTTTTGCCACGTTGGCCAGGCTGGTCATGAACTCCCGACCTCAGGTTATCTGGCCATCTCGGCCTCCCAAAGTGTGGGGATTACAGGCATGAGCCACTGCACCTGGCCTGTTTTCCTTACTTTAAACCAGTTTTGACTTGCCCTTCTACCTGAAGTGAAATGTAGACTTATTATCAAGGCGTCGGTGCTTTCCAGGATCTGGTCCCCACCGAGGCCATTCTTTCTCCTCTTCACTCACCCTAGTCACACTAATTCATTTTTCACTTTGTGTAATATGCCACATTCTCTCTTACTTTTCTTACATTTCCTGTGCTCTCAGCCTGGAACACTCTTTTCCTCCTCCTTTTGTTTTGGTAACTACTATTTATGCTTCAGGTCTTAAGTATCACTACTCCCAGGGGCTCTCTCTAAATCTTTAGACCATCCGCCTGTCTTGTCTTCTTCCCTTTCTTTCTTCCAGATCTATTCCATACCGCAAACACATACAAGAGTAGCATAAGACACCGCGTTCTTCCCACCTGGATTTCACAGAGGTCAAGATTTTGCTTCAAATCCTTTTTTGTTACTTAATTTTTGAGTGGTTGATATAGTCACATGGTTTTAAAAATAAGTAAATATAAAAGGGAATTCAGCGAAAGGTTTTCCTTCCTTCCATGCCTTCTAGCCCCTCAATTTCTAAACCAGTGTTATTAGTTTATTAGTTTTTTGTATACTTTTTGAGATATTTTATACATATTCAAGCAAATACAAATACATATTCTTCATCCACCCTTTGTACACAAATAGTACCATACCAGGCAAACGCTTTCAGAACATCTTGGTTTTTCTAGTCTTGACATATATTTTGGAGCACTTTCTGTATATCAGTAAATAGAGAGCTTTTTCATTCTTTTATTTATTTGCACAGTATCCCGTTGTTTAGATATTCCATAAGTCTTTTCACCATTCCCCTATTGTTTGTTTATTCATTTTTAAATTTATTTTTAGAGCTAGGGTCTTGCTCTTTAGCCCAGGCTGGAGTGCACTCGTGTCATCACAGCTCACTGCAGCCTTGAGCACCTGGGCTCAAGTGATCCTCCCACCCCAGCCTCCTGAGTAACTAGGCCTATGATTGTGTCCCAGCACACCCTGCAGTGAGGTCTCACTATGTTTCTCAGGCTGGTCTTGAACTCCTGGGCTGAAGTGATCCTCCCACCTCAGCCTTCCAAACTGCTGGGATTACCGATGTGAGCCGTCTTGGCCACCGGTCCCCTATTTATTAATGGACATTTAGTTCATTTCCAACCTTTTTTACTATTTACAAATGGTAGTTTAATAAATAACCCTGTACGGTAGTGTCCCTTCTTATCCACAGTTCCAGTTATTCAGTCAGTCACGGTCCAAAAATATAAAGTGGAAAATTTCAGAAGCAATTCGTAAGTTTTAAATTCTGTTATGAGTAGCACGATGAAATCTCATGCTGTCCCACCCTGGGCATGACTCATCCCTTCGTCTAGCATGTCCACACAGTAGATAAGTTACTTTGCTTTGTAGCCATCTAGATTATCAGATCAAAAAACATAGTATATAGAGGGTTTAGTCCTCTGCAGTTTCAGGCATCCAGTGGGGATCTTGGACTGTATCTCTTGTGGATAAGGAGGCACCACTGTACATGTCTCATTCACACATAGACATTTTATCTGTGATATAAATTCCTGAAAGCAGAATGACTGTTTCAAAGGGTAATGTGATTTATAATTTTGATAACTATTGCCAGATTGCCCCCCATGTGATTTTCTAATCCAGTAACTTGATTAACTTCATATAAAAACCATATAGTATTTTCTGAGAACTCACTGCCAGCTTTTCTACTGATTGTTTTCAGTAGTATCTCTTAAAAGTTTGGTTCTCAGACCACCTTTGTTGAATAAACCCTTAACAATTTGTGCCAGCCACTGGATAGAGACTGAGCCTTTTGCCTTCCTAGAGCTTACAGTGACACAAGTAAATAAAATGAACATGAAGAAAAATGGCAAGTAGCATTAGCTGTTAAAAAGAAAATAAGGATAATTTGGTAGAGAAAGACTGTTTGTTGGATAGGATGTATTAATTAGAATAGGCCAAACTCTGATATAACAGACCCCCAAAATATGGTAGCTTAAAGAGTACCAAGTTTCCTTCATTTTTGTGCAACAGTCCAGAATAGGTGTTCAGGTTAGTGGCTAGGCCGTCTTCCAGGTCCTGATCTCCTACCATCTTGTGGTTCCACCTTGCCCTAGGGCCTACTTGTCTACTGTGTCCAGCAGGCAGAAGGACTTGGGAGGTATTATCTTGTGTGCCAGGCTAGCAGTGACACAAGCTTTCATTCACATTCCATTGACAGCTTAGACATATGGCCATCAGTAAGTACAAGGGAGGCTGGGAAGTGTTGTGTAGCCATGTGCTCAGGAACGAGAAGAATATTGTGCACAACCAGTAGCTTCTGCCACAGTTGTTGAGGCAGCATCAGCCAGAGTGGTCAGGGAAGGCTCTGGAACTGAAGCGATGAAAAAGAGACATCCAAGCAATAAGAAAATCCAAGAAATAACATTTCTAGGCAGAAGGGAGCAGCGTGTTACTAGTACACTGAGGCATTTGAGAGATTTTGACCCAGGGGAGGAATGGAAGGCAGGTCTTCTTTGTTTGGAACTCAGGTAGCCAGGGATAGGATGGGTGGAGAAAGAGGTTAGAGAAGTGGGCATTGGCCAGATGATGCAGATCGTTGTATCCATTTGGGTTTATTTTGTTTTTCTAAGTGCAGTGAGAAGTCATTAAAGGATTTTAAATAGGGAAGTGATTGGATTTGTGTTAAGAAAAGATTGTTCCTGCTACCCTTTGGAGAAGGGCAAGGATGGAAACAAGGAGTTCATTTAAGGGGCTGTTGTGTTAGCGTAGGCAAGAGATGATGGGGATGAAGAGAAGAGGCCAAATTTGGAATCTGTTTCACAGGTAGACTCATAAGTTCTTGCTCATGGGTTGGACAGAGGCATTGTTGAGCAGCTAGGTAGATAGTAGTCCTTTATTGAAAGAAGAAAGATGGAGAGAGGAAGGACATGAGGGAAAAGTAAAGACTTCCTTTTGGACCTGCCCAGAATACTGTCCAGCCCTTTTCAGGAAATATTTGCTGACCCCTGGCATAAACAGGGCTCCCAAGGAAGGACAGTGGCTAGTGAAATAGATGAACCTATTTAAGGATATAACTTCCTAAAAATTGCAGCTTTCATGATGAAATTTTTTGCCCTTGAATGTATTTGGGATTTTGTGTTATAAAACTGTCTTAACACATTAAAAGTTTCAAAAACCGTTTCCCCCTGATTAATATGATGCTAGTTTGTTAGTGTCATGGCTTTTGATGGAAGATTAAAGCTTGGAAACAGTCCTCTGAAAAATCCTTTTAAAAATCTGTTCTTTCAGGTGCGTCAGCAATTTCCTGCTCCTCTTGGTTGGTCAGGCACTGAAGCTCCTACACAGGTCACTGTTGAAACTCATCCTGTTCAAGAAACAACCTTTCATGTAGCCCCTCAACAGAATGCATTGCATCATCACCATGGTAACAGTTCCCATCACCATCACCACCACCACCACCATCACCACCACCATGGACAACAAGCCTTGGGTAACCGGACCAGGCCAAGGGTCTACAATTCTCCAACGAATAGCTCCTCTACCCAAGATTCTATGGAGGTTGGCCACAGTCACCACTCCATGACATCCCTGTCTTCCTCAACGACTTCTTCCTCGACATCTTCCTCCTCTACTGGTAACCAAGGCAATCAGGCCTACCAGAATCGCCCAGTGGCTGCTAATACCTTGGACTTTGGACAGAATGGAGCTATGGACGTTAATTTGACCGTCTACTCCAATCCCCGCCAAGAGACTGGCATAGCTGGACATCCAACATACCAATTTTCTGCTAATACAGGTCCTGCACATTACATGACTGAAGGACATCTGACAATGAGGCAAGGGGCTGATAGAGAAGAGTCCCCCATGACAGGAGTTTGTGTGCAACAGAGTCCTGTAGCTAGCTCGTGACTACATTGAAACTTGAGTTTGTTTCTTGTGTGTTTTTATAGAAGTGGTGTTTTTTTTCCAAAAACAAAGTGCAAAGCTGCTTGAATCAGGAGGAGATTAACACACTGAACCGCTACAAGAGGGCAAAGCTGATTTTTTTTTTAACTTGAAAAGATTGCAAAGGGACATTGAAGTGTTTAAAAGAGCCATGTCCAAACCCATCTTCATGGATAGCTCAGAGGTATCCTCTTTTTGCTCCCCCATTTTAACTTGCCACATCCCAGTCACAGTGGGGTTTTTTTGTCTTTCTATTCAGCAAAAGTTAATATTCAGATGTTGGTCTTGGTCATTTGCCAACTAATTTTAAAGTAAAAGGCACTGCACATAATTTGCATAAAGGGCCCCATGAGGGTGTTTTTTTTTTTTCTTTTTGTCCCCCCCATCCCCCTTTTTTTTTGTTTTGTTCTGTTTTGTTTTGGGTGGGAGGGTGGGAAATTTGGGTTTTTAAGTCCTCTAAACACACTTGGGCACGGAAATGCAGTACTGTAAGGAAGAGGGACCTCCAGCTTCCACAAACACCATCTTCAGCTGTATGAAAGGGACGGTTGTGGTGAAGTTTGTCAGGCACAGTAAGCATGCTGAGTGGCGGGGATCAGAACTCTCCTATCTGAACCTACTGAGGAGCAAAGCAGCAATTACATGGGATCCTGTGGCTCTCCCGTTGCAGAGGCCACAGGAAGATAGGATGGAACGTGACTGGTCTCCTAACCAAGGTGCACTGAGAAGCAATCAACGGGTCGGTCGTGGCCAGTCCTGGGGAGGTCTGAGTGGTGGTCTTTGGGATAACCTTTGGCCTTATGGATTTGGACTCGAAATTAGAAGAGCCTACCATTTCAGATGCAATCACTTTTGGACATGCTTTTGCAGACAGTCCTTAATGCTGAAAACACAGAGAATGGGTAATTCAAGAGGCCTTTCTTTTAAAATAGACTTTTGTGACCCACTAATTGTAAGGTATTGCAAGGTCACTTTGCGTGTGTCATAAAGTTGACTTCCTTATTGGTTGAAGGTCACAGAAGTAGTGGTTTGCTTTGATGGAAATAGCTACAGCTGTGTCCCTTCCTGCTTTTTACTTTTTCTTTTGCTTTTTCTCGGCACGTGGTATCTCCACCATTTCTTCTGCACAAAGATGTCTTCTGTTCATCCTGAACATTTTTAAAAAATGCAGAATTTTATGTGACTGCTTTTTTGCCTCACAATTATGCTGTGAATTTTACAAAAATTTATTTTCTTTTTTGATAATTTATTGTACCAAAGCTGTTTTTATAGCACATAGATGTCTGTAACCAATAATGTAGCAGTTCTGCACTTTGACACAAGGTGTAACTAGACCATTTTTAAATGTCAGTTGAAAATTATGGCTGTACTATTGCTTAAACAAAACTGGAACTGTTGTTGAATCCATAGCCAATACATTTACAGCAATCTGTGTACTGAACATAGTAGATTGACATCTAATTCAAGATTACAACATCTGTTACATTCTAAGTGTGTTCAGGCTTCTGAAGGTAAAGGGACACTGGATCCAGAAGCTATGGAACCAGCAGTTGATTCTTGTATTCCTGATTAACCTACTTGTAAACTTGAAAGCAAGACCTTGATTGCACCAACAGGTCCAGAGTATGAGTGCAAGCAAAGCAGAACTCTCATGCGTGACCTGAGCAGACAGGCTGGTATTTAACAGGTGCCTCGTGTTGAGATTACGCTGCCTTAATGTAACACAGTCTGGCAGTTGCTAAATTTGTGTTCCCATTTTAAATTGACCAATTTTGGGGTGTGACACTTTTGAGCGGTTGAATTGGGAGAATGAAGATAAGTAATTTACCTGTCCAGGATCAAAAGAAGCCTAGAAAAGAAGCAGTAATCTACCTCTGCCGATAACCTGTTTAAGATGACTCAGCAGAACACCGCGTTTCATTCTATTGGTCAATTCCATGTGGCTGACTAGGTCAATTTTTTTTCTGAACAAAAGCAGGTTTTTATATGTAAACAGTGAGAAAAGAAAGGCTAAACACTATGTAAATGTGAATGGAAACTTGGAAATACTCGTTTTTATAAACTACAAAAACTTTTTGTTGTTTATCAGGAAATCCATATTTATTTTGTAATTAACTGTCAAGCCTGTGGATGATTTTTTTGAACTTGGTAGTTCATAAAGGTTTACAGTGAATAAAAGGATATCATCTTGAGTATAGCAATATCAAAAGGAATTCAGTAGTTACTGCTGTTTAGGAATATAAGGTTAAGATATCATATGGGTCAGGTCATTTTTTTTTTCTGTGCTGGTTGCCACATCTTAGCAAGCACCAAAAAACTAAAGCAGTTTTTAAACCGATATTTACGTAAAGAAAATCATAAAATCCAATGCTTCTGCATACTGTGTTATGTTACAGTCCAGTTTTGTGTGCTTTACTACACAGTTTGGTTACAGGACTTCTGTGCATTGTAAACATAAACAGCATGGAAAAGGTTAAATACCTGTGTTCAGATTGTAAGATCTAGTCCGGACTTGCTGTGTATATTGTAACGTTAAATGAAAAAAGAACCCCCCTTTGTATTATAGTCATGCGGTCTTATGTATGATAAACAGTTGAATAATTTGTCCTCAGACTCTTTACTATGCTTTTTTAAAAATTAATTTAAGAAAAATGTAAACATAGTAAAAATCTTCCTATGCAATTAAACTGGTCCAGGTCTGGTAGGTATAGTATCAAAGTTGAGTTAAATGTGTAAAAAGGAAACTATTTGAGATACATTGACATAGGCATCAGCAATCTCTGAAAGTAAAAATTGGAGGTTTAACAGATCATTTTGATTTTTCACATTGATTTTTTTATTTGAATGTTTACATAATTTTGTGATTCAAAATGCTCATATTTTAGTTGGTAGCATTTCGACTGGATGTGAGGGTCTGATGGTTTTCTCTGATATGCTTTGACGTGCTTGGATGAAGGAAGGAATACGAATACTCATTCTTCCTTCCCTAACTCCTCGTACGGGGCCATATCAGAATTCTAGAATTCTTGCCACTGTGATTCAATTGCTAACCTAAAGTCTTCTCTTTTTACAAATTCACCTGCTTCAGTATATATTAAGGTGGCTTTCGAGAGGCAAGATGCTTATTTAAAAGTTAAGCGTGAATCTGTAAAATTAAGGTTGGTTGCGTAAAGTTGAAGTTAACCACATGTAAGAAAGGAAAACTTCCATTAGTTTTCTTCTTAGGGTGTGAGAATTTTACCTAGGCACATGGATATTGGGCTGAAAAAAAAAAACCGACATTTTTATTTAAAACTACATGTAAAAAATCATGAAAGATTCAGTAATTATGTTAGGCTCACAAGTGACCATTGAGTTTGCCCCTGTACTGCTTCCCAGCTTTTGTGGTGTTGAACTTTTCTGTTCTTCCAATAGGGAGATACATAATCAAAATACACACGAAGACGAGATAGCAGGCACTCAGTTCTAGGCCAGTTTCTCAGTTTCCTTTGGGCCTGCCTTTATTTTGATAGTCGCAGAATGCAGGTTCAGATGCGATCCGGTGCATTCTGGGTGGTATCCCCATAGACAGAATACAAGTTCAAGACTCATTTTTATGTCCATTTTTATAGTGGTAGACTGTATGTAATAGACCAGATGGTTCATTCCAAATACATGACTTGGTCTTACTGCTATATATGAAGGAAGTTTGAAAATGTAATGGGGACAAAAGCCGTGCGTGACTTCGGTATACCCAGACTTCATTCAGATTTCTTAAAAATCTGCTAGGGATGTCTGTTGACCAGACGTTGGAAAACCTTTGGTGTCAGGGAGAGTAGAGGAGAAGTTCTGATTTTCATAACCCTGGTTTCTTATCTAGGCCTGTTTCCTTGCGTGAAAACATACATCACCAAGTAATTTGTAGTACAAAGAACAAGAGAAGAAACCCTAAGAAGATAGCTTATTTGTTATCCTCCCTTTTAATGACTAACCTTAATCCAAATGAATCCACTGAGAACCAGCCTGTGGATGCCTACTGGGCTTTCACCCTGGACCAGGAATTTTTGACGTATGCCTGTGTTGAAGGCACTGGATGCTTGTTTTGTGGAAGACATGTTCATTGAGGTAAGTGGCTCATCGCTTGGTGTGTTTGGCTCTCTTTGGCATTATGCATAGCCAAGGTCCCAGATTTTGGCTGCTCTCAGTGGGTGTTCTTGCATCAGAACTTTAAAAAAAATAACACTACCTTAACACTGAGACTGTCAGGTATTTGTCAGTATTTATTTCTAATTTCCTACTTTAAATCTTAGGAGACAAAGTGTTTCTCCAACTGGACGCTGATTTGAAACACAACTAGAATGCTACAGGTCTCTCTTCCAGTATGCAGCTGCTGTACCTGAAAATTTTTCCCCATAATTTCCCATCTTTAGGGTATGTCCCTGTTATCAGGTGTGGAATTAATGTGGGTAAATTTCCATTTCAGTTGAATTTCCTGTCATCCCCAGCAAAACCTGTGAATCCTTCTTCAAAGCATAGAGGAGGCAGAGACAAGTCTTAAACCGGCTTCCCTTCGCTTTTACCAGGTAGCCTGGTTCAGTCCCAGCTGGGTCCTGAAGGAGCACAGTACTAGAGCCTGAGTCATGTTGACTATTAATAAAGTGCATTAAGTTTGGGTCAGGCAAAGTGGTGGCAAAAGTTCATGATGCAGGACAGAGGAAACAAGTGGACAAGACAAGTGGAGCCCAGCTCTGTTCGCATGGGAGGCCGGGCGATGCTGGCATGGGTGTGGTTGGCCGAGTTCTCATAGCTAGAGAAAGGCCGTGTAGGTATAAGTGCTTAATGTTTCATCTGTCTGAAAGACCAGCTATTTGATAATCTTCCCGATTAAATTTCTAAAATTGCTACTTTGGGAATTTTTTTCTTTATTCTTGTAAAGTTTTGCTTCCATTATATACTCATTCATTAGTCAGTGTACTTGCCCCTGAATTCCATATCTGAAACTGCAGTCACGGGAGATTCAGAGCCAAGGGCAAAATAAAGTGGCAGGCACTGGGTGTGTGTGGTAGTTCTGCACTAGGGTGGCCAGGAAGCAGCCAAGCAGGTGTGCCGGGCAGGGAGTTGTTAATGAACACCCAGGCAAGAGGACGGGCCTGAGCCTGAGTGTGGCCAGCAGAAAGTGTTGAGTTGCTTAAAAGAGACCCTGGGAGGATGAATTTGGAATCATCATCCACTCACTGTTGGACAGAAAGACTGCAGAGAAGGGCACTGCTGGGGTGGGGTTTGTTAACTCCCTCTGAAATGAAAGAAAATACCTCTAGTGGCATGAAACGGCTAAGTTTTTTTTAATGTTACTTCTTTAATTTTAGAGACGGTGTCTGGCTTTGTCACGCAAGCTGGAGTTTGGTGGTGTGATTGCAGCTCACTGCAGCCTTAAACAACTGGGCTAGGTGATCCTCCCATCTCAGCCTCCCAAGTAGCTGGGACTACCTGTGCACACCACCATGCCTGGCTGTTTTTAATACGGGGTTTTGCTGAGTTGCTCAGGCGCTCCTCAAACTGCTGGCCTCAAGTGATCCTCCAGCCTGGGCCTCTCAAACATAAATAGGCTGGGCGTGGTGGCTCACGTCTGTAAAGATTTAAAGCGGAAAAGCGGAATGCAGTGAAATAGCATGAGAAAGAGCGTTTTTATGTACATCACAGACAAGCCTTGTTCTGCTGAAGAGGTGATGCCACGAGGTGGGGAGGAGCTCACTTCAGGCACCACTCCCACTTCCATTGCCCGCAAATCCAGGAAAGAAATGACTAATGAACTCTAGTGATCGCAAACTGCTCAATCGGTACTCATCAATTTAAAATGACTGTCCAGCCTTGCTGCACACTAAACTCATCTGTAGAACTTTATAAAACCACGGATGACCATCACACTAGCAGGATTTTAGATTCAGAGTTGGGGTGGGGCCTGGAGCTCTGTTTTCTGAAACTTTGCGGGCCATTCTGAACCTGCAGCCAGGCAGGACTCTGGCAAGAAGAGGCGTGTGGCTAATATGACGGAAGTCTGAATCCAAGGACTTTTTTTTTTTTTTTTTTTGGAGACAGTCTTGCTTTGTCTCCCAGGTTGGTGTGCAGGGGTGTGATCTCGGCTCACTGCAACCTCCATTTCCCAGATTCAAGCGATTCTCGTGCCTCAGCCTTTCAAGTAGCTGGGATTACAGGTGCACACCACCACACCCAGCTAATAGTATTTTTGATAGAGAGGGGGTTTCGCAATGTTGGCCAGGCTGGTCTTGAACTCCCGACTTCAAGCTATCCACCTGCCTCGGCCTCCCAAAGTGCTGGGATTACAGGCGTGAGCTACTTCACCCAGCCCCAAGAACATCTTGAAATGGAGTTTGATTACCAAAGTTTACATAGAGTAATGGATAATTAAAATTTTCAATTTATGGTGCATTACAAAATGTTATAAACAAGCCTCCGGGAAAGGCAGAAATTGCCAGATGTAAGTATATAAAACTTACACAGTTTGTTCCTTTTTGTTGTCTTCCCTTGTGGAGATGGGTCAGTGTAACATCCTATTCATTAATAGCTCTCAGATGTCCCATGAGAATGGCACATGTTATTTCCCAACAGTGGGAATGGAATTAGTTCCTTTATATCTCAGTCTCATCTGGTCTTGTAAGCCGGTGAAGGGTTTCCCAGGGCACCAGCCACCAGCTCTGTATAGTAGTTACAGTTTCCCTCTCTAGAATCCCAAAGAGGTTCAGATCCCACTGCTCCTCTCATTGGCTTCGTGACCCTGGGTACGCTGCTCAACTTGCGCAAGGATTACTGTCCGCTTTGTACAATGGAGATACCTATAGTGTCCACTTAGGAGATGCTGTGCATGCCTCAGTGAGGTAATGTCCGCAGAAAGCACAATGCCTAGTATGTAGAAAGTGTCCGATAAATATAATATGCGGCTAAACAGCGGAGTCCACAGCCTGAATGGAACTTCTTTTTCTACGTAAATACAGCAAACAATGCAGGGAAATGAGGTGGACAGTGTTCTCCGTGGAGGGCTAAACAGCATTGCTTTCCAGCTGACTTTTATTTTTGGAGTCTGGGACTAGGTGTTAACATTCCTTTACTAGTTGGTTTTGCATACCGCACAGTCCCTGCATCTATTTAAGAGTTTTGAGGTTTGTTGTGGGAAGTTTTTTTTTTTTTTTTTTTTTTTGAGGCGGAGTCTCGCTCTGTCGCCCAGGCTGGAGTGCAGTGGCGCGATCTCGGCTCACTGCAAGCTCCGCCTCCTGGGTTCACGCCATTCGCCTGCCTCAGCCTCCAGAGTAGCTGGGACTACTGGCGCCCGCCACCACGCCCGGCTAATTTTTTTTGTGTATTTTTAGTAGAGATGGGGTTTCACCATGTTAGGCAGGATGGTCTCAGTCTCCTGACCTTGTGATCCATCTGCCTTGGCCTCCCAAAGTGCTGGGATTACAGGTGTGAGGGAGTTTTTCGGTAGTTTGCTTTGCCTTGATAAACTATATGATATTTAAATGTTTTATAAGGATGGGTTTTCAGTAGAATTTCTCTGTACAACCTCAGGGAGACTGCCTGGAGGAATAACTGTGGTAAGGGTCTGTTTTTGAACAGGCATGGTCATTAGACCCTTGTGATCACGCATCCAGGGGCCAGTCCCCACCCTTTGCTCCCACTCCAAGGAAAGTCTGTTACATTTTTAGCCTTCAGAGGTTTGATGTAGATAGGAAGAGATGAGGGTGACAGAAATCAGCTCTTAAGTTTATAAATAAAACAGGGATATTATCGGGGAAGCTTTTGAAATGTAATAGGTTGTAACCCACATTTTGAAAGCAGTAAGGAAATAATTGCTGCTTTTTTCTTCTTCTTTATTCTGTTGACTTTGTTGATAATATTAGGTGACTACATCGAGCCTGGGTTCTCTCAGTATTAGCCTGTTATTCCTAAAGTATCATCCTCTCCTTGTATCAAATATAAGGACAAAAATGTCTTAGGATAAAAGTCTGTTTGTTTGCATTAGACTATACATGATTTGCATTACAATGGGCCGTGGATTTGGATGGATGATGAAGCTGAAACAAGGGACCTAATCATGGGATTTAACTGTTCACTTCAGGTAGATAAGATATTTCTGGGAGAAGTAAATTGGATGAGCTTTTGTGCTTCCCAGCAGCTCCAGGTCTTGTCCCTGGCCAGTCTGGGCAGCTCTGCGCTCAGAGGCCTTTGGCACGATGGGTCCTCCCAGCAGGGGCTCCAGCGCTCACCGCTGGGTGAGATCTACAGGGCTCAGTGCGCTTGGAGTCCTGGATTCCTCCAGGACTGCTACTGTATTCCAATTGAGTGGTGGTTTGCTCTTCACAGAGCGCTTACATGGGATTCTTACCTTCTGACTGGAGTGTCACCCTCGCCCAGGAATGTGGGTGCTGGAGAGACGGGCTACCTCTTTCTGTAGGCGGATGTTTCTGAAGGCATCTCCCACTGATTATGTAATGACAGCTACTTAACATCTTCTGTAGTCTTGAAGAATTCAGATGAGGAGCTTGTCCAGGGAGGGCTCCCACGTGCGTATTCACTAATTGTGGTCTTTCTCCCCAGCTCGGTTTTGTTTGCGTATTAGAGTTCTGACCATCTTCACTAGAAGTGGGGGCGGCTAGCAGTGACTAGATGCAAGAAGCAAAACGGTAAATTTCCTTTTACTGGCAAAATTAAAACAGTGAACTTGAAATATCTCCCCTACTCCCTGCAGAGACACTCTGAATCAAAGAAAACAATCAGTACTAACCCTGGAAACAATTTAAAAATGAACAAAAAGTCCTACCCTGAAGAAGAAGAATGTCTTACCAGCAAACGGTCTTGGGACAGCTGGTGTGAGAACTATATAAGAGAAATCAACAAATATTAATTGAACACCAGTCATGTGCAAAGCACTTAGCTAGGTCTTAGGGATGAGGACAAAAAGCATGTCACATTTTGTTGTTATAAGTGGGAAAGATAAGTAATTACAAGTAAGCCCAGTGTTTTTAAAAGAGTGTGAACAGAGACCTTATTCTAATCCAGAGAGGCTGTGAAGTGCTGTATTCCCAAGGAACTGAAGTTCTAGCTGATACCTAATGGAGGAATGGGTGTTATCCTGGTGGGAATGCCCTAGAATCTAGGAGAAGACAACAGGCCATTCGAAGGTGAGGAGGCTTGCCAGCATCAGTTTATAAGTGGACAGAGTCGAGAGCTATTTAGGAAGGAGAGCTGACAGACCTCGGGGACTGAATGGATGCTGGGAGTAGGGGTGAAAAGAGAGGAGTCAGGCTTCCTCCCAGAGTTTGAGGACTTTGAGTGCTAAGGGCTTGTAGGAGAACGTTGTGGAGATGTCCGGTAGGCATCTGAAAGAATGGATGGAGGAGGGGAAAGTCGGGCCTGGGAATGGCCAATTTCTGGTCATTCTCATATAGGCAACTGATGGCGAAGGGGATGACCTAGAGGGAGTTGGGAGGACAGCCTAGGATACGTAAATAAGAGAATCTTGTATGTTCTAAAAATTAACATCATTGCAGCTTCCTCAGCCCTAGGATGGTTTTTAGATCTATCAAGGGATAGAAGATTGTCCAGCCCCTTGCTGCCCAGTGTAGTCAGTGGGCTGACGACATTAGCATCACCTGGGTGCTTGCTAGCAATGCAAAATCTCAGGCCCCAGCCCAGACCACTGGATGAGAATCTGCATTTGAACAAGGTCCCCAGGTCATTCATGCACATTCAAAGTCAGAGACACTGCCCCAACACCTCACTTTAGAGTGAGAAAACTTAACAGGTTTAAGCAACTTGCAGAAGATGACACAACTGACCAGCGACAGTCTGTCTTCTAGTCAGGCCTCTTTCCAGTTCTCCACGCTGACCTTGACTTTCGAGATCACATACCAAGACCTTCAGCTGGATGGTCCCTGTAGCTGCTGTGACCACTAGAAGCAGGGTTAGGGGCGAGACTAATTTAATATCAATTAATGTAGACACTAGGCTTAGGGCTAGGGAAAATGTAGTGAAGGATGCCTGTATTGTCCTAATGAACCACACTGGTGCCTACAAAATTTTTATTTTGGCAAAACCGTCCATGAATTTGGAGATGTTGAACAGGTTTCTCTCCGACAATCGTCTCGTTTAATTGTGAAACTAGAATCACTTCCAGGAAGCTCTGAAGAATCAAGTCTGAGTGATGCAATGCTGCTTCCTCCTTCCTTCTCAAAAGCCTGCTCTTTGCCCATTTCTCTGTTCCCAAGGTCATTTTCTCCCCTTCTTGTTTCCAGGATCCACAGTTCCTGCTCTGCTTCCGCTTTCCCCACTGCTGGTTCAGGCTGTCTGCAGCAGCAGCAGCTCCAGGGTGCTGGGACACTGCTGGGTGACGCTCCACAGTGTGTGCTTCCCCATGTGGCTTCCACAGTCCCCTCTTGCTTCTCCCACATGTTAGTCTTCATAGATTAGTCTTCATCAATTCTTAGTATTATTTTTTAGGGATAGGGTCTTGCTGTGTTGCCCAGGCTGCAGTGCAGTGGTATGATCTCTGCTTACTGCAGCCTCCACCTCTGGGACTCAGGCGATCCTCCTGCCTCAGCCTCCCAAGTAGCTGGGACCACAGGCGCATGCCACTGTGCCTGGCTAAATTATTTTATATTTTGTAGAGTTGAGGTCGCACTTTTTTGCCCATGCTGGTCTTGAACCCCTGGGCTCAAGCGATCCTTCTGCCTCAGCCTCCCATTACGGGCAGGAGCCACTGCACACAGCTGATGAATTTTCGTTTAGGCCCCTTTCTTTGTGAGAGGGGGCCCCAGGATTATGCCCCGGGATTAAAAGAAGCTGGGAGGCTCTCCAGGACCCTGAACAAAGGTGGAAGTAGGGTTGTAAATGGAAGAAAAAATAAGAGAGATTCATTATGTTCTAATGACTATGAGGGAAGCTTTAGTTTTTGTCTCCCTGAAGCATCAACCTGCTTTCCTGCTGCTGTTATCACATCCTTCCAGGGCTATCGGCTGTTCAGGAACAGGAGAGCTCTGGAAGAGCAGGGACGACTTTGGCTTCTGTTTCCTGCCCATTGCAGATTAGGCATCAGCAAGGTACCCTCCTGTTTTTGTATGGCTCACCAAACTAAGGGTGATTTTCACATTTTACATGGCTGAAAAACATCAAATGATATTTCAGGACATAGGGAAATTATATGACATTTGAATTTCAGTGTCCATAAATGAAGTTTTATTGGAACATAACCACATTCATTTGCAAGTTGTCCACGGCCACTTTGGTGCTACTGTGGCAGAATTGAGTAGTTGCTGCAGAGACCGTATGATGAGAATATGTGGCATTCTCATCATTTTGCCCTGCCGCTCTGTGCAATGTAAATTGCAGTGACACAGTTATAACTCAGCAGCATTTTGAATGCCACTTGTATTCCCATGCTACAACATTTTATTTTTTATTACCAATATATACAAGAAAAGTGGATTTCAAATATCATTGTGCTTTTAAGGTACAATGGAGTATGAATTGTTACTGAATTAGGCAGCAAAGTGCAATGACATGGTAGCTGTCCTAAGGAACACAATACAACCAGGTGCAGTGGCTCATGCCTGTAATCCCAACGATTTGGGTGGCTGAGGTGGGAGAATCACTTGAACCCAGGATTTGGAGACCAGCTTGGGTGGTATAGTGAGACCCCCCATCTCCACAAAAAGTAAAAAAAAACCAAAATACATGTTGTTACTTCCCATCTTAGCACTCATCAAGATATTTCTAATTCACAAGAAAGCAATGGTCAGAAAAATTAGAAAATTTAAAATTGAATATCTCATCACAGAATTTATTCACAAAAATAAAAAATGAAAATGAAGCTACAACCAAAGTAAGTTTCAGATGGCTCATTTGTTAGCCAAGCAAGGAAAGTCACTTATGGTGAATTAATTAAATCATGCTTGATTACTGCAGCTGAAGAAACATGCTCAGAGAAAGTAAACTTGTTTATTGGCCTTTCCACGACAACAGTTGCTCAAAGAGTTGACATTAGGAATGACATCAGTAGTCGACTAAAAAGGCAAATGGTTTTGAGTGGTTTCCCCTGACTCTCATGACAGGGGTCACCATATGTTATGCACACTGCTCCGCTATTGCTCTTTATTTGAGGAGCCAGTACCAAGTTGGAAGTAACTGAAGAATTGGCCTCTATCAATAGTCTTATGTGGAACAACTACTGGCAAAAGTATTTTCAAAGCTGAGAAAACTGGTCAGGTGTGGCGGCTCATGCCTATAGTCCCAACACTTTGGGAGGCCAAGGTGGGCAGATCACCTGAGGTCAGGAGTTTGAGACCTGCCTGGCCAACATGGTGAAACTACATCTCTACTAAAAGTACAAAAATTAGCCGGGCATGATGGCATGCACTGGTAATTCCAGCTACTCAGGAGGCTGAGGCAGGAGAATCGCTTGAACCCAGGAGGTGGAGGTTGCAGTGAGCTGAGATTGCACCACTGTACTCCAGCCTGGATGACAGAGTGAGAACATTGTCTCAAAACAAAAAGTTGAGAAAACGAATTCAGTACACCCTGAAGTGGAATCTGCTAAGATGTGTTATGACTGTTGGTAGTGGAAATATATGTGTGTATTAGTCCATTTTCATACTGCTATAAAGAAAAGCCTGAGACTGGGTAATTTATAAAGAAAAAGAGGTTTAATGGACTCACAGTCCCGCATGGTTGGGGAGGCCTCACAATCGTTGTGGAAGGTAAAGGAGAAGCCAAGGCAAGTCTTAGGTGGCGGCAAGCAAGAGAGTGTGTGCAGGGGAACTGCCCTTTATAAAACCATCAGATCTCATGAGACTTACTCACTATTATGAGAACAGCATGGTAAAATCCTGCCTCCATGATTCAGTTACCTCCCACTGGGTCCTACCCATGACACGTGGGGATTATGGGGGCTACAATTCAATGAGATTTGGGTGGGGACACAGCTAACTCATATCAGTGTGGAATAGAAAATGGCTCAGTTGGACAACTTACAAAGCTTGTAATAATATAAGGTGTTAAAGCCTATAGATTATTCATTGTATTATTTAAGTCAACAGATACTTTGTGAGAAATATTTGAATCTATCATGCATTATTGAACCAGTATTGTCAATAGTGAACTTCCTTTAGCTCTTGTGGACTTCACTATCAACAGCTCTCATGAATTTTTGTCAGAAATATTAGCTGAATATCCCGACATGGCCTGTAATACAGCAGTTCAATGGTTTAGTAGTGGTAAAGTTTCATTTAAGTTTTGAGCTCAGGACAAAGATTGAAATTTTTCTGAATGAGAACTGCCCCGAACCACCGTTACTAAACACTGAATAGTTTTGGAAATTCACTTTTGCTGCAGACTTGATAGTGTTTCTTAAGGAATTCAGCCTAAACCACAAGATAAAAACAGTGTTTATGTGAAACTCCTACTGTGTTAAGTGATTTCAAGAAGAACTATTGTTTGAATCACAACTAATGTTACTGCTTTAAGCTCTTCCCATGTTGTTAAAAGTTAAAAAAAGAAGAGCTCCATTCCCACACACATTTGCCACAGATACATTATCTGAGCCCAAACTACAGTTTGAGCAGTGTGTTAGGGACCTCAATGCAAACCCAAAAGAAATTTTTATATTTCAGAATCCATTGATCTGCATTTGAGAAGTGATTAATGTGTTGAAAGGCAACTATCTAAAGAAAAATTTAATAGAGTCTAATAGAATCTTATAAAAATGTATAAATGTGTTTTATGTAATAAATATGCTAAGCTAAACATCTTATGCTCATGAGCTGGGTGCAGTGGCTCACACTTGTAATCCCAGCACTTTGGGGGTCTGAAATGGGAGGATCACTTCAGCCTAGGAGTTCAAGACCAGCCTGGGCAACATGGTGAAACCCTGTCTCTACAAAAAAAAAAAAAGTACAAAAATTAGCCTCGCTTGGTGGCACATGCCTGTGGTCCCAGCTACTTGGGAGATGGAGGTGGGAGCATCATCCGAGCCTGGGAGGCAGAGGTTGCAGTGAGCTGAGGTCACACCACTGCTCTCCAGCCTGGGTGACAGAGCAAGACCCTGTCTCAAAAAAAAAAAAAAAATGCTCATGGACATAGTAGTGTTGGGAAGGTACCTATCTGTGTGAAGACATGTTCAAAGATGAACTGTGTCACATCTCATTCCAAATCAGCATTAACAGATAAATATATGCAAATATGCAATTGGTTTTGACGATTCACAACACTAGCTCTGAATCTCAATTAGGGAAATGTTATTCCCCCAAAAGATTTCCAATTCTTATTGGTAGACCGGCGTTACCAGAAAATTGTACTCTATTGTTATCCTTGAATTTCATCAATTAAGATTTTTTTGGAAAATATTTTTGGAAATATTTATTCTCTTCTTATAGAAAACACCTATTCAATATTTTAGATTTGCGCCTTTTGACCCAGAAAACCTAAAGTATTTGTTATTTTTACAAAAAACATCTCTAAGAGATGGAGCAAATAAGTAAATGGGTTTGGGTTTACAGGTTGGTATCCCCAAAAAGCAAGTTTGGGGCAGGAATCTGGGACCTTCTGCTCCCACTCCCCAGCACAGCCTCTGCTTCTTAAAGTCCTGGGGCCTGTAGGAGGAAGGCACCTTGGTGAGAACCACCAAGAGGATGGCTACGTGCCCAGCAGCGGGAGATGGCAGTCCAGAGATGAGTTTGCAGGCCTGCAGCTCGTCTGCTGAGCTCGTCAACCCTCATGCTGATCTCCACTCACCAGTTTGCCTGCTTAGCGGCAGTCCTGTTGTGTGGATCTTCTCACTTAATGCACACAGCAGTCCTGTGAAGCAGATGGACCCTGTTCCTGTCCTCATTTCTGAGATGGAGAAAATTGAGGCCCCAAGAGAACGGTCACTTGTAGCATCCATTGGCTGCAGTGTTGAGGCCAGCTTTTGACCCCAGGCAGGCAGAATCCAGAGACTGCTTTGAACTCCTCTGCCAAGCCCACTGGTGAGGAATGCTCAATTACTGCCCCACATTGAGAGGCATTTCTTTATTCCTAGTACCAAAAAAAAACATGCTTAGCAAATAGGCTTTGGAGTCAGGCAGAGCCTCCCCGCCACTTTTTTTGTGTTTTTGTTTTGTTTTGTTTTTTTAATAGGAGACAGGATCTCACCCTGTCGCCCTGACTGGAGTACAGTGGAGTGTTCATAGCTCACTATATCCCTGAACTCCTGGGCGCAAGCAGTCCTCCTGCCTCAGCATCCTGAGTAGCTTGGACTACAGGTGCATGCCACCACCAAGCCTGGCTAATTTTTTTTTTAATTGTTTTTGTAGAGACGGAGTCTTGCTATGTTGGCCAGGCTGATTTGGAACTCCTGGGCTGAAACACTCCTCCCAACTTGGCCTCTCAAAGTGCTGTGATTACAGGTGTGAGCCATCATGCCTGGCCCAGACCCCATTTTAAATCACAGATCTGTCGTATACTAGTTGTGTGTCATTAGGCAAATTGCTTAGCCTCTCTGATCCTTTATTTTCCTCAGCTATCAAATGGGGATAATAATATTTGCCTTGCAGCATTGTTAGGGTTGGATACAAGTTTGGAAGGCCCAGATGTGATGATTGGCACACAAAGGCTAATACTGGGATTCCAAGGAGTCCCATGTGGTGGGTCCATCCGGGCCCAACAGGTTGTATATCTTAGCACTCATTCGGCCCCATCCTGCCTTTCCCTGTAACAGTGGCCGGTAGGGGTCCCCCGAACAGTCAAATTGACCAGTGGTCTTGCCCGTAAAGGGTGTTTCTGGGATCAGAGGGAAGAGGAGGATTAATGATTCCAGAACAACAAAAAGTCCTCAATTTCCACGTTTCTGGTCTTACTCTTGGAATCCAGGGTCGCCATTACCATTATGGAATATGGAGGAACCCCCTTTTTGGGCTTGTAGAAACCCACAGACACATTTCTCAGGGGCTGGGCCATGTGTGCATTCTTCCCCAGTCTCCTTCCCACTCCCACTGGCCGTGTCCTGGCCTGGCCTTATCTTTGGCTGGACTCATTGTTATAATGCGTGCTGCTGGTGAAGTGCTCACTATGTGTGAGTCTCTGTGCTGAACAGTCCACTTCTTCCTCGCTCTGGGACTTTGGGCAAGGTACTTAAACTATCTGGGTCTCTGTTTCCTCATCTGTAAAATGGGGATGAGAATGTCACCTTCCCTATAGGTTACTATGGGATCAAATGAGTTAATACACTTGACACTATCAGAACAGTGCCTGCCGCATAGTAGGGCTTCATGTTCGTGGTTCTAATAGCCTGGGACATAAGGACTGTTACCTGAGATTCCATAATACACCCAAGGCCACAGAGCTGCTGATTTGAGAGTGAGGGTTCAAACCCAGGTTTGCAGACTAAAGCCAGGCTACTTGACCATTACCCCAAACCGCATCCAAGCCATGCCCACCCCCTCCCCTGCTGTCTCCCCATGCCCCTGTGCCCCGGCTCCATCCGTTACCTGATGAGCAATGCAGACATTTCCCTCTTCTATTGAAAGTCCTATCCCTGTCATTGCCATATAACCTAAGAGTCTGGACAAGTCATTCCCTAACTACCCTCAGCCTCCTGCACTCCAGCTTTATGGGCCTCTCAAATGTGCCTCCTCTGGCACTTGCTTCTGGCTTGAGCTTCTGTGATGCTTTCCTGGTCCTCACCAGCATCACATCCATTCATGGCCCGTGGTCCCATCTGTGTTGCCCTGCACTTAGTTTGTGTCCTTAGTCTCCACACCCCATAGCTGGTGTCAGAGTCAACAATGTCTCTCCCCTTTTCCTCCTGAAGGCAGGAGCTGTTTCTCCTCCTTCTCCTACCTCTAGTGCATGGTGCGCATTGGATGGATGGATGGATGGAGGGAGGGAGGGAGGGAGGGAGGGAGGCATGGAGGCACTTGCTTCTTAGGAAGGAAGACAGTTGGCTGGACCAGTTAGATCTCTTTCCAAAAGCTTTTTGAAGTTACTTTTTAAAACTGTGCTAATAGAGCTGGAAGGGACTCCCTCAAGCAGGAAGTTGCTGAGGGAGCCAGGGACTAAGAAACACCATTTCACTCTTGTACCTGAAAGAGCTTTCTCGGCTTGGAGTGGGAAACCACAGGCTGCCATCCCCAACTCTGCTGGTTTTAGAGAAACACAGTCGGGAGGCGCAGCTCCCCCATTCACCGACACCCTTTGGGGCAGATACTTTTAGTTTTGTTTGGGCAGAGAGGAAGCTCGGGGCTGGGGACTGTCATGGGTGGCCGTGTGTGCAGCTCCAGCACCCCAGATTGGTCAGGGTTGAGGGAGCTGACTGAGGTGGAGCTGTGCCCATGGCCAAGGGCAAGGGCCCAGGGTTGGTTCAGGTGGGTGGGCTTGGGCTGGCCTGAAGGGGGCAAGAGTGGACATTTGGCCACCAGGAGAGAGGGTGAAGGCAAATAGAAAAATATGAGTTGCATCAGGGAATTTTGGCTTTTGAACCTAAAGCCAATTTTTTAAAAAATGATCAAGTTTCTTTGCTTCTTTGAATATTTAACAAATAGTTATATGTGATGTAAGCCTGAATTGTGAAGAATCTATGATTATAAAGAGTTAGGGCTTGAGTAGCATGCCCCATCTAGTCCCAGATGTCATCCAAAAGGTCACAGGATGGGCCGGATGCAGTGGCTCATGCCTGGAGTCCCAGAGATTCTGGAGGCCAAGATGGAAGGATTGCTGGAGGCCAGGAGTTCAAGACCAGCCTGGGCAACAGAGTAAGACCTTGTCTCTGTTAAAAACAAAAACAAACAACAAAAAACACACATAAAATTATTAGCTGGACCTGTTGGCACATGCCTGTAGTCCCAGCTACTCAGGAGGCTGAGGTGGGAGGATCGCTTGAGCCCAGGAGTTCGAGGCTGCAGTGAGCTGTGATGGCACTACTGCACTCCAGCCTGGGTAACAGAGCAAGACTCTGTCTCTAAATAAATCAATAAATGAAACCAGGATGGCTAAATAGTAGCAAGCAGAGGCTTACCGGCAGTATCAGTTTGTGGCATGTACCGAAGGCGATATCCAGGGAGAGGGGAAGGACAGGTTGGGTTTTATGCCTCATGGGGCCCGTATCACACAATGGAGTCACAGATTCAGCAGGTCTGGGGGAAAAGCTATACATATTTCCAAGGGAGATTGAGCGCATGGGCAATAGGCAAACGTGTAACATGCATCCCATGTCCACTTGGGGGTGAGGTTCTAGCATTAAAATGAGGTGGATTTGGCTTTTGACTTCAAAAGGTGAGCTATAGGGCACAAAGTTGGTGCACACCCTGTCGGCGCTCAAGCTGGCCCCGGGTCTGCAGTGTTATGAGGAGAGCCGGTAGGGCCGCCCTCGGTCCCAGCAGAGTTGTAATGGTCTGTGTTGTAAATCAGAGTTAGGAGGGGTCTGACAACTTTCCTGTTAGTGCGGAGTTTAGCCCCAGTGTGGTTTGTCCTGCAGCTCAGGAATCTAGGGGGTTGCCTGCCCACTGAGCTTAGACCCTGGAGCCCAGGGAGCTCTTAATTGACAGAAGGGTGTCCTTTTGGTCTCAGATCATACCGGTAACGCTCCTGCCAAGCAGCCCTGGACAGGGGCCCAGCCTACCGCCAGGAGCCACCTGTCAAACGGCGGCTTAGGGGGTTTAAAAAGGAAATTAATCCCTCTTCAAGACCACATAGATAAACCTCTGGTTGGGAGGTGACAGCAAATCTTATCAAAGCAAATTGTCTAGACGTTTCGAGGAGCTCTAGGACGTGGACCTGCTCAATCTTTCTAGAAAGGCCTGCGGCTGCAGGGGCCAGGTTAAGGGGCCCCTTAACCTGCTTCAGAAGAGGCAAGACTGCGTCCTTCCCCGCTGCCCACTGGGACTGACTTGGAGGCCCGAGGAAGGATTTGTTCCCGCAGGACCAAGTTCCCTCAGGCCACACCAGCCTGGGAACCAAAACAGGATTGCAGTGACAGAACACAGCGTCTCTGGCTCTGCGCCTACCCTGTTCTTGCTGTGCCCCCAGCGCTCTTGAAGCTGTGTCCTTCCCTGCCTGCCTCCCTCCAGCTGGGCCCCCCTCTCCAGCCACCCTGTCCTGCCCTCCTTCCCTCCCTGCCTGGGTCTTGTGGCTGCGGAGGCCAGAAAGTGGAGTGGCCCCTATGTTACCACAAGTCCCGCAGGGCAGAGGAGGGGAGGAAGGGGGCGCGCAGGAAGCCTGGGAACACCCACCCTTCAGGGCTCAGGACAACCCCACTCCTGGACAGCCTCCAGCCCTGGCAGCGACAATCCTGGGCCCCGCCCAGTACTGCATGGGCACTGCCAAGACAGAGCTGGACACATGCCCACGGGGTAGAGTTTGATTTGGGGGCCATTTTTGCCCCTTTCTACAATGACGTTTTCTCTGACAAAATTTAGACTGTAATTTAAAAAATAGTTTCTGACTGTGATGAGAAGGAAAAGGCAACATGCTTCCCAAACTAAGAGTATTTGAAGACTTTTTGAGTTCCTGTAATAATATACCAACTTCGCTTAGATTTAACAATTGTTTTTTGCTGAAACGTGGTATTTCCAAATTACTTCAGTCTGCATCTCTAAAAAATGACATTGTCTTGCTTATCCATTAATACCATTATCACACCTTAAAGAGAATTAAAATCATTCCTTACTGGTGTCAAACACTTGATCCGTATTCAGTGTTCCCATTGTCCCCAAAATATTTTACTGCCAGTTTGTTCAAACCAGGATTCAATTAGGGTCCACGTGTTGTGTTTAGTTCGTTTCTTACCTCTCCTTAGATCTAGAACAGTTTGCTCTCTGTATTTTGGGTAAAAGAAAAATGTTCCCCAGCACTTTAGGAGGCCAAGGTGGCTGGATCACCTGAGGTCAGGAGTTCGAGACCAGCCTGGCCAACATGGTGAAACCCTGTCTCTACTAAAAATACAAAAATTAGCCAGGCTTGGTGGCGGGCACCTGTAATCCCAGCTACTTGGGAGGCTGAGGTGGGAGAATCGCTTGAACCCGGGAGGTGGAGGTTGTAGTAAGCCGAGATTGCACCACTGCACTCCAGCCTTGGCAACAAGAGTGAAACTCCATCTCAAAAAAGAAAAGAAAAGTCTTCCCCAGTCTAATGTTTTTAATGGTTTCATATTTTTCACGTAAATCTTTGATCCATTTGGAATTTATCCTATTATTATATATTGTGAGGCATGGATTCAATTTTATATTTTCCCAAATGGCTGGCTGGTTGTTCCAACACCACTTATTAAAAAGTTCATCTTTCCCCCATCTTAGTTAAAGATTCACATTGATCACTTATCATATGATAACTGTCGTGATTACTTGGGTCTTCTTCTGAACCTTCTAATGTGCTGTGTTGGTTTGTAAACCTCTGCACATGCCACTCCTACCTGGCTTCAGTTACAGAGGCTTCTGGGCCGTTTCAATACTTAGCAGGCAGGTGCACCTCATTTCATCACGTTTCTCTTCGGGGTTTTCCTGCTTACCCTTGCTTTTATTCACACACACACATATATATACACACACACACGTATACAAGTATATATAATTAACTGGAGTTGGGGGAATTAGCTGATAAGAGAACTGGCTAAACAATGTAGGAATCACCAATGCACCCAGCAGTCACTACACCTGGAACTGATCCTGAGCACCCAACGAAGGGCCACTCCTACCCGCACCCCTCTGCTAAGACCCAGACCTCGTGGAGAGGGCTGCCGTCATGACTCATTCATGGGAGAGGGTGTGATCGTGACTCACTGGACGACAGAGGAGCTTGCTGAGGTGCTTCCCCAGCAAGACGTGACTGAAACCCACCCTCTGCTGTGGGAATTGGCCCCCGGGGAGGTGCCACGTCTCAGAGCTCCCTGCTGGCTGCCTCGGGCAGTGCTGCAGAAGTCCCTGGGGGGGAACCTGTCTGGCTGCAGGCTCTCCAGCACTGCTCGTGGGAGGGTGATTGGCAGGTGTCCCATGGTCAGTGCTGTGCTGTGCAGTCACTAGGGTATGTGCCCAGGTAAATCCATCCGTGGGTGTTTCTCCTGCTGGCACTGGCTGGAAGCCACCCAGGGCTGGGGCTGTGCCATGGAGGCCGCTCATGGGGGGACTCACTGCTGGAATGCCCAGGAAGCAATCCAGGGAGAAGCGACCAGCCCGCAGGACTGAGAGGCACTGATACCAAGTGAACTGAATTAATAATATGGGTGAAGTGTTCGTTTCATTTTTTTTGAGAGGGAAAATAAAGATTCTTGGTTTCATTCTAACTACCTACTCACTTGCCAAATTGTTAGGGGGACTAGTGGCACTCTTAGTGTAGACTCTCAAAAACAGCTCAAGGATATTAAAGGACCTATTTTAAATGTAAAATTTGACCCGTTTTTTAAAACTTATATTTGTAGGTTCAGGGGTACGTGTGCAGGTTTGTTATATAGGTAAACTCATGTCATGGGCGTTTGATGTACAGATTATTTTGGCACCCAGGTATTAAGCCCAATGCCCAATAGTTATGTTTTCTGCTCCTCTCCCTCCTCCACTCTCGGGTAGGTCCCAGTGTCTGTTGTTCCCCTTTGTGTTCATGAAAACTTGATCAGTTTTGATGTATGTATACCCTTATGTCATCACACCACTATCAGAATGTCAATTTCATCTCCCCAAAAACTCCCTGTTCCCATTTCTGGTCCATCTTTCTCTCTGTCCCATTCCTAGGCAACCACTGATCTACTCGTAGCATTTTCGATTGGTTAAAATAATATAGGAAAATCAATGCCTGAGAATAGCGAGAAAAGCACAAGGAAGAAGAGCAATTAGGGGTGGGGCGACTTGCTTCACCAGATGTTGGAATATTCTTTGAAGCCACTGCAGTCTGATCAGTACGGTGTAGGTGCAGGAAGAGACAACTGGATTGGAGGAAGGACAGACCGGTTGAGACACAGCCCACTGCCTAGGAAGGGGACTGTGAAACAAGGAGCAGTTCTATCAGAGGCAGTCTGACAGGGGCCACCATGCATGGATACTTCTTTTAATGTGGTAGGGGCATGATTCAAGGATTGGCAGGATCCGAAGAGGAACAGGGTGGGCAGCTTCAGAGGAGGTAGCACTTGAGAAGGGTTTGGCATGATGCCTGCATTTGTTTGAGGACCAGTGCATGGGGATTAGGAGTTCAGGGAAGCTGTTCAAAGAACTGCATCAGCAAAGGTAGGAAGGTGTGAGTGGCATGCTTTGATGGAGGCAGAATAGTGGCCAAAGCTGTCCATGTCCTACTCTCAAGAGCCTGTGACTGTTAGGTTACATAGCGAAGGGGAATTATGGTTGCTGATTAGCTCGCCTTGAGATGGAGGGGATGAGCCTAGGTTATCTGGATGGAGCCAGTGTCATCACAAGGGGCTGTATGAGCAGAGGAGGAAGGCAGGAGAGGGAGACCCAGAGAGGCTGTAGCACGAGAAGGACTCGGTCCCATGCTGCTGGCTTTGAAGGTGGAGGAGGGGCCTCTAGAAGCTGGAAAAGGTAAGCACAGGGATTCTCCCCTTCAGCCTCCAGAAAGAAATGCCGTCCTGCCGACAGCTTGATTGGAGCTGAGTGAGTCCCATTTTGGACTTCTGACCTCCAGATAATAAGTTTGTGTTAATATCTGCTATGTACCAATAAAAACAAAAAATAACAGACTTAACAATGACAGCAAAAAATATTTTGTGTTAAGTCACTGACTTTGTGGTAATTTGTTACAGCAGCCACAAGAAACAAATACTAGCACAAAGTAGATCATATTGGTGGAAGAGTAAATCCAGTAGAAGGTGGGGAGAGATGAGGGCAGAGAGGGGATCAGGGCCCAGATCATGAGGTCCTTGAGTGTCACCCTGGGCGCTTCATTCCATTGGCAATGTCAAGGATTTCTGTTTAAGGACCATGACTTTGGCTGGAGGGTTTGGAGGCAGAATAGAGTGCACTCTTTGTTAGACATTGGTGTCATTTCCATCTTGGTGACGTCGCTCCTTAGAATACTGTTATAGGAGAGGCATTAATGAGTGTTGCTGCCATGGGATGTGAAAGGCTACACAGTCTTTACTCGACTTGCCCTTCTTATGCTTTTAATTTCAGGTTTTCTACAAAGTTTCACTTTACCTCCCCTTTTTATAGTCTGGCTTGACTTGGTGCCCTGAAGTAGAAGAGCTACAAGTGGCATCTGGGAGCCGTAAGAAAGAGCCACGGAGGAGAGGAGGACTTGGGCAGAAGGTGGCAGTGGGGGCAGGAGAGGTTTGCGCAGAGGGCAGATGGCTTCCTGCATCCGGGACCCCTTGGCACAGCATCTGTGACAGTCGTGGCCCATCTTGATCCAGACTCGAGCTAGAAAGCCTATGCCTGGCTCCTCTCAATACTCTGGAGACTATTCACGTGGCTCTCACCTCCACTGTCACCTCAGGGTTGAAGTAACCCAGGGAGTCTTTTCCTTATCATGAAAAGAGCCCAAACCATTCTTATTATTCATAATTATTATCATAATGATTACCTGGAAGTCTCTCATCTGAAGTTCATCTGACCCAATTTAATTAATGTCAGGGCTCAGGCAGGTCAACCCATGATTATTTTCGTGTTTACTCAAGTAGAATTTTTGTTTATTTGTTTCTGAGGCAGGATCTTGCTCTGTCACCCAGACTGGAGTTCAGTGGCACGATCTCGGCTCACTGCAGCCTCCACCTCCCAGGCTCAAGTGATCCTCCCACCTCAACCTCCTGAGTAGCTGGGACTGCAGGAGTGTGCCACCACACCTAGCTAATTTTTTCCTATGTTTTGTAGAGATGGGGTCTCGCTATGTTGCCTAGGCTTGCTCAGGGAGATTTTTGTTGTAGACAGTAAGCAACACAAGTATTTGTTATTCAGTGACACATTAATAAGCTTGGTTAAAAGCCCTGTCTATCTCCTTCAGTTCTGCTCTAATCTTAGTTATTTCTTGTCTTCTGCTAGCTTTTGAATTTGTTTGCTCTTGCTTCTCTAGTTCTTTTAATTGTGATGTTAGGGTGTTGATTTTAGATCTTTCCTGCTTTCTCCTGTGGGCATTTAGTGCTATAAATTTCCCTCTAAACACTGCTTTAGCTGTGTCCTAGAGATTCTGATACGTTGTGTCTTTGTTCTCATTGGCTTCAAATAACTTATCTATCTCTGCCTTAATTTAATTATTGTTAGAAATAAGTCTCAGAGTCCTAAGGAAAAATGAGCATTTAGACAAAGGATTTCTCAGCAAAGCAAATTTACTTCTATGCAGAAGGGTGTCTCCCATATGGCTGGTTGCCACGAGAGCACTTAGAACACAGGAGAGTAGAAGTTTTTATTCCTAATGCGACTCCTGCCCCTGTGTCCTTCCCCCATTGGCTGGGGTCAGACCGCACAATTTAAATTAGACCCGACTGGCTAAACGTTTAAACTTTCTTAGATAAGGTGGATGCATAATGGGAGAGAGGGGAGAGGAGGAAGGGGTCATCTGCGGGGAACTAGAGAGCCAGTCTTTTCCTAAATAAGGAAAGGAATGTGAGCTGTTGTTGATAACGCCACTGGTGCTGTGGCATGCCTGAGCATGTAGTAAAGTTAGAAAAAAAAGGGGAAGAAAGGTGGGGGGTAGTACTTGGAATTAAAGAATAAAAAGTTGAGCAGGCTGTTTGAAGAGAAACCTTGCCATATTTCACAGTTATTTACCCAGTAGTCATTCAGGAGTAGGTTGTTCAGTTTCCACGTAGTTGTGTGGTTTTGACTTAGTTTCTTAATCTTGAGTTCGAAACCTACATGTTCTGCACATGTGTCCCAGAGCTTAAAGTACAAAACAAAAAATAAAAGGGAAAAAAAAAAGCCCTGTCTATTCTAGGGGTTACTGTTTTGCACAAGTGCTGTTCTCAAAATCACAGCAGGCCTTGGACCATGGCGTGGTACTAGCAAGAGGCTGCTGCTTTTAAGTTCAGCAGATTCTCACTCAGCTCCATGCAGAGCAGGGCCCCAGCCTCCTGCTCACTCCAGGGAACCCTGGGCAGCCGCCCTGTGCTGACATGGGTGGGCAGTGGGGCTGCGGTGGGTTCTGAGGCAGGTGGCAAGGGACATGGAGAAAACACACCCAGGTCTTCAGGTCCTGCTGTACAAAATGTCGTTGGTGTTGTCTTTATTTTATTTTAATTTTTTTTTTAGAGATGGAGTCTTGCTCTGTTGCTCAGGCTGGAGTGCAGTGATGCAATCATGGCTCACTGCAGCCTCAGCCTCCTGGGCTCAAGCATCTCCCACCTCAGCCTCCCAACTAGCTGTGACCACAGGCATGCACCACCACACCCAGTTATTATTATTATTATTATTATTATTATTATTATTATTATTATTATTTGGTAGAGATGGGGTCTCAGTATGTTGCCCAGGCTGGTCTCAAACTCCTGGGCTCAAGTCATCTCCCTGCCTCAGCCTCCTAAAGTACTGGGATTACTGGTGTGAGCTACTGCGCCTGGCCTGGTGTTGTCTTTAATGTTTTTTGAATGTAGAAATGTTGATAAAGTTCTTGCTCTCAGGCTTTGTAACCCAGACTTTCCTACAAAGCCTGGTGCTCACCCCTGCCTTCCATCTTGCATTCAAGGTTGTGGGGGAACCCAGAACATTCTAGAACCGATCAACTCTTTGCCTTTGGTTCAGCACAAATTAGGCTCACTTTTGAGGGAATGTTCTTAAAATGCTGCTCCCTGGTTTGGTCACTGGCAACAAAACTGAAATCTGTTTTATTTTTATTTTTATTTTTGAGATGGAGTCTCACTCTTTCGTCCAGGCTGGAGTGCAGTGGCACGATCTTGGCTCACTGCAACCTCCGCCTCCCAGGTTTAAGCAATTTCCCTGCCTCAGCTGCCCCAGTAGCTGGGATTACAGATGTGTGCCACCACACTCGGCTAATGTCGTTTTTTTTTTTTTAGTAGAGATGGGGTTTCACCATGTTGGCCAGGGTGGTCTCGAACTCCTGACCTCAAGTGATCCACCCGCCTTGGCCTCCCAAAGTGCTGGGATTACAGGCGTGAGCCACTGTGCCCAGCCCTGAAAGCTGTTAGAAGGAGATGCCTGTGGGGAGTTGAGCTCATCAGAACTGAATTTTTTATTTGTTCCTTACTCAAAAGTAGCAGCTGTTTATGCTTTGAGGGTAATAATTCTGCTTAGTACAGTAAACAATTATTTAATGCCTAGTGTCATGTTACCCTGAGTCTAAAATAATTATCAATGGTAAGACGGACCATGAATTTATTATAACAGCTTTATAGGAAGAATTAAAAGAAACACCATGGCATAAATGGACCCATTGATTGTAAGACTGGTTCCAATATTAGAATCATTGTATTGTGAAAAAAAAGTGTGCTTTTGAGAATCGAGGGAAGAAGATATGTGTGGTGAGAGAAAAGGGCAAGAGTAGCCATAAAAATACGAATTCTCAGTATTAAAACCCATTTATGCCTAGTGTTCCATTATTGGAATGCTAAGCATGTGGGAGTTATTTATATCCTACTGCTGAAGGTCATCACCAAGGTCTGATTGCCTCAGGCATACATGGGTTAAGAACCCTTGCTTTGTCTGATGGCATTTCATATGTAGACTCCCTCATGCTCTTCCCATCCTTTCCCATGAGTCCCCAAAGTCTATTGTGTCATTCTTAATGCCTTTGCATCCTCATAGCTTAGATCCCACTTTTGAGTGAGAACATACAATGTTTCGTTTTCCATTTCTGAGTTACTTCACTTAGACTAATAGTCTCCAATCTCATCCAGGTTGCTGCGAATGTCATTAATCCATTCCTTTTTATGGCTGAGTAGTATTCCATCGTATATATATGCCACAGTTTCTTTATCCACTCATTGATTGATGGGCATTTGGGTTGGTTCCACCTATCTAGTTATTTTTGTAGAATAAATTCCTATAGGTAGAATTACTAAAAAGTGCATGCATGTTTACACTATAATGCTATTTCAAAGAGTCCTACTGACGGGGTTGTACCTTTCTCTAGACAGTATACCAGAATGTCCATTTCTATTTCAGCACGTACATTTCCCTCCCTCTTGTCATTTTTGCTTGGATGTACATACACTGGCTTGTGATAGGAGACTCAGTTTACATGTTTGTCATTTTTCCTATTAGGTTGTTCCTCTTTTTCATTGATTTCTTTCATTTTCATTATCTTAAAATTATAAAATATGTAATACATATAAAAAGGTATGAACACTCTACTTGTGAACTTATTTACTCATCAAACACTTAAAGATAACATTATTCATGCAGCCAAAGCCACTTCTTACTGATTTTTCAGGCGCTTTTTACATATTAATCACCCTTTGGCTGTTTTGTATATTGCAGATATGTTTCCTAGTTTGCCCTTTGTCTTTTCATTTGTCTATGATGTCTTTGACATATGAACATTATACGTTTTTATGCAATTATAAAGAATATGGTTTCCTTTATTGTTTTTTACTTTCCTGCCAGACTAAGAAGAACCTATGTGCTCCAGGATAATATAAACCCTCTCCAATATTTTTCTCGACTTTTAAAACCTTGTTTGCATTTAAATGTTCTATCTATTTGGAACAGACAGTATGTGTGTATGTGTGTTGAGATAAAAATATAACTTTATATTACCAAGAAAATTGAGCATTGAGGTTAGAATAAACTTACCAAGTTGGCAATCTGAAAGTATATCACCTTAATGAATGCATTTCTGATACGAATTGAACATTCCTAATCCAAAAACCTGAAATATGAAATGCTCCCAAATCCAAAACTTTTTGAATGCCAATATGATGCCACAAGAGGAAAAACTCACACCTGATCTCATGTAACAGGTCAAAGTGCAGTCAAAACTTTTTCATGCACATAATTATTTAAAATATTTATAAGATTACCTTCAGGCTATGTGTAATAGGTGTATATGAAACATAGATGAATTTTCTGTTTAGGCTTGTGTGGGTCTCATCCACAGGATATCTCATTATGCATATGCTAATATTCCAAAAATCAGAAAAAATCGGAAATCTGAGACACTTCTGGTTCCAAGCATTTTGGATGAGGGATACTCAACTTGTATTACTGGAGAGGTTGAACCTCTTCATTCTGTTTTTCTTGAGTTCTCTCTTTGAAATATTTTATTATACAAAAGTAATGTAATGAATTTATCTGTATTCATGACTTAGCTTCAACAATTGTCAACTTAATAATTCATCTCTATCTCTACCACTCCCCACCCTGTATTCTGTTGAACCAAATCTCAACATGTTATTTTATCTGTAAGTATTTCACTATGTGTCTCTAAAACATAAGCAAGGGCTTTAAAGAAATATAATCATAATACCATTATCATACCTTAAGATATAATTGTTTTATATTTTATTTTTATTTTAAGCTCTGAGGTACATGTGCAGGATGTGCAGTTTGTTACATAGGTAAACGTGTGCCATGGTGGTTCGCTGCACCTATCAACCCATCACCTAGGTATTAAGCTCAGCATGCATTAGCTATTTGTCCTAATGCTCTTCCTCCTCTCACCCAACCCCAACAGGCCCCAGTGTATGTTGTTCCCCTCCCAGTCTCCGTGTATTCTCACTGTTCACTTCCCACTTATAAGTGAGAACATGTGGTGTTTGGTTTTCTGTTCCTGCGATAGTTTGCTGAGGATAATGGCTTCCAGCTCCATCCATGTGCCATGCAAATGACATGATCTTGTCCCTTTTTATGGCTGCATAGTATTCCATGGTGTAAATGTACCACATTTTCTTTATCTAGTCTATCACTGATGGACATTTTGGGTTGATTCCATGTCTTTGCTATTGTGAATAGTGCTGCAATGAACATATGCATGCATGTATCTTTATAATTGAATGATTTATATTCCTTTGGGTATATATCCAATAATAAGCAATAATGGGATTGCTGGGTCAAATATAAGCAATAATGGGATTGCTGGGTCAGATGGTACTTCTGGTTCTAGATCTTTGAGGAATCATCACACCATCTTCCACAATGGTTGAACTAATATATATTTCCACCAACAGTGTAAAAGCCTTCCTATTTCTCTTCAACCTTGCCAGCATCTCTTGTTTCCTGACTTATCAATAATCACCATCCTGACCAGCGTGAGACGGTATCTCACTGTGAGTTTGATAGATATAATTGTTTAATATGATCACATATTAGATCAGTGTTTAAATTTCTCATTGTCTTATAAATGTCCAAATAAGTTTCATATGTTGGAGTTGGTTAATATAGCTCTAAATCTCGTTAATTTCATAGACCCCTTTCTATCTCTTTTCTTTTTCCTGCAATTTGTTTTGAATACATTATTTTTAATTTATTCCTTATTCTGTAGAATCTCCTAGAGTCTGGGTTTTGCTGATTGCATCTTTGTGGTGGTGTTTAACATGTTTCTTTTTCTTCTGGTTTTTTAGAAGATTGGTAGTTGGATCTAAAGGATTGTTCATATTCAAATGTGACGTTTGGGGGTCAGTTCTATAGGTAATATTGATCTCACCCTCTTTTTCCCAATATTTATTATAAAAAATTTCAAACATACAAAAAAATGGAAAGACCTGTATAGTGAACACTAATATACTTACCATCTTGATCATATAATTAGCATTTTGCTATATTTCCTTTATCACATTCTATTCATCTCTCATCTCTTTATCCATCCCTCAACCTTCTTATTCTTCTTTATTTCAAGTAAGTTTATCAGTAGAGTTCACCTATAAACACTTCAGTGTGCATATCATTAATTAGAGTTCACATTTATTTATGGTTTTTGTTTTTTAGGTAAAATATACAGAGAGTGAAATGCACAAATATTAAGTGTACATTTAACGTGTATTGACCTTTGTAACCAACACCTGTCAAGATACAGAAATTGTCATTACCCTAGAAAGATTCCTCATCCTCCTACTGAGTCCCTACCTGCAACACTCGGAGGCAACCACTATTCTGATATTTTTGCCACAGATTAATTTTGCTTCTTATGAAACTTCATATACTGGAAAACAAGTAGCATGATAAGAGATTTAAAACCAACCATTTTACTAACTACACTAAATGTAACTGAAATTAAAACTCCATTTAAAAGGTAGAGACTATCAGACTAGATAGAAGAGCAAGATTAAATGTATGCTGTTTACAAGAGACATGCTTTTGGTATAAAGACAGAATAATGAATTAAATGAAGGAAAAAGATATAATATCATGCAAATACTAACTATAGGAAAGCCAGATTAGCTTTCCTATAGTTATATCAGATTACCAGATATAAAGGAATATTAACAGAAACAATGAAGGAGCATTTTATAATGATAAAGAGCAATACGACAAGGAGATATAACAATCTTAAATGTATATGTACCTAATAATAGCTTCAGAAAACATGAAGCAAAACCCAACAGAACTATAGGGAGAAATTTCCACATCCACAGTTATAGTTGGAGATTTTAGAAATCTTCTTTCCATAATTGATACAGTTAGTACTCAGAAAATTAGTAAAGACAACAAAGGTTTGAATAATCCTATGACCAGTTTAACCTGTTTATCATTTGCAAAACACTACACCTAAAGGATATCAAATGCTTTGAAAAGGATTTTAAAATTTGTGAAATACAGCTATAACAGTGCATAGAGGGAAACATAGCTTTAAATACATATGTGAAATAAGAAGAAAAGTTTAACATCAAAGGTCCATAAAGCTTAAAATGCAGAGCAAATTAAAGCCAAAATAAGTAGAAGGAAGATAATAATAATATGAGCAGAAATTAATAAAATAAAAAAATGGGCTCAAACTCTTGGCCTCAAGCCACCCTCCCACCTCAGTCTCCCAGAGTACTGGGATTACAGGTGTGAGCCACAGCATCCAGCCTATACAATGGCCACAGAAGGAATAGAAAATCTGAATTGCCTTGTATCTGTTGAGAAATTGAATTTATGATTAAAAACCTTCCCACAAGAAAACACAAGGCTCACATTGCTCACTGGTCAATTCTGTCAAATACTTAAGAAATAAATAGTAACCCTATTATGCAGATTTGTTTGGAAAATGAACAAGAAGGAAGTACTTCCCAATTAATTTTATGAGGCCAGCATATCCCTATTTTAGATGGTTTAATGCATTAAATTTCATAACATTTTGAAATACTTAAAAATTTAAGAAAATATGTGCAAAAATGTAAGACAATATCTACCTATACATTGAAAACTAAAACATTTTCATGAGAAAAATTATGGAAGACCTAAACTAATGGAAAGATATAGCATGTTTATGGGTTGAAAGATTCACAATTGTTAAGGTATCTTTTCTCCCCAAAGTGATCTATGGATTCAACACAATCCCAATCAAAATTCCAGGAGGCTTTTCTGTTGGATTTGACAAGGTGATTCTAAAATTTTTATAGAAATGCAAATTTTTATAGAAATGTTATGGAATATCCAAAACAATTTTGAAAAAGAACAAAGTTGTAGAAATTATTCTACCTGATTTCAAGATTTACTACCAATATACAGCAATTGAGACTGTATGTAATGGTAGAGAGACAGACAACTAGGTCATTGGCATGGAAGAGTGACTCCAGAAATAAATCTGCTTTTAGATGGTCAATTGATTTTCAACAAAGGTACCAAGGTAATTCAATGGGGGAAAGGATATTCTTTTCAACAAATGGTGCTGAAACAACTGGAAATCCATAGGAAAAAATAAACTTCAACCATTATCTCATATCATGTACGAAAGCTAACTTGAAATGGATCCTTGGCCTAAATATAAGTGCTAAAACTATAAAATTTATAGAAAAGAACACAGAAGGCTGGGCACAGTGTTTACCCAAACAAAATGAAAACAGGCTTACAAAAAGATTTATCTTAGCCAGGTGTAGTGGCGCACACCTGGGCCTACAGTCCCAGCTACTTGGGAAGTTGAAGCAGGAGAATTGCTTGAGCCCAGGAGTTCGAGGCTGCAGTGAGCTATGATTGCACCACTGCACAGCCTCAGCAGCAGAGCAAGACCCTCTCTCTAAATAAAAGAAGAAAACACAGAAGAAATTACTTCTAGAAGAACCTTTACAACTTAGTAAGAAAAAGACAATCCAATTAAAAAGGAGGCAAGATACTCGAACATACATTTCACAGCAAAAGCAATATTAATGGGCCAGTAAATTCTTAAGAAAGTGTTCAACATTATTTTGCATCAGTGATACATACAATAAATTAAAACCGTAGTATTATACCTTTTATGGTTTTAATATGCATTTTAGTAGCATAGATCCTATTATACTCCAGGAGAACGGCTAAAATTAAACCCTGACAACAACAGGCGTTAAGGATGTAGAATCACACAATGCTCTTGCATCATCATGGGAAATATGAATTGCATATCAAGGTACAATTGCCATGGGAAAATGCTTGGCAGTTTCTTCCCAAGTTCAACATTCACCTACTCTACAACCATCAACTCTACTTCTAGATATTTATGCAAACATATAAAGTAATAAATATGGCTGGGTACGGTGGCTCACACCTGTAATCCCGGCACTTTGGGAGGCTGAGGCGGGTGGATCACCTGAGGTCACGAGTTCAAGACCAGCCTGTCCAACATGGTGAAACCCCATCTCTACTAAAAATACAAAAAATTAGCTGGGCATTGCGGCACTTGCCTGTAATCTCAGCTACTCGGGACGCTGAGGTGGGAGAATTGAACACGGGAGGCGGAGGTTGCAGTGAGCTGAGATTGCACCACTGTACTCCAGCCTGGTTGACAGAGTGAGATCGTGTCTCTAAATAAATAAATAAAGTAATAAATATGTACTAAAGTAGTCTTTTCAAATTACTTATATTTATTATAGATTTAACACAACAAATGCAAAATTAGCTAAACTTGTTTTTACTATACATGTGATACACTGTGTGTGTGTGTGAATGTGGATGCCACACAGGGTTTTGCTCTGTCACTCAGGCTGAAGTGCAGTGGCTTGATCATGGTTCACTGCATTCTTGACCTCCTGGGCACAAGTGATCCTCCCACCTCTGCCTCCCGAGTAACTGGGACTATAGGCGTGCCCCACCACACCTGGCTAATTTTTGTAATTTTAGTAGAGATAGGGTCTCGTTGTGTTGCCCAGGCTGGTCTCGAACTCCTGGGCTCAAGTGATCCTCCTGCCTCGGCCTCCCAAAGTGGTGGGATTGCAGACATGAGCCACCGTGCCCAGCCCCCATCATACACTTTCCTTTGAGGTAGGGGAGGAGTACGGGGAACCTTAGTGGCCAGGTGGGTGCTACCTTTTTGTTGTGGATGCTCCTTCTCCAGGATGGCGATGTAGGTCCACAAGGTGGATGGGGTCCTGAGTGAGGACCGCCTCAGAGAGACAGCCAGGGCTTGTGGTCGGTGACTAGACCGACCAGTGTTCAGAGAGTGAGACAGCAGCATTCCCGCATATGGCTGGGCTGGGAAAGCTGGGAGACTGTGTGCTCTGTCGTGGATATGATGAGCGGTTATGCGGGCTCTGCTTCTTGCCACCTACTTGCAGGTTGAAGGATGTGCCTATTCCACATCGCTGATGGGGCATCCGAGCTTTCCTTGGAGGTGGGCAGCTCTTTCGGGGTTGGTACCCATCAGGTGCTGTGGCCAGAACTCAGATTCGGAGTCTAAATTCATACTCACACTCTATACACCTGGATTGAGATCACAGTATTATTATTTTCACAATCGAACTGAGCAAAGATACGGCAGCCACTGAAGACTCACTGTGAGGTGCGTCTAAGGGAGAAACCATGGGCTGTTGCCGAAGATCTGGGAGAAAAAGTGTGGAAAAGGCAAAACCGCGCCTGGGAGCTCCTGCAGGAGGCGCCCCGGGACACTAGGACGCTGCCTCTCCAGCGGGGGTTTGCAGTTTTCATGGTCCTGTGTGGCGTGTCCTGCCTGGTTTGCATTTCAGAGAGAAAGAAGGAGAATGAAATAGGTTTGGTTCACAGCCAATTTCAGGCTCACCGTGTCTTCAGACATTATGAGGCTGAGGTTCCGGGGTCCGGCTGCACTTTGGATTACAAAGGAGGGGCGTTGTGGGAATGGACAGGAAGGGAGTGGGTCTCCTCCGGTGGAGTTACAGCAAAGAACGGGGGACTTTGGGGCAGGCACGTGCTTTGGTTCCAGGATGCACTATTGTTATTACCTACTATCTTTTAATATCACCTTCTAGTTCACACGATCTCATTAACCATCAGAACAGTCCAGGGAGGTAAGTCGGACCATTCCCGTTTTATAGATAGGACCCCAGATTGGTCAAGTGGCTTGTCCTCGATCACATAGCCACAAAGTGGGAGGGCTGAGGCTCAAAACAGGTGTCTGTGAGCTTCACAGGCGGTAAGGCCGTGTCTACATGGCCGGGACATGCATCCCGGGGCTGCCCCTGCCGTGCTGCCCGAGTGCACGGGGGATGAGGACCTGACAAGGCCATTGATCTTGCGGGAGCTTCCTGAACTACTCCAGCGTGAAAATCTTCCAGAAGGATTCTCCACAGGGCAATGAGGCAAGAAATTTACAGCTTAGCCTGATTAATGGGCCAGGCAGTTAAGAGTTCTTTGCCAAGCTATGAGCATAATTTATAGTCATCACGGCAGGAGGAAAGGCCACATAACTCACATCCTTAAAGGGCCCTTAGAACAAGAGACACGCCGGATCATTGAAAACGTCTCCACTCCTGGCGCCAAAAGAGATCGGCACGTTTCTGGGTATTCTGGTCAAAGAACAGGGAGTCTGGATTAATATACACGGCAGAAAAAAGCGAAGAAAAGACACACAGGTCATATATTTCTGACTGATATTCCGTTTGTTGTTTTCGGAGGGACTTGGTATTTATTTAACCACATTCTCACTTGACACGCCCCCTCCCCACACCTTGTAAATGCCTTCCTCTTTAGCCGAGTCATTTTTCATCACATAGAATTGAAATGTTGCCAGGAAGGCGGTTTATGAGATTGTAGAAATGGCACTAGAGAAAGCAGTGTGAAAAGAGGCCTAGAACGTAAAAGTAGAAGATGCAGTTTGATTCCTGGCCCTTTTGCCGTGGGCTGCCATGGGACCATATCAAGGTACAATTGCCATGGGAAAATGATTTTAGGAACTTCCCCTGATCTCTCTGGACCTGTTTCCTCCTCTGTAAAAGAAAGAGTTTGGACAAATTGTCCTCTCTGGTTTGAAAGTTGTGTGAATTCCTTGCAATCTGACAACCACAATCTTATCATTACTCAGCATCTGGAAGTAATACTTCCCTCTGAAACCCCCAGAGCATTCTTTCTATATGTTAAAAAATGATATTTATCACTTTGTATCTCAAGTTCTAGTTATTTATGAGCATTTATTTTTTTCTTATTCCTCCCCAAATGGACTATGAGTGCTTTTGGCAGGCTGTCTTTTTCATCCTTGAATTCCCCAAGCCCCAGCACAGTATCTGGCCTGTGGGTGTCACCTAATAAAACTCTGAGTGTGAAGGACAAGCAAATGAATGAGTAGAGATGGTCTCTGCTCACTCTGTCCTTAGGTGGTATGGCTTGATTTAGAGTTTTTCTTACAAAGCATACATTCTTTCTGTTTGATATAATTTATGTGTTTCAAAATGAGGAGTCAGAAATAGATTTCATTTTTGCAAGATACTATTATTTTAGGAGAATCGTATGAAAATCTTCCCCTGTGGTGTCTCTTTTCCCCACATCAGACTTTGAATCAAAGCAACATGCTTTTCAAGGATTCTGCAAGATACAGCTCCACAATTTCCATCTCGGTGGCTTTCTTCTTCCTGCTGATTATTCAAAAACAATCCACCCTCTTACTGTGGAGAGAATATGCCCACTGATGTTGGGCCTGAACAGGTGGGCTGGCTTAGGCCCATGCAATGGTAGCAAATGGCACGCAAGCAGAGGCCTTAGATGTACTAGTGTGGTTTTCCTTGCCTCTTGTGTGTCTGCCTTTTATCCTGAAAAGAACTTAGAGAAGAGACCAGAACCCAAAATGCTGCCTAGATCAGCCCAGCACAGTTGACCTGCAACACGGTGATAAAACTGTCATGAGATACTGGGTGTTGGGACTGTCTGTCATGCAGCATTATTGCAGCAAGAATTGACCAATACAGTTACCAGCAGCAGCTGGTACCAGGGTCTGCAGCAACCTCAATTCTGGCTTCCTCAGAAGACAGAGTTCTACTGAGGGTCATAAGACAGAGGGAGAGACCAAGGCAAGTTTTAGAGCAGGAGTGAAAGTTTATTAAGTTTAGAGTGGAATGAAAGGAAGGAAAGTACACTTGGAAGAGGGCCAAGCGGGCAACTTGTGAGATCATCTGCCCTGTTTAACCATTGACTGGGGGTTTTATATGCTGGCATGCTTCTGGGGTCTTGTATCTCTTCTCCCCGATTCTTCCCTTGGGGTGGGCTGTCCGCATGCACAGTGGCCTGCCAGCACTTGGGAGGGGCCGCGTGTGCAGTGTGTTTACTGGAGTTGCACGCATGCTCACTTGAGGCATTCTTCCCTTACTAGTTGGGTGTTCCTAGAAGGTCACCTACCAGTTAAACTCTGCTATTTTGCCTCTTAGTGCACATGCCTGAGCCCACTCACCAACTCCTGATCACCAGTTTCAGTTTTTTTTCTATCTACTGAAAGACTGCCTTTCCCGGCCCTGGCTGTGACCAATGGTTATTTGAGAGAGACAGTTACCAGCCGCCTGACCATCACCTAGTGGTCACCTGACATTCCTGGTGGGGGGGACCCTCTCCTGCCCCGCTCATGTCTGACTAGCTAACAACTGCAACGATACTTCTGATTTCATTTCATCTTTGCATGTGTTTACTTTCCCCACCAATTCTTTATCTCATTTTCTTTGTGCCTTTTGAGATAGAGACAGATGCACTGCTTGGCTTGGACATCTATTTTTTGTTTTGTTTTGTTGTGTTTTATTATACTTTAAGTTCTGGGATACATGTGCAGAATGTGCAGGTTTGTTACATAGGTATACACGTGCCATGGTAGTTTGCTGCACCCATCAACCCGTCATCTACATTAGGGATTTCTCCTAATGCTCTCCCTCCCCTAGCCCCCCGCCCCCCTAACAGGCCCCAGTGTGTGATGCTTCCCTTCCTGTGTCCATGTGTTCTCATTGTTCAACTCCCACTCATGAGTTAGAACATGTGGTGTTTGGTTTTTTGTTCTTGTGTTAGTTTGCTGAGAATGATGGTTTCCAGCTTCATCCATGTCCCTGCAAAGGACATGAACTCATCCTTTTTTATGGCTGCATAGTATTCCATGGTTTATTTGTGCCACATTTTCTTTATCCAGTCTATCATTGATAGGCATTTGGATTGGTTCCAAGTCTTTGCTATTGTGAACAGTGCCTTGTTTCATTGCCCAGGCTGGAGTGCGATGGCACCATCTCAGCTCACTGCAATGTCTGCCTCCCGGGTTCAAGCGATTCTCCTGCCCCAGCCTCCTGAGTATCTGGGATTAGAGACGTGTGCCACCACTCCCAGCTAATTTTTGTATTTTTGGTAGAGATGGGGTTTTGCCATGTTGGCCAGGCTGGTCTCAAACCCCTGACCTCAAGTGATCCGCCTGCCTTGGCCTCCCAAAATGCTGGGATTATAAGTGTGAGCCACCCCACCCGGCCGGACATGTATTTTTTTATAGCGACAGTTCCATCAAGCAGCTTCTGCAGACACAAGCCCGCAGCTGGAGAACTGAGTTTGGCATCTCTCATTCTCTACGGTCATGTCTGCACTTAGTTTGTTGTTCTTTATACTTTAAAATAATTTGAAACATAACCTCTGGAAATGTTACATAATTTACCAACGTCTCTTTAAAAATCGACACTTCCGTCATACATCACATTTTATGGAATCAGAAGTTCCAGATGGCTCTTCCTTGCTGAAACAATGGCTAAAATAAACCCTTTCATATAGGATTAAGAAATTTGAAAATTAAAGTAGATCTAAAGTAAAGGCATTTGTTTTTTTAAAAATGAGATGAAATTCACATAACATAAAATTAACCCTTTTAAAGAAGGGCATTAGTAGTCTTCATCTATTCTAGTAGGTAGTAAGCTACTTCTTTCATTTTAAGTTTTATGACAAACCATAATTCAGGTAGGCCAGAGTCAGAGGAGGGAGGGAAAGGGGAGAAGAAGCCCAGAGCAGCTGGAGAAAAAGCAGAGAAGGTGGGAGGACTGAGAGGGGAGAAAGCTGGGGGAGAAAGCTGGGGAAGAAAGAAGCTCCAAACGATGAGCCTGTGGCTGCCTTCTGCTCACTGCCCTGTGTGTTGGGGGGGTGGGGGCATCTAAAGCAGACCCCATGCTCTGTGTGTTCTGGGGGTGCACTAATGCTCCCCCAAAACCATTAGTTAAAGCAGGAATCGGATAGCCATATTCCCAGCTGCATATCATTTTGGAACTGGTGGAGGAAAAATGGAACTAACGACGTGGTTTTTAAGGCAGGAGGTTAAGACGTTGAAAGTCCTTGGCTTGGACAAAGTCTAAAACTTATCTCTTTGCTCAGGCTTGAGGCAGGATGGCTCCTCATCGCCCCCCTCCCACAGCACGCACACCCTCCGGAGATGGGATGGGCCACCCTTGTCCGTCCCCGCAGGCCAGTCCCCTGCTGTCTGCTGCTTGGATCTGACCCCTGCATAAATACGCAAGCATGTGTCCCTGCTGTGGTCCGGGGGTCCCTGTGGGGGGGTCCCTGAGACTCTTCCGGGAGTCATGCAAGGTCAAAACGATTTTTCATAGTAATCCTAACGCGGTATTAGCTGTTTTCACTCTCTTGCATGTAACGTGGAGATTTCCAGTGGCCCCATGACATGCGAGGGGGAAACAGATTGAAGGCAGACGCAGACCTGGGATCCAGCTGGCTCCTGTTCAGCCAGACACGAGTTTGCAAACATTTAAAACAATGCCATTCTTGCACATTTTTTTCTTTCAGAAAATATATTTACATTTCATAAAAATGTTATTCATATGAACCTGTAATGGCTTTTATATTTTAAAAATGTCTCTGTTGTAACATGGTAAAGAGTGATTGCTGTGCCCCACATTCACAAAAGCTCGCTGGAGTCTTTCCAGGACTCTTAAGACCAAGAAGCCCGAGGACTGTTCGGGAGCAGCCGGCAGTGTTTCTGCAGTTTCCTGCTACACATCCCACGTGAAGCCTTGTGCAAATAAAAAGATTGCAGGAGGGCCCCCTGGGCGGTGTGCAGGCTCTGCTCTGGGCGAAGGCCTGAGGGGCTTGCGCTGCCGCTTTGGCTCTCGGTGCCGCGCCTTCCCAGTGCTGGGCCTTGCAGGCCGCCTGCCTGGGACCACCCCCTACCCTCACAAGGCCTGGTGCCTTCAGGCTGCCAGCCCCAGCAGCACCCTGAGGCCCACCAAGTGGGCATTTGCACTGAGAGGCTGAACATACAAATGGACAATGGTGAGACAGGCTGCATAAAAATAAACTCTGACCACAACCTCTGCAGTGACCTGCTGGGTAGCCAGTCCGCGAGCTCTGCAGCTGTTGGCCCCAAATGGCCAGGACTTGGTCATCGATGGCCAGCTTCTGAAGTTTTGCCAGTGCTTCCAACTCAGGAGCACCTAGTAAAAGGCAATGACTCACTGTAACCCTTCCCAGAGGATGCCCTGCTGCGGCCAGCTTCCCTGCAGGACAGCCAACTGTGGCCTCCCCTTGGTCACTCCGCCTGTCCACACCTGACTTGGCTTTGAGTCTCTGCCACAGGCAACTGTAATGGGTAGCACTGTGTCCCCCAGAAATTCATATGTTGAAGTCCTAACTAACCCCCTGTGACACAGAATGTGACCTTACTTGGAAATAGCGTGGTTGCAGATGTAGTTAGTTAAGATGAGGTCCCATATAACTAGTGTCCTTATAAAAATGGGAAATTTGGACCCAGGGACACACACAGGGAAAACACCATAAGAGGATGAAGGCAGAGCAGGGCTGATGCTTCTATAAGTCAAGGGGGACAAAGACTGCCAGCATGCAGCAGAGCCGGGGACAGGCCGGGGGGAGATGCTTCCCAGTGCCATCAGTGGCAGCTGGCAGACCTTAATCTTGAACTTCCAGCCTCCGGCACGTTTGTGCAGGCCACCAAGTCTGCAGTACTTTGTCACGACAGCTCTGGTCAGCGGCAGTGGCTGACATCCTGGCTGCAGCAGGCTTGTCCTCATCTGGGTGGGCTTCATCTATCTCTGCAGCCCCCACACCCCTGCTGCGGGAAGTACAGGCCTTGAGGTGCAGTTCGCAGGACCCCAGGCTTTGAGTCAGTTTTGGAGAGGGCAAGGCTGATGGAAGCCTTTTTGTGGGCTGCAGGTGTTCAGTCTTAGAGACATGGCCTGAAGGATCTCCTGACATGGTCCAGGGAGGCCTCCGTGCCGTCTGCCTTCATCTCTGTGTCACCCAGACCCCCCTCGAGGCGGCCTGGGCCTGGGCTGCAAACCACTGAGCAGGTCTCAGCCTCAACCCCAGAAGCTCACAAGTGGGAGGGAGCCCTGGAAGCCCGTGGTGGTGTTTTGATTCCCGTGGTGTAAAGAGCCTGGGGTTGGCTCAGAGGTCTTTATTTGGCCTTGCGTGTGCATGGGGAACCAGCGCCTCACTCCTCCCATGGCAGGCCAAGGCCGACTGGAAAGGAGTTATTTTGAGATCAGCACAGCCTGTACAGATAACAGTAATAGTATTTCACTGCTAAAGTTGTGTGAGAAATGTTGGGTTGGGGGAGAAGAATGGAGATGAGTTTAAAAATAGAAGGCTGTAATTAGCCAAGCACGGATTTGTTCTAGAAGGCATCAATTACTACGGCAACCACACGGCCCAGATTTTCCAGGGCGGTCTCATTCCATGGGACCGGATTCTTTTCAGTAAATGTGATCGGTTCCACGTGGAAAAGTGATTTGCTGTCATGGAGGTGTCCGATGTTACACATAAATTAATTCACAAATCCAAGCCAATGCTTTGTCCTATCAGGACTCTCTTTATTTTGTTATTAAAATGCAGTCATTTTGCCTGTGGTCTTTTCCTACAGGTTAAGAACTATTCATGTAGATAAGAATTCAGGAAGGTGTGCGTTGAAAGCGGGGCCGCTGAAGGAGTGTAAGGAGGAGAGTCAGACAAACTTTTTGGTTGCAGTGCTTTCCATTTTTCATTTTGGAGACAGTGTCTGCACTCCCAGGCTGGAGTACAGTGGCGTGATCATAGCTCACTGAAGCCTCCAACTCCTGGGCTCAAGGGATCCTCCCTCTTTAGCCTCCCCAAAGACTGGGACTATAGGTATGTGCCATCACTCACAGCTAATTTTTTGATTTTTTATGGAGAAGAGGGTCTCACTGTGTTGCCCAGGCTGCTCTTGAACTTCTGAGCTGAAGAGATCTTCCCACCTTGGCCTCCCAAAGTGCTGGAATTACAGGCATGAGCCACCACTGTGTCTGGCCACTTTAAAAAAAAAACTTTTTTCTTTTTTAAATTTTAGAGACAGGATCTTGCTGTCTCCTAGGCTGAAGTACAGTAGCAGATCATAGCTCACTGCAGCCCCGAACTCCTGGCCTCAAGCGATCCTTCCACCTCTGCCAAATAGCTGGGACCACAGGTATGCACCACCGTGCCCAGCTAACTTTTTTTTTTTTTTGAGACGGAGTCTTGCTGTGTTGCCCAGGCTGGAGTGCAGTGGCGCGATCTTGGCTCACTGCAAGCTCCGCCTCCCGGGTTCACGCCTTTCTCCTGCCTCAGCCTCCTGAGTAGCTGGGATTACAGGCGCCCGCCACCACGCCTGGCTAATTTTTTGCATTTTTAGTAGAGACGGGGTTTCACCGTGTTAGCCAGGATGGTCTTGATCTCCCGATCTCATGATCCGCCTGCCTCAGCCTCCCAAAGTGCTGGGATTACAGGCATGAGACACCACGCCCGGCCCCAGCTAACTTTTTATTTTGTTTGTTATAGAGATGGGCTCTTGCTATGTTGCCCAGAATTGCTTTACATTTCTAACTGGACATACACCCAAGGGGCTGGTCACAAGTGTTTGCCACATTTGGTATAGTACATCTCACAGTATGCCACAGACGCTCCGCAGGCTACACTCACACAAGCTGTTCTGTGCATGGGTTATTATGGCTTGTGTATCCTGCGTGCCCATGAAGTGCCACACGAAGTGTGTACTGAAAGGGATGTGTGTGAATGCCTCAGAGGCCAGAGGCAGAGCTTGGAGCCAGAGAGATGGGAGCGCCTCAGGACCAGAGCTGGTGGAGTCATCCTAGCCGCGTGGGATAGGAAACCGTATTTTCTGTTTTCTGCTTTGGTTCTCAGAGAAGGCAACGGTTGTGTTGGGCCGGTAGGTGCAGGGGGAAGTATGCCAGCAGAAGTCTAGGAGTCAAGGACCCTGGAGGTGGAGGTGAACGGAGGGACACCCACTCACTGCTGGTGAGCGGGCATCTTAGCAGTAGAAACCTACATTTTGGAGACTTGGATATTGTTGCTATTTATAGTTTCAATCATGATTCCCCTTAGTTTTCTCCATCTTTTGCTTTATTACTTTTTTTTGCAAATGTCAGCTAATTTTAGTTATACTCGGGATAAGGCGATTGGAATTTTGATGGGCATGGTAGAAATCAGAGTTAAAAACAACAACAACAGCAACAACAAGCAGAACTCCAAGGGGAAGGTGAAGCTTGGAGGTTAAATGCTGAGAGCCCTGAAGATGACTGGAGCCCCTGCTCCCATTCCGCAGCATCTCCTAGCCCTCTTCCCTGCTTAACCTTTGGAGGGTCTTGCACTTTTGTTTTAAGAGGAAGCTGTTCTGTGTTCTTCACAGCTGATTACTTGCTACCAAGGAGGTGGCATCTCCAAAAACTTGCCTTCAACACTGGTTTGTGGCTGTACAACAGTCAAACAGTTTCTCAAAGTGTGCTTTGTGGCCCGTCAGCACCTGAAGCCCCCAGGGGCCTGTCAATTGCAGAATTCCAGCTTCCTCTTCAGACTGACTGCATGAGTCTAAATATCTGAGTGGCTGGACCTCCAGATCTTCATTTTCAGCACACAACTACTTAATTTTTCAGCACACCAAAGTTTAAGAGCCACTGCTGCAAAATCTCAGCAAGTTGAGCTGAACTCTGAACTCCCTCTTATCTCCACAGTCCCTAAATGGGGAGTATCATTTTCCCAGCTCCAAGGCGACATGCCTGAATTCCTTCAGCTTGAGTGGCGTGAACAATGTGGGTGCCTTTAAAAGGCTAACATGCTGCCAAAAGATAACCACAGGTGGACATGGCTCTGGATGGGACTCAAAGATGTGGGTTGTTTCCAAAGATAGCAATACCAAACCCGTGCTGATGACTCTGTGTGTCTATATGTGTGTGAAGCTGAAGAGCCTTATATAGCGAGGTGAGGCCCCAGGAAGGATTTGCGGAGTACAGTGCGTTCCGCACGCTCTTGAACGTGCGTGTTCTCAGAACTCTGATATGTGTGTCTCGGCAGCTGATCTGTAAGGAGGTCACCACGTGTCCACATCTATCTTTGCAGACTGCCCCATCCAGCTTAGTGAACAGCTGATAAATGCCTGTAGCAAGCAGAGCGAGGCAGCTGAGCCAGAACTTTTACAAATGGGAGCAAACATCTGCCGTGGTTGCTCGTGGTAGAGGGGCTGTTATTAGTGTTATTACAGTTGGGGATGGATAAACTGCGGAGCCTCAGATGGTTCTGTGGAGATGGACCAACAATGGCACCACAGGTAAGAAGAGGAAAGGCACACCCGGCAGCCACTCCCTCTTGTTCAAATGTTGTTCTCTTGGTTGTTTGTTGATTCTCCCATTGTATTAGTTCATTCTCACACTGCTATAAGGACATACCTGAGACTGGGTAATTTACAATGGAAAGAGATTTGATTGACTCACAGTTCCACAGGGCTGAGGAGGCCTCAGGAAACTTGCAATCATGGTGGAAGGAGAAGCATATGCATCCTTCTTCACATGGCAGCAGCAAGGAGAAGCACAGAGCAAAAGGGGGAGAAGCTCCTTATAAAACCATCAGATCTCATGAGAAACGCACTATCGCGAGAACAGGATGGGGGAAACTGCCCCCCATGATTCAATTATCTCCACCTGGTCCCTCCCATGACACATGGGGATTATAGGGACTACAATTCAAGGTGAGATGTGGGGACAGGCACGGTGGCTCACTCGTGTAATCCCAGCACTTTGGGAGGCTGAGGAGGGCAGATCACTTGAGGTCAGAAGTTTGAGACCAGCCTGGCCAACATGGTGAAACCCCATCTGTACTAAATCCCATTAGTATATAAATTAGTCTGGCATAAAATATAAAAATTAGTCTGGCATGGTGGCAGGCGCCTGTAGTCCCAGCTACTCGGGAGGCTGAAGCAGGAGATCACTTCAACCCAGTAGGTGGAGGTTGCAGTGAGCCGAGATCACGCCACTGCACTCCAGCCTGGGAGACAGAGCAAGACTCCCTCTCAAAAAAAAAAAAAAAAAAAAAAAAAAAAAAAAAAAAGAAAAGAAAAGAAAAGAAAAAAAAGAAGAAAGAAAGAAAAAAAGAGATTTGGGTGGGGACACAGCCAAACCATACCACCCATCAAAGCAGGGCACTCTCTTCCCTCACCTGCTTTACTTTTCCTCAAAGCACCCACCATCCCCTCTGGCATAAACGCCTGGATTTATTCCCAGTCCCCTTCCTGGAACATGAACCCTAGGGGAGGCTTCCGGGATGTTCTGCTCACACATGGGAGGAGCTCAAAGAGCCTTTGTTGATTGAATCGATGATAGACAAGCTATCTCAGAGGAAGATTTGAAGTGACTGGGAGCTCCTTCTCAACCCTCTCCCTGAGACCTGCTCACAGAGCATGAAGTCTAAATTCTGGCTCTGAATGAGTCTGAGCAACGCCTGAGTGCCCAGCAACCTCAGCTAAGCACAGCAAGTTTCGGTTTGTGGCTTCCTCCCTGTGCCGAGCAGATCCCATCCTTGGGGAGTCCCCAGCCGGTCTCCACAGTGTCCAGACACCACGGTTCTCATGAGGCTCTACCCTCCCTGACTTCCACTCATCCAAGGGCCTCCAAGTCTTCAAGGCCAGCTCAGGCCCAGCCCTCCAAGAAACAGTTTCTTCTGATGACACCAACCCATCCTGATGTTTCCTGATTCCCAGTTCCTATGGGCTCCAGGCCTATTGCAGTCCAGGGCTCTGCTACTGAAGCTCTGGGTCTCACCAAGTGGGAGGTATGACTGTTCATGGGATCAACAGACCCCAGAGTCCAAGGTCCAGGGCTCTTAGATTAGGTAGAATCTGGTAAGATAGTAAGATACTACCAGATACTGGTCAGGCGTGGTGGCTCATGCCTGTAATCCCAGCAACTCAGGAGGCCGAGGCAGGCGGATCACGAGATCAAGAGATCGAGACCATCCTGGCCAACATGGTGAAACCCTGTCTCTACTAAAAATACAAAAAATTAGCTGGGTGTGGTGGTGCATGCCCTGTCGTCCCAGCTACTTGGGAGGCTGAGACAGGAGGGTCGCTTGAACCCGGGAAGCAGAGGTTGCAGTGAGCTGAGATCGTGCCACTGCACTCCAGGCTGGTGACACAGCAAGACTCCATCTCAAAAAACCAAAAAACCAAAGATTCTACCAGATACTACCCACAGTGTACCCCATGCATAATACCTAGTACACAGTAGAGTACACATTAGGTGCTCACAAATCCCTGTTGTTTAATTATTCAGGCTCCATCTCCATAGGTACCATGATCAGTTTTTTCACACATTCCTCTCTTTAGGGTCACAGTATGTGAAAGATCCCCTGATGCATTTTTTAAACATTTTATCAAAGTAAGAGATGCATGTAGTTGAAGAACTGTGTAGAACTGAAGGGCACGGTATGGTGAGAAGTGGTGCCTCCATCCGTTCCTTACCTCCCGGAAGATGACGCCTTCCTCTTCAATCTTTTAAGGACCCTGTGAGTATATTAGGCCCACCCAGATAATCCAGGACCATCTCCTCATCTCAAAGTCCTTAACTTAATCACATCTGCAAAGTCCCTTTTATCACAGAAGGTAAAAGTCATGGGTTCCAGGGATTAGGTTTGGGACCAATTATTCGGCCAACCACCTCCGTGTGAGCGAATGCCATTATTTCCTGATAAACCCATCCTTCACGCATCACCTGCCGATTTCCTATTACGAGAAGGATTTCACTCTTGTATCTTTACCTCACTTCCTCTCCCATCTTCTCACAATGTTATTAAGACCCTGCAACCATCCTTCCCAGCAGAGCCAGCTCATGTACTATCATTTCATGTCCTTTCTTGGAGGGGATTTTCTCCTACAGTGGAGACGCTTCTTCAATTTTCTGGCTGTCTTTATCTCTGTCCTGCAGTTTGCTCTTATCATGTTCCTGTCCTTCTCCTGGAACCCTCCCTCTGGAGTCCTCCAACTTTGTCCTCTGGGCACCTCACAGCATAGTGGTTGGGTGGGTTTCAACCATTGAGAGATAGAGACAGAGAGAGAGAACACAAACACGAGAATACTGAGTAGAGTCCTCTCACCTTTTTGACCCAGCCTTGGCAGTCACACAATGTCACTCTGGCTATACTCTTCTTCCAATTCTATTCACAGAGGCCCTGGTACGTTCAAAGGGATGGGGAAACAGACACTATCTCTTAAAGCAGGGGTAATGGTAACATTCTAGAACATGTGAGACCAGAAATGTTACAGTGGGCAACTGTGGAAATTATCAATCCACCCTACAGCAGAACAGTCTTTTTTTTTTTTTTTTTTTCCCCAAGATGGAGTCTCCCACTCTGTTGCCCAGGCTGGAGTGCTGTGGCGCAATCTTGGCTCACTGCAGCCTCCACCTCCCGGGTTCAAGCGATTCTCCTGCCTCAGCCTCACCAGTAGCTGGGATTACAGGGATGCACCACTATGCCCATCTAATTTTTGTATTTTTTTTAGTGGAGATGGGATTTCACTATGTTGGCCAGGCTGGTCTCAAACTCCTGACCTTAAGTGATCTGCCTGCCTTGGCCTCCCAAAGTGCTGGGATTACAGGTGTGAGCCACTGTGCCCGGCCTGGCATTATAGTCTTTTTCTCAAACAAAAATCTGTTTTCTCAGAGAGAGACTGGTGCTAGCTGAATAAAACATTATTTTCAACTCCATCCCGCTTGCTTTTCACTGTCTACCCACATACCGTATACAACTTTGTCATGAGGCTTTAAGACAACTTTTCTCTCTTGTTATCTCCACCCCTCCCATTATTTTCATTTTATATGACCTTATCTTTTTTCTTTGCTTAGTATTAGAAAAATAGCTTTTAAAATGAAGAATAGTATTTTTTCTTCAAAGGATGCATCCAGAAACAGTTGCATTTCCTGAAAGTCCTTTATTTTTTTAACCACTTCAAAAAATATAAGGTCTTTGGGACAGATTTTTGTGTAACCAAAAGGCTGATGTTAGGATGATGGCCAAACTGTAACCACTCCCTGTCACCCCCTTGGCTTGTTGCTCTTGTTTTAAAAATCATTCTTTTGAGAACAAATACTTTTAGGCAATCTAATTACAATATGATATGTAATATTTGAACCAGTTGACCAAAATCAACATTAAATCCAAATCTCACATTATTTAGGCAAAAAGGAGACCTAATGCATTACATTACATGTAGATTTCAAAGTTCTTACACTATTAAAACAGTGAGAAGACAGCAAGGGTTGCCTGCAGGCCACACAGCCCCTCTGTGATGATACCTTACGAGTACCACTGAAGATGTCAAAAGCCGCTTTGAGCCTTCCTGGTGCAGGTGCTGCTTGGACATTATGAGGCTTCACTGGCTCATCTCAGCCCATGTTCACAGAGCTTACTGCTGTCTAGTGCTTGGGGAGCCTCAGCCTCATCAATGGCCTGTGTTACGCTGCCGTGGAGGGTGTCCAAATGTGCTTTCCACTCTAGGTCACCAGGTACAGTAGTGCGTGCCAGGCACTGAGCAACTCTAGGGGCACCATTCTCATAGGGGTCATCCTAGGTCAGTTTCCTAACAAATAGTAGAATTTATCTCTAGCAATGGGAGCCTTTTCTAGTTCATGCCAAGGTACATGCTGCCTGGAGGGAAAAGAGCACTGTTCCTGCAATCAGTTAATTGGGGCATAATCCTGCAGCTTTCGTTTGACGACCCTGTGTGTATTAAGTTTCCTAGGGCTGCTGTAACATACAACAGCCTGGGAAACAACAGAAATTAATTTTCTCACAGTTCTGGAGGCTAGAAGTCTGAGATCAAGGTGTCAGCAGGGTTGGTTTTTCCCAAGGACTATCTCCTTCGTTTGTAGATGGCTATTTTTTCCCTGGCTCCTCACATGGTCTTCCCTGCGTGTGTCTGTGTCCTAATCTCTTCTTACGACACTAGTCATATTGGATTAGGACCCACCTTTATGACCTAATTTAACCTCATTTATTTCACTCTTATTTGTTAAGAGTCAGAGTCTTGCCCTGTCACCCAGGCTGGAGTGCAGCGCCATGATCACAGCTCATTGCAGCCTTGAACTACTGGGCTCAAGTGATCCTCCTGCCTCAGCCTCCTGAGTAGCTGGGCCTACAGGTGCGCACCACCACAGCCAGCTTCATTTATCTTTTTAAAGACGCTTTATGCAAATATAGTCACATTATCAGGTACTGGGGGTTAGGACTTAAACATACGAATTTTTGGAGAACATATTTCAGCCAATAACACTGTGCCTCAAGGGCCCTAATCTTTAACCTAGGGAATATAATGATATTCTTACAGAAAATCATATCAAAGTGCTTTGTAGACTGCAAAGGGCTGCACAAATATTGTGTGGTTACTTCCTGTGTCCTGACAACTTGTGCCTGGATCCCTGATGTGATCATTTAGATCTGGTAGAAATACCAGGTGGAGTCAGCCTCCTAAAGATGGAACAGTGGGTAACAGGTGTAGAAGCTGGGGCATGAGGTGGTGGCGTGCTCTCCTTGCATGAAGGCCCTCTCTCCCCTGCTGCTCCCGCTGTTGGTGCTGATGTTCAGACTCATGGACAGTGAGCCCTACAATGTGTCATACCCCTGGGGCTGAGGGCAAGAGGGAAAGGGAACAATGGCCCACACCAAAATGTAAAAGGCCCTCCGGGAGTTCTGGTGTATAGGCCCTCCATGTAGCTGGAAATGATGGCCACAATTCCTCAGACGCCTGCCGGCTCTTTCTTCCACGTCTTTAGTAGGGGATCAACAAGGTCACTTACTGTAGGGAGTGATTTACTCCGCCTTCCCTGGATCACATCAGATTGATTCTAATCAGATATCTATGTACTGTTACTCCCTGAACAAGCATTTGGCAGTACTGGTAGTGGGGAGCCAAGATGGATTTAATTTCCTTTGGCCGATATGCTTCATTTTCATGATAACATTTCTCAAAACTTAACGGAGGGGCTCTTGATTTCTGAATCTGCCCTTTTTTCTAGAAGGGTAAGGCAGGAAGGTAAGATCTCATTCTCAGATGATTAAGACCAGCACCCTCCTGCAGTATCCACGCTCCCACCCTGGGGCTTTCCTTTGAAATCAGCAAGAGTCTGTGTAGATGAAGAGATACGAGTCAGGAGCAGGTCCACATAGAAGCGGCTTTCCCATATTAATAATAATGTTTCACAATAATATCACTTTGGGTGCTTCCTCTACTCCTTGGAGCCATAGATAGTGGATTTATTGACTTGTTTTCCTTTGACTTATGGCTCTTTCTCGTTATTTTCTGAGTGTGGTTTTGCTTTGCTTCCTGGAAAGGGAAACAGAAGTGGTTCTGGTGAATCCTGGGAGAGTAGAGCCTAGTTTTGAACTCTTACTCTCTTGATGACACGGCTGCTCAGAGGGAAGCGTGGCCAGAAGAACATGTTGGAGTTCCTTGCTCATATCCCTGTGAATATGGCCACATGTGGCTCTAGGCATTCAGTGGGTTCATGCAGTCTTTGGAACAGAACCCCACAAGGGGCTGACAAACAACCTTCTAAGGCTTGGGGAGTGCTGAACTGGACAAACCAGGGTTTAGAGCTTCCTCAGTGACATGCACCGAGTGGATCCAGTGGCCCCTCTTAGAGTCTCTCCAAAAGGAGGGGGGCCCTTCTTCCCTTTTTTGCATCTCCACTTCCCTCTCCCTAGGGCCCAGTGCTTTGTCTGACCTCCTCTCCCACTGGAAATTTAGAGGTTATGTGCATTTCATCTATCAATGAATACAAAGAAGATGATTCCGAATCCGAGAACTGCTAAAATGGAATTTCAGGCATTTCCAGGGAGAGTTTAAATGGTAGAAAGGGCTGGATTTACCATTAGTGGCTATTAGTTTGATTCTACTAAGACAGCATTTCTATTTTGCTGTTGGGACTGAAACAAACCTCATTCATTTGACATGAAAAAAGTTGGGACAGTTTTGGTATCTCCTTAGCTGGCTCGGTTAAGTGTATGTGAGGGAGACCATTTTTCACGCCTGGCCGGCTCTGTGCTTAAGTGGCCCCATCGCAGCCAGAGTAGCCTCATTACAGCTGAAGTCCCTGGTAGGTCTCCTCCTTCCTCTGAGCCCAGCGCAGTGCCAAGGCCGGGGACTCTGGCTGGCACTGGTGACACGCTGTCTTGTCCTGAAGACACGAGGTTGGGTTCGGCAGCTGGCTCCTCCGGGACAGGGCCCAGTGCACTGAGCTTAGCTGAGCCCTTCCCCTCACACCTGAAGTGTGGCACGAGGATGGTCACTCAGAAGCAGCGAGTAGGGTGTCCTGGTGGGAAAAGCCTGGCTTTGTGCAGTCTCGGGGAAGGTTTTCAATGCCATCTGAGCCTGTTTCCTCATCTCTAAGGCAGGGACCAGGTAGCCCGCCCCGCAGGGTAGTTGCAGGAAGCAGACATGTATCTGGGAGCAGCTGGCGAGTTCCTGGCATGCACTGCTCCCATCCGATTTCCGCAGATTTCCTGCTGGAACGTTCTCTCGGGCCTCAAGTTTTCCTGAGAGGACGACGTGGAGAGTGGAGACAAAGATGCTCAAAAGCCAGGAAATCGCAGGCTCGGAAGCCCCCACGCATGCCTCTGAACGCAGCGCCATCTCGGGGCTGCGGCGGGACCAAGCGGGACGCTTGCAGGCTGTCGGCGGCGGGGGCCGCGAGCCGCCGGCGTAGGCCGCTCCAGCTGGAAGACCCCACCGCTAGGGTTCCAGGGGGCTGCGGACGCTTCCGAGGGGCCCAAGGCGAAAGAACGCAGCCCGCTTGTCGGCCACGTGACCGTCCCCGTCCGCGTCCGCAGCGACCACGTGACTGTGCGTCCGCGGCGTCGATTGACTGGGAGCTCCCTGGCCACGCCCTAAGCGCCAGCCCCGGGCTTCGGGGGGCGGTGCTGCTGCGGTTGCCATGGCGTCTTCCGAGCGCGCAGGCGTGGGCCCAGAGTAGCTTTTCGGGTATTTGCTACCGGCTCTCGGTAGGGCTGGTCACCTTTGCTTGCTGAGCTTCGCGCCCTGCGTCCTTTGGTCCCCAGCAACTTGCAGGGCAGCCGTCCCTCATGAGGCCCTCCAGCGAATGCCCTAAAGCTCCGAAGTTGCTCCGGAGGAAAACAGGCTTGCTCCGAGGGTGCACGTCCTTACTGCCCGTGACGTCGTGGTGCCTTGAGGGCACCCTTCTGGGAAGATCCTTGCAGAGGCCATGTCCCCTCTCCACGACATCCAAGCCCATTCCCAACTTGCTTTTCACTCCTGTCCCCCCGGGGAACGTCTACTGGACCTTAGGACAGCCCCTCACCCCCGTGCACCCCCCAGGTGGATCTGCAGCGAAACCTCTGTGGTGACTCACAGTTGCTAGCATTGGTTATCTTCTTCCTGGCAGAAGGTGGCAGGCTGATGCTGTCGTCGTTCCTGTGTGTCTGACAAATCACAAATATGAATTCAGATCGTCACAGCTGAGTCATGCCCAGGATTTCCATGAGCCCTGCTGGGGTGGCCAGCTTGAGCTCCCTTCCCCACAGCCTCCTCCAGCTCTGCAGCGCCAGGCACCAGTGTGACTCATGGGGGCCTGTGGAAGCCGGGGCTGCTCAGTGGGGCTGAGTCTAGGAGGGGGAGAGAGAGAAAGGGAGCCCATCAACAATTACAGTGCAAACGCCGCAGCTGCCACCACCGAGTGCCTCCAGTTAGGAACTGGTTTGTGAAATTCATTACCCTATGAGACGAGTTTTATCTCTGTTTCACTCAAGAGGATTCTGAGGCTCAGGAGGTTGTGAATGACTCGGGGAAGCACAGCTGGTAGGTGGCAGGGTTGAAATTTGAATCCAGGTCATTCTGACCCAGGAGTTCAGACTTTTTCCCAGCCCAGCCTTTCCACTCGACCTCAATTAGCACAGTCATGCTGGGTGCCAAAGCTATTTACTTTGCTTGCGGGAGTCCAGGAGCTGGCTCCTAATGGCTCCATTTGAAATGGTTTTTTAGGCAAAGGAGACTAGATGAACGTGGAGGAGAGGGAAAGTATTTAGGCGCGAAGATGCTACAGAACAGGCTTATTCCAGTGCACCTCCAAACCCAGGCGTGGTGTTCTTCCTTCTCGTGCCTTACTTTTACATCCCCAGCCACTGCTTGGTATCACCTGGTTGTCCTCTGGGCACCTGAAGCTCAGCATTTCCCAGGATGAATATTTGCTTTTCCCTGCCATATCTGTCTGCCCTGAGTGAGTCAGTATCAGCGGCCATGTGACCGTCCGTGTCTGCAGCGTCCTCCCCCCATCCCAATATTCTTGCAGGCAGTCAGGCTTTGAAGACCAGGTTGTCTCTTGTTAACTTGAAAATCACACAATCTAGAAATTTGGACCAGGAGACTTTCTTTCTTTCCTTTCTTCCTTCCTTTTTTTTTTCTTTTTTTTTTTTTTTTTGACAAAGTCTTGCTCTGTCGCCCAGGCTGGAGTGCAGTGTGGCTCGATCTCGGCCCACTGCAACCTCTGCCTCCCGGGTTCAAGCGATCCTCGTGCCTCAGCCTCCCGAGTAGCTAGGATTATGGGCGCCCGCCACCATGCCTGGCTAATTTTTGTATTTTAGTAGACACAGAGTTTCACTTTTTTTTTTTCAAATAGAGACAGTGTTACTGGTGGAGGGTGTCCAGGTTCTTGGCGTCTTGTACAAAGAACTGGGCAAAACCCACAAACACAGCAAGGAAAGAACGAAGCAACAAAAGCAGAGATTTATTGAAAACGAAAGTACACTCCACAAGATGGGATCAGACCCGAGCATAGGGACTAAGAGCCTGGTTTCAGAATTTTCTGGGGTTTAAATGCCCTCTAGAGGTTTCCCATTGGCCACTTGCTGTACACCCATGCAAATGAAGTAGTGGCTTGCAATCTACTGTAACTACAAAGTGAAGTTACAAAGGTTACACACTATGCAAACGTCTGATTAGTTGTGGAAAGCAACCAATCAGCGGCTAAAGTGAAGTTACAAAGTTACACTTCTATGTAAACAAAGACTTAGCCTGCAATCAGTCTGTCTGGTTGTAGAAAATGGGAAAGTATGGAGGGTTTATCTCTGGTCCTTTTGTTACTTTGTTGTGGAAAGTTGGGGTTTTCCTTTTGATTTAGTTCTAGGAAGTCAACATGAGTTGGCCTTAGGTTCCCTGCTTCTAGACCCCATTCTCCTGCCTCAACAGGGTCTTACTATGTTGGCTAGGTTGGTCTTGAACTCTTGGCCTCAAGCAGTCCTCCTGTCTCGGCCTCCCTAAGTGCTAGGATTACAGGCGTGAGCCCCCACGCCTGCAGAGGAGACTTTATTTCTTATAAGGGGTTATAGGCTGCAGGGTGGCCATCCTGTAGGCTGGGAAGAGCCTCCTTCAAAGACCAGAGACAGGCCCTCTGGGGGAAGAAGGGGTAAGTCAGAAATTTAAGTTGAACATGTTGACCAAATGTACATATTCAACAGATTATCAGAGGAGATGTGAGTATTTATGAAGGGGGTCCTGACACATGCATATTGAACAAACATGCATGTAACATACAACCCATGTTCATTTGGGGTGGAAAATAACATTTGAATGTATTACAATTAGCCCCTATAGGTCAAAAGTTCCTTTTGGGACACAAAAGCACTCAAGTGTGCACCCTCTGTAAACTGGCTAGGACTAGTTCATGATTGGATTGGTGGTGTCTCATCTAGAGAAAGTTACTGACATCAGTGTCTTGTACAATCAAAGGTGTAGTTATGGCTGGGCAGTTAGTCTGTGCCTTATCTGCGTGAGCTGCAAATTGTTTTAATATTGCTTATCCTGAGACCAGTGCTTATTTAGACGGTAGAGAAAAAGAAAAATTCTGTGGCTGTTAGAACAGAATTTATTCTTTAAGCATAGAGGTGAGTGATTCAACCCTTGCTTGGTGTAAGGAACATGGTTGTGCTTTGGTCAAGGATAGGCCAAGGTGGGATGTTTACATCCTGCGTGACTCAGGGAGTTTAGAGCGCAGGCGTATAACTCCACTTGTTATCGCATCCACGGAGCCATAACATGGGAAGGCCGTCCCTTGGCATTAAGCCACTATTGTCTGTAAAAGGTATAATTGCCCTGCCGACACTGTACAGGTGCTGGCACCCAGAGAAAGAGAGAGAGCCAGAGCTGTCCATCTTTGCAGATGGACAGAGGGGAACCAGGACACAGCTTGGCTCACTGGCGCCCAGAGAGAGACAGAGTTAAGCTGCCAACCTTGAAGGCAAGGGAGAGCTGGCTGCGCAGCTGTGTGTGTGGGAGCTACCAGACTAAGCAGCCGAGACAGGGCGGACAGTGTGAGAAAGCTGTTGATGAAAGCTGCTGTTGAATAAAACCATATTCACCTGCCTACCACCCCATGACTGTTCTTTCTGCTCATCTACCCACTCCCTTTGGACCTCAGCATGGGCTGGAACCTGACCCCAAGTGTGACATTTGGCATAGTTGTGAGCCTGACACCTGGCGTGGCCATAGGTCTTATTTATAGTTTGATGTCTTATTTATAGTGTGATATCTTATTGTCACAGAATCTGTTGTCCTATGATCTCTATTTTAGCATTAATGCTCATCAGCTGTGTCTAAACCGCAAAATGGGAGGCATTAACGAGGCATGTCTGCCTGCCCATCCTGTCATGGCTGGGAACTCAATTTTTAAGGTTTTTCAGGGGTCCCTTTGGCCAAGAGAGGGCTCGTTTAATTTGTGGGGAGGACTTAGGATTTTATTTTTAGCTTACACTCTGAAGCTCCTGCTCACATCCAATTGTATGAAAACAAGCTTTTCATGTATTTCGTCTAGTAATTTTTTTAAATTTTTTGTTTTTGCAGCAGAAGGATTCCTCTGGTTCTCCATCACGGCCAGAAGCATAATTTGATGACAGCATTTTTTTTTTTTTTTGAGACAGAGTCTTGCTCTGTCACCCAGGCTGGAGGGCAGTGGTGTCACCCAGGCTGGAGGGCAGTGGTATGACCTTGGTTCACTGCAACCCCCACCTCACAGGTTCAAGTGATTCTCCTGCCTCAGCCTCCTGAGTAGCTGGGATTACAGGTGTACGCTGCCACTCCCAGCTAATTTTTTGTATTTTAGTAGAGACGGGGTTTCACCGTGTTGCCCAGGCTGGTCTTGAACTCCTGAGCTCAGGCAATCCACCCACCTTGGCTTCCCAAAGTGCTAGGATTACAGGTGTGAGCCACCGCGCTCAGCCGATGACAGCATTCTTTTCGATCATTTTCTTTTCTGCTGTTCAGACACTGCTAATGGCTTGTAGTTTCCCGTGATACTAATGAGACAGGCTAGTTTATTAGTGTTTTGTTCTCTTTTTTCTATCTCCTCCCCATGCCCATTCTGAGCAGATAGCTGTACTCTTCACATGTCCTTGCTTCAAGAAACTGGTTGAAGACCACCCTTCGTCCAGCCTTGTGTGAGTCTGAGCTTGTTGAAGAGACTTTGCCACAAGTTTAGTGGTGGGAGAGGGGGAAAAGGAGTGCTTTTGAGGTCTGGGAAGGAGAAGAAGATATTTTAGAACCGACTCTCACACCTCGTGCCTCCCAGCAGGGCCTCGAGGGTGTGGTGAGACACCAGGACCACACAGCCTTGGGACCAAAGCTGTGCCTGATGTGATACAGGTCTCCATAAAGGTTTGCCAAACAAGCAAGTTAGTACTTACAATTTCCCATGACTGTCACTCAGATTACGTGTGCCTAAATAACTTGCCCATCGCTTAAAAGAGAAACCCCATAAATGTCCTTTGATCCATTTATGCCTCAAGACTGTTGTCATTGTCATTGTCATTATTGTCATGTTCTCAAATATTTTTGCCTGGAGAGTTTTCCTGTCTGAGGACTTTTCACATGTAGAAGAATTACTTCTCATTCTTCCTGTTGAAATTACTCTCAAATCTTTTCTGACAGAGTTGCAAACACACTGACAGCTCCCGAATGATCTGATACAGGATCCTTAATAGGCATGGAAGTGTTCGCCAGACAGAGGGGTCCTGCCCTTGCTGATCTGAGCTGGTTCTGTGTTAGAGACTCCGTGGGCGTCTGTTTGACAGGATCTGCCAGGAGCTGAAGAATAACTTTCCTGATCTGGAAGAGCAAATCTCAGATATTTTGCACATTTGCAGGTATTTTAAAACAGTTTCTGTAAGATGCCAACATTACTTTTCCAGTATTTTGAAGTTCTCCAGTGTTTACTGAGAAGAGCTCAGTTGTGTTTATACCGAATTTCAGGTGGGTTTCTTGACCGCGCCTCTCACTTCATCACCAGCTTTGCTCTGGGCCCCTAACTGTACTCCTCCTGAGGGTCCCGCGGATTCAGGTGACTGGTGCCCTTCAGGTTTCATTTGTGAGGACCTATTCTTCTTCCTGGGACTTTGGCTTGTGTCTTTCTTCTGCTAAACCAAATTTGCCACTTCCTCTAAGATTCTGTTCCAAACTCTCTCATCTCAGGAACGTTTCCTGAAAACCCGACTCCCTGTGCTGATTTTTCCTGATGAGCCTTCCCTATGCCCTTGGTAAAATGAAGTTTGACAAACACAACTATGTTTATGAACATTTGCATTCATATAACTTTTCTCTTCTCTTGAATTATTTGCTTAATAATCCTCCAGGAGTGAATTTACTGGATGAAAGCATTTCAACTTTTTTTTTTTTTTTTTTTTTTGTGAGATAAGGTCTTGTTCTGTCACCCAGGCTGGAGTGCAGTGGCACAATCATAACTCACTACAGCCTTGACCTCCGGCTTCAAGCAGTCCTCCCACCTCAGCCTCCCGAGTAGCTGGGACTACAGGCACACACCACCACACCCAGCTTATTTTTGTATTTTTTATAGAGACAGGGTTTCCCCATATTGCCCAGGCTGGTCTTGAACTTTTGGGCTCAAGTGATCTGCCTGACGCAGCCTCCCCAAGTGCTGGGATTACAGGCATGAGCCACCCTGCCTGGTCGCATTTAGACATTTTTATGGGTGATTGAATTCATTCATTAAAAAAGTATTTGTTGAGCATCTGTAGGGTGCCAAGACTGTGCTGGTAGCTAGGGTGTGACAGTGACTCATAGTGACCTCTTATCCTTCCTAGAACCTACCCCTAGGAGTGGGAGAAGACCACAACCAAAGAAGCAAATGGACACACGGACTATCAGATGAAAGGCAGCTACACAGGAAAATAAAGCAGTGCAGCAGGATTGGAGGTGCTTGTGGTGAGAGGAGGTAGGGAGTTGCTTTTTACATGGGGAGATCAGGGAAGGCCTCAGTAAGGAGGTGATATTTGAATAGAGAGAGACCTGGGAGAGGAAAGAGAGTGAGCCCTGTTGATATATAAGGGTAGAATGACTCTGGCAGAGCGGTTAGTGCAAAGGTCTTGTGGCAGAAAACACCCTTTTGGACTTCCATTGTGAATGTCTTGGGACACTTGATGGTGTCCCACAGGTCTCTGAGGCTTTGTTTGTTTATTTATTTATTTAGAGACAGGGTCTTGCTCTGTTGCCCAGGCTGGAGTGCAGTGGTGCAATCATGGTTCACTGCAGCCTCAAACTCTTGGGATCAAGTGATCCTCCCACCTCAGCCTCCTGAGTAGCTGGGACCACAGTTGCACACCACCATGCTCAGCTAATTTCTTATTTTTTGTAGAGATGAGGTCTTGTTTTGTTGTCTAGGCTAGTCTCAAACTCTTGGAGTCAAGCAATCCTCTCTCCTTGGTCTCCTAAAGTGCTGGGATTAAAGGTATGAGCCACTGGCCAATAAATCATTTTAAAAAATCATTTTTTCCCTTTCTGTTATGGACTGAATGTTTGTGACCCAACCCCCGAATTCATATGTTGAAACCCCAATCCCTAATGTGGTGGCATTTGGAGGCGGGGTCTTTGGGAGGTAATTGGGTTTGAATGAATCTCGAGGTGGAGCCGGTGAAGGGATTGGTGCTTTTATAAGGAGGTGAAGGGACCAGAGCTCTCTCTGTCATGTGAGGATATGGCAAGGAAGCAGCTATCTGCAAGCTTGGGACCAAAGCTAAGAAAAGACTATGCTGCCACTCTGATCTCAGACTTTGAGCCTTGAGAACTGTGAGAAATACAGAGTTATCGCTGAAGCCACCCTGTCTGTGGCATTCTGTTGTAGCAGCTGGAACTGACTAAGACAGGTTCCCTTCTTCAACCTGGATAATCTTAGTGGACCTACCTTCAAATCTGCTGTTGAGCCACTGGTGAATTTTTCATTTTGGTTACTGTACTTTTCAGCTCCAAAATTTATAGATATATATTTTGACAATTTCTTAATTTCTGTCTCTTTATTCATGTTCTGTATTTGGTGAGACATGGGTCTCGTACTTTCCTTTATTTCTTTAGATTGGGCTTTCTTTAATTCTTTGAACGTACAGTTGTCCTTTGATATCTGCGGGGGATTGGTTCCAGGACCCCTGGGGATACCAAAATCTGTAGATGCTCAAAGTCTGTTGACTCTCCCTATCTGTGGATTCAACCGATCGTGGATTGAAAATTGCAGTGCAGGAATGTGGATAGGAGGACTGACCATACGTTATTTGTAATAGCTGACTTGACATCTTTACATAGTCAGTTCAACATGTGGGCCTCCTTAGGGACAGTTTCTGTCTGTCTTTTTCCCCCCATGTATGGGCTATATGTCACGTATCTTTTTATGTCTCCTTGTTTTTGCTGTTGAAAACTGGACATATGACATAACATAATGTGGTTACTCTGGAAATCACATCTCCCCAGGCTTTGTTGTTTCTGCTGTTTATTGAATAATTTCCCTGGATAAAGGGTGTAAAGTCTATGTTCTTTGTCACAGATGATTACGAGGAGTTTCTGGGAACTTCCAGACAGGTTAGACAATAACAATCTTTAAGAGTAGGACTTTCGGGGAGTTTCACTCCCTGGCTCCCCTGTCCAGCGGCTGCCAGCTTTTTGCATTTACAACTGCTGTGGAGCTGGGAAGAAGGAGATGGCAACAGGGCAAGTTAAAATGCTGCACAGCTCACAGTTCTGTCTGAGATTCAGTCATTTTTCTTGAATAAATCTCCAGGAATTGTTGCAAGCCTTTAGTTAATTTCCACAGTTCTGAAAAGTTGATTTAGACAATTTTCCATCATTTTCAGCCACAGCCAATTTCACCATTCCCTTGAAACTTGCATTTATTTTGCTTACATCCAGATTTGCAAAACTCCTTGCTCACTGTTCACTAGATCCCGTCTTTTTTTTTTTTTTTTTTTTGAGACAGAGTCTTGCTCTGTTGCCCAGGCTGGAGTGCAATGGCGGTATCTCGGCTCATTGCAACCTCCGCCCCCTGGGTTCAAGCAATTCTCCTGCTTCAGCCTCCCGAGTAGCTGGGATTACAGGCACCACCACCAGGCCCAGCTAATTTTTTTTTTTTTTTTTTTGTATTTTTAGTAGAGACGAGGTTTCACCATATTGGTCAGGCTGGTCTCGAACTCCTGACCTTGTGATCCGCCTGCCTCGGCCTCCTAAAGTGATGGGATTACAGGCGTTAGCCACCACGCCCTGCCAAATCCCATCTTAATTCAACTCACCTGCACGCTTTCAGACCTCTCTTGGTCTTTGCCCCTCTGTGGTAACTATTGCATTTCTAGAACACTGGACTTAATTCCCAAGCCCTTCTTCACATCCAGGCATTCTAGGACAGGAAGAAACTGCTGTCTGATTCTATAATTATCACACTTTCCATGGCTGAGTGAAGTTTTGACAGAACTTTTATTCAAATGTTATACCCTTGTTAAAGCAAACTAAATATGGCTTGAGAAGGACTCCGTACTTCTATATTTTAGTCCTTGTGGATGAACTGCAAACTAACTTCATAGGTAGACAAGATTGAGACCCTGATTTCAGAGTATGCACACCTGTAACAATAGCTGAATCTTGGCCAATCCCAGCAGCCGTACTTCAACCACTCAAACACTGCTGAGTGTTCACACTATGTTCAAATAAGGCCAACACCGAGCCATAACCAATCCAGCTGTTTCTGTACCTCGCCTCTGATTTCTGTACATCGCTTTACTCTTTTTGTTTATAAATGTGCTCTGACTACGAGGCACCCTGGGAGTCTTTCTGAATCTGCTGTGATTCTGGGGGCTGCCAGATTCGTAGATCATTCATTGCTCAATTAAACTCCTTTAAACTTAATTCAGCTGAAGTATTTCTCTTAACACACTTTATGTCTAACCTTTCCAGTTTCTTGATGCACCTTTTAAAAATTGAAGAACAGGCTGGGTGCAGTGGCTCATGTCTCTAGTCCCAGCACTTTGGGAGGCCGAGGTGGGCGGATCATGAGGTCAAAAGATCGAGACCATCCTGGCCAACATGATGAAACCCCATGTAGTAGGGTCTTTAGTAGAGATGTCTCTACTAAAAATACAAAAATTAGCTGGGCATGGTGTCATGTGCCTGTAGTCCCAGCTACTCAGGAGGCTGAGGCAGGAGAATCGCTTGAACCCAGGAGGCAGAGGTTGCAGTGAGCCAAGATCGTGTCACTGCACTCCAGCCTGGTGACAGAGTGAGTCGACTCTGTCTCAAAAATAAATTAAATAAATAAATAAATAAATAAGTTGAAGAACAGATGTAGGGAGCTAACACTTCACTGGGGTGTACGTGAAAATCCCAGAGAGGCCAGAGCGAGAGCTCAAGGGATTGAGGAGGGAAGGAAGGAAACTCATGGAAGGGGATGAGTTACTGATCTGGTCCCAGCTTCTCTAGGATGGCCAACTGGTTGCTGCTGGGGAGGCTGTTTGGCCACGCTGTTTGTCAGAATGCTCCGCAGGAGGGGGAGTGGGAAGGATGCATCCAGTGGAAACCCCCATCTGTCTCCTCTCATCAAAATTCTCTTCTCAGGGGGAATTTTCATTAACTCTCCACAGCTCTGGGTCCCCCTCCCTACCCAGGAAGCCCGAGGGGTTAGGCTCTTTCTCAGGATACCCCTTCTCTGGGCAGCCTGGCTCCTTTCTCTCTGTTTTTTAAAAAAAATTCATTTTCTGGCCAGGTGCCCTGGCTCATGCCTATAATCCCAGCACTTTGGGAGGCCGAGGCGGGAGGATTGCTTGGGCCCAGGAGTTCAAGAGCAGCCTGGGCAACACAGTGAGACCCCATCTCTACAAAAAATTTAAAAAAATTTTTTTTCTTTCAGGATGGGCCCTGTAGAGTGCATTTCTCACAGGGAGCACGTGTTTTGGGTGCTGTCTTTCCATAGGGCCCTTCTGACTGGCGGGTGAACCTCTGTGACTTTCTGCTTCTGAGTGGTCTTGGTGGGACTTCCCCCACTTGGGAAGGCTGTTCCTTTCTTTCATGTAACCGAAGCTGGGATCTTGGGGTAGAAAGAGTCAAGGGCCATGCAAGCAGCCCTGGCAAGGCCAGGCTGCGGGAGGGGTGACATCTGCTGTGTTTCCCCCATTGCTTACACCTCAAACCCGTGGTTCCTGTGTTCTGGTCAGTTCTGCCTCTGGCTGGCCTCACAGACCCTGCATGTCTAGAGCATGCCCTTGGGCTCGTTCCTGGGAGAAGAATGGCCACATCAGGACAGACACCTGCCTGTCTACTAAGAAACACGTCCCCATGGCCCTGAGTCCCCCTTGCCTCACCTGTGTCATATCCTGCATTTCTGGCCCTGCCTCCTTCTTAGCTCAGCTCTGCAAAGAACCTTAGAGAACATTTGGAACAGTGGTTCTCAAACTTTAGCAAGCTTCAGATTTCTCTGGAGGACTCGTTACAGATGGCTGGGTCACATCCCCAGGCGCTCGAAGTGCCTGATCTAGTTGCCTGTGATGAGGCCTGGGAATTTGCATTTCTAACAAGTTCCCGGGTGCTGCTGGCTCAAGGACCCCACTTGGAGAACCAGAGCGCTAAGGGTCCTCGGTGGCCCAGCAGGACCCCTGCAGATGCCTAAGGCAGATCAGTGCTCAGTGGCTAGGAGCGCAGACTGGAGCTGGCCTCCCTGGGCTCAAATTCTGACCAGGGGCAAGTGACTGAAACTCTCCACTCAGTGTCTCCATCTGCAGTAGGGATAGTGACAAGGTTCTGGGGGTGAAGAGAAAGAGAGTGTCTGGAAAGCACTGAGAGCAGTCCCAGCTCATTATTTGGGCCGCATCAATGCAGCCTATTGTCATTCTTGTTTTGCTCACAGGGAAAGAGAAATTTAGGGGGTGAAAATTAGGCCCAAGCTGGCCAGAAGCCCATCGGAGCCTAGACTCCTTGTCTTCTCACTCCGGTGGCATTACCTTTCCACTCTCCAGGCCACCTCCTTTTGGTGTCTTGGTCACGTAGCTGCTTTCATCAGCCCCTGAGGAAATGTGGGGTCCATCCAGAAGAACATGGAAGATGTCTGTAGATGCCACCCCAGGCTTCACCCAGTGCTTTCACTGGGAAGAAAGAACACAGGGTGGGAGTTTGTCGCCAGCTCTTGCATTTCCCACCCGCATCTCTCAGGGCCTTTCTTTCCTTGTGTGAGGATAACAGTGGTGCCTACCTCTGAGGTTTCTGGAAGGATTACATTTGACGAAATATGATCAAGCCCCTAGCAAAGTGTAAGGCACAGAGTCCGCCCTCTGTAGAGCCTCGTTGTCACCACGGCTGACACGGGTGTCCTCTGGTCTCCTAGGATCAGGCCAGGTTTCCTTATCTCCGCAAGAAGTCTTCTGGTGCATGGGCCCAGCTGTCAAAACAGATGGTTTTGCTGTTTCCTTCATTCATGCAAACTATTAAAAATAAATCCAGGAGTGACTGCATGGAGGCGTGGCAGCTCTGCGGTTCTGCCAGGGGCTGGGTGTCCCCAGCTGTCCCCGCCTCATGACATCTCCTCCCCGCCCCCTCTGTTACCCTTTGATCCCCGTCTACACAGCACAACTCACATTTTCTCTATTATTTTATACCATTCCCGTTAGTTTTAATCCTGTGGTCCTAGATTTGTATTTACATTTTTTTCTGATTATTGGACACCATTTTGTCCAAAGCCCTGCCCTCTGGCTTTCATGAGTAACAGTGAAACCAGATCGAAAAACTTGAGAAAATTGAAAAATTCTTTCCTTTGAACCACACTTTTAGGGAAAAAAGGCAAAGCATAAGAATAAAAAAAAGCTAATAAAAATTAAGAGACATTGTTAATTTATTTGAAGACCTTTGAGGGCCTGTCTTCACACCACCTCCACCTCACTATCACCAGGAACTGTGACTGATGTCATTGAAACATGGCCAGGACTTTGTATGCAGGTGTATTTAGGTTTGTGGGGTCCAAAACATATGATTCTGGGGGCCCACTTTAATAATAGGAAATTATGAATATGAAGTTAGGTATAAAAGTGACTATCTATTTAGAAGAGACACCAATCACCATCAATTATAAATTTAATAACACACACATAAAAGGATCCAGAAAAGTAACCTAGTATTTTATTTATATTAACTAACTATATTTTTTTTGGGGGGTGGGGGATACCTATTCTTTGCTCTCCTCTTCATTTGATGAAATTTTTAAAATTTTCTAAAAAAGAGAATGGATTGGTAATCTGGTCTTTCCCCTGGCATCTGGAATCAATATTTATTTATTATCAACAGGTGAGACATTATTTATTTATTTATTTTAGCCTCACAGCTCATTATTGGTAATGATGTCATGCAAAGTTTTAGAATTGTTGTTAAAATTGGGAAGACCTCTATCAAGTTTCTTTCACACATGGGCTTTAAGTGTTCAAGGCATTTCATGTTTTCTTGACTATGCTTAAGTAGTCTTTGAACCAACATTTCCTCATTATCCAGATGGTCAAGATTGCCTATATTATGAGTTTTTCATTATCAGTGTCAGTATTCAGTGCCACAAAAGCAAAAAATTGGAATCTTATTTCACTGTGTTCCTATGATTCACTTTTTTTTTTTTTTTTTTCAGACAGGGTCTTGTGCTGTTGCCCAGGCTGCAGTACAGTGGTATGAACATGGCTCACTGTGGCTTCAACTACCCAGGCTCAAGCAATCCTCCCACCTCAGCCTCCCATGTAGCTGGGACTACAGGTGCGCACCACCACACCCAGCTACTTTTTTGATTTTTTTTGTAGAGACAGGGGTCTCACTATGTTGCCCAGGCTGGTCTCAAACTCCTGGGCTCAGCAATCCTCCTGCCTTGGCCTCCTAAAGTGCTGGGATTATGGGAGTGAGCCACTGCACCTAGCCCACTTCTTATTATTAATTGGATATCAAATCATTCAAGAAACTATTTATTATTTCTATTAGAAATTTATCTTCCTATTAATGATTTACTGCTTTTGGTGTAAACTTTTTTGTTATTGAAGTTCCTTTTTTAATATAGAAATAATTTCTGTTGTTTCATTATTCATCATTATAGCTTTTAAAATATTCTATTTTTTTCTTTTAACCCTTTAACAAATTTTAAATTGTCAAAAAGTTACTTTTTATGCATGTCTACATAAAGAGTCTGTAATTTCTCCCATGTTTTATCGAAACATTCCAAAACATCTTTTCAAATCACAGTTAAATTAACATATTCAAGCTTCGTCAACATTTTGAGTAAATTTTTTTTGGCATTCCTGTTGTGTTTGGGTTTCTCTCTCCCTCTGTCATGCAGGCTGGAGTGCAGTGGTGCAATCATACTTTACTGCAGCTTTGAAATCTTGGGCTCAAGTGATTGCCTTTCCTCAGCCTCCTGAGCAGGTGAGACCACAGGCATGTACCACTCTACCTGGCTATATATATATTTTTTTTTGGTAGAGATAGGTGCTGTTATGTTGCCCAGGCTGGTCTTGAACTCTTGGCTTCAAGTGGTCTTCTACCTTGGCCCCCAAAAATGTTGAGATCATAGGCACCCGTCACCACACCTGGCCCTCTCTTGAATCTGTAATAACATATACTAGAATCCTCATAATACTATTATAACCATGTTTCAAAGGTTGGAGAGGTTTATAAGGACATCTCTGTAATTAGACCCATCAAAGAAAAATCCAGTTGATATGTGTGCTTAAAATACTCCATCAATGAACCTGAACTGCCCCCCCTGCCACATATAACTATTGCAGAATATCAGGGTAGTTAAAACTTTAGGTCCTGTGTAGGCAGATACTTTTCCTATGAGTCAAAGAAATGAGATGTTCAATGCCCATATATTGTGATATTTGTGTCACCAAGCTGGGTGAATTGGAAGAGTGTGTAGGAAGAGTATTCCTAGAGGTCATTTCTACACTAGACTAGCTGGTGATAAGTTCATGTGGAAGTAATTGTGAAGCACATACATTTATCCTGTTAAACCCAAACTAAACTTAATCCCACCCCTGAGCCAGAACACAAAAATCACGGCAGCCACTCCAGTTCCACCAGTCATGAGGGGAAGTGTGATAGAGGGAAACTGAAGTAGGTGGAGACAGTGGTCTAATTCTTGAATCTGTGTATTGATGTCATTCATCAGTTTTGGGAAAAAATTTCAGCTAGCATCACTGCAAATATTTATTCTGACCTATTTTGTCTCTCTTCTTCTCTGGGACTTCAATTACATGTGTATTAGACCATTTGGTATTACCTTACATTTCTCTCACCCTCTGCTTTTTAAAAAATACTTTTTTCTTTCTATGCTTCAATTTAGAGAATTTCTACTGAGAATTTCAAGTTTACCAAAGCTTTATTTTGTTCATTCTGCTATTAAGCCCGCCCACTGAATTCTCTACGTTGGTATTGTGTTTTTTAGTTCTACAATTTCCATTTGGTTCTTTTTTGGGGTTTTGATTTCTTTGCTAAAATTCTTTATATTTTCACCCATTTTGCCCATATTTCCCTCTAAAAATGTCACCATATGTATTAATTAGTTTAAAATCTTTAGTTGCTAATGCCAACTCTGGGTCATCTGTGGGCCTGTTTCTACTGACTGCTTTTTCTTTTGATTATGGGTCATACTTCCCAGTTTATATGCATGGCTTGTAGTTTTTGTTTTTTTTTTTTTTGAGGGAGTCTCACTGTCACCAGGCTGGAGTAAAGTGGTGCAATCTCAGCTCACTGCAACCTCTGCCTGCCAGGTTCAAGTGATTCTCCTGCCTCAGCCTCCCGAGTAGCTGGGACTATAGGCACAGCCCACAATGCCCAGCTAATTTTTGTGTTTTTAGTGGAGACAGGGTTTCACCGTGATGGCCAGGATGGTCTTGATCTCTTGACCTTGTGATCCCCCTGCCTTGGCCTTCCAAAGTGCTGAGATTACAGGCGTGAGCCACCATGCCCAGCTGGCTTGTAGTTTTTTTATTGAATGCTGCAGTTTATGTATACCATAGCAGTGGAGACTGAAAGAAGGTACTAATTTTTCTAGGAAGTGCTTGCCCTTTTGTGTGTCAGGTATCTTGGATTAGGATCTGATCTCTTCAATCTAATAATTAGTTGAGCTGAATTAGAGTTGAGGTTGCCACTCCAGTTGATTTAGTTCACCTCTGGTTTCAAATATCTTGAGTGTGAGATCACCCTCTCTCCAGGAAGGCTATGAAATCTAAGCACCATGACACCACAACATTTCTCTCTGCTTTTCTGTGTCATCTCCTGACTTCTTGGACACCATTTATTCAATAAATTTCTATGAGAGAGAGTTGGAAGACGGACAGAGATGTCCAATGCTGTATTTGGGATTCCTCCAGGTTCAAGTCTAACACTAGCTGTAAAATTTCCAGTTAGTTTCTCCTTATTCCCCCAAATTTTATTTGCCTGTAGCAGACTTGATTTTCTGTCCATCTACAACCCCATGCTTGACAACTTACCACAGGAATGGAAGGGACCAGTTTTCTCACCTGACATGGGCTCATCCATCTCTGGAATTTAGTTTATTTGGATTTCGAATCTATAGGTTTTAAATAGTTTTAAAGAAAAAGACAATTTAATAGCTTACCAGTGCTTTATCCTTGCTCTGCTGGAGTGGTGGTCTTTTGTGATTTTTTACATCCTAACCAGAAGTTGAAACACTTAATATCTTTTTAATTTTGTAAAATCTCCTTTTTTTTCATTTTTGCATTTTACATTTCTTTTAAGGCATTATTTGTTTTGTTTATTGGCTCTGATGTCCCTTCTAATTTAGTTTTTATTTCTGAAAAATTTCCTTTATACTTCTAATTCTGTTTTGTGTTCTGTCATCTTCATCTGTCTTTCAAATCTTATATTTCTAAATGTTTCTAATTATGATTTAAATGATACTTTAAGATACTTTAATGACACCTATCATTTTCCTAGTTCTTTTTACCTCATTTCAAATATTAGGTTACATTTTCATCTTCATTGAATGTGTACCTCTCTGTTGTATTTTCATTGTCTGTAGGGCCAATATTATTGTTGTTATTAATATGTTATTATTCTGCTTTCTCTTATCATAACTTTATATTAGATTTGGCTATCATCCATTTTATTGCTTTTTTTAAAGTGAAACAAGTTTTTCTTTGTTCATAGGATGAGGCATAGGTCAAGACAGGTTTTCAAACTTCATGGGTCTACATTCCCTCTTCTGTTGTTTTTCCAAAATGATTTCAAAAATACTGCCTGTGTTTTCTGAGATCTGACATTCTGATCCCCATTCTGCATTTTCTTCTAAGTCATTTCTCTTATCTGGGCATTTTGTTTGCTAGCTTTGAAGACTTATAGACTGCTTCACTGTGGTCAGAATAGTATTGTGGTCTCCTTTACCCACTCAGGAACTGAACCCGGTAGAGTCATCTCCCAACCTGCCACTCTCGGATTGGAGCTCTGTGCTTTCAGTGAACACAGGTCAGCAGTGTTGTTTTTTCCTGTCCTCTGGACTGTTGGAATCCCAGTTGACTTCCCCAACTTGCCAGTTGTTTCCCTTTACACAGATCCTCATACCACGTGGGTCCTGCAGCTGTTGGTGGTTTGTGCCACACACTCTTACTGTGAGATTCTTTGGGATTCCTGGTCATTGATTTTGTTGTAGAAGTACAAAGTCTTTGATTTTGATATGCTAGTTATTCAGTCTGTTTTTATAAGGAAATTTGAGGAGATTAAATTATTAAACCCTATAATCTCCCCAGAATCCTTGTCATAATTATGTTCAAAAGACTATAAAAGAAAAAAATAGTTTACTAATTATCCACCTCTGGTGCCAGTCAACTGAGATATTTCTGGAAAGGATGGTTCTCTCTCAGTTTGATGGCTAGACAAGGTCATACACACCATCTATGGCTGTTTGCAAAGACCCCCCAAAAGCCTGATCTGGTTCCTTGACACCTTGAATTTTCTCTGTCAAGGGCTGAACTGTGTCCCCCAAAAGTCATCTGTTGAAGTCCTAACCCCCAGTACCTCAGAATGTGACTGGATTTGGAGATAGGACTTTTAAGGAGGTGACTGAGGTTAAATGAGGTCACAGGAATGGGTTCTAATTTAAACTGACTGGCATCTTTGTAAGGAGAGGAGGTTAGGACACAAACAGACACAAAAGGAAGACCCTGTGTAGACTCAGGAGAAGACGCCATCTGCAAGCCAAGGAGAAGGGCTTCAGACTGAAATGAAATGAAACCCCCACTACAGACACCTTGATCTTGGACTTCCAGCCTCCAGAACTGTGAGAAAATAAATGTCTGGGCCGGGTGCAGTGGCTCATGCCTGTAATCCCAGCACATTGGGAGGCTGAGGTGGGCAGATCACAAGGTCAAGAGATCAAGGCCATCCTGGCTAACATGGTGAAACCCAGTCTCTACTAAAAATACAAAAATTAGCTGGGCATGGTGGCGGGCACCTGTAGTCCCAGCTACTAGGGAGGCTGAGGCAGGAGAATGGCGTGAACCCGGGAGGTGGAGCTTGCAGTGAGCTGAGATCGTGCCACTGCACTCCAGCCTGGGTGACAGAGCGAGACTCCGAGACTCCGTCTCAAAAAAAAACAAAAAACAAAAACAAAAAACACATTTTGTGGAAAGAACAAGAAAGAATAAGGTAGAGTGATTTTTATTTTATTTTTTCTGTTATTTTGGCACAGGCACGACAAAGACCAGGAAGTGATTGGTCTTTTATCTGTTTTCTTATCTGTTTCTATTATGGCTGTACCTGAAAGTGTTTAAATTATACCAAATATTTTCTTGCTCTCTCTCTCTGTGTCTCTCTGAGTTTTACTCCAAAGGTTTTCTGGAGAGGGCACGCGGTGGAAACCAGACTTTGTTGGCGGAAAGAGATGGTTCAAACCTTTTGTCTGCTGCTTGCTCACTGGACGTTGGGCGAGGCATCTTACATGTTTGAGCCACTGCTTCCTCATTTGTAACTGGGAAATGATGCCCTCTCAACGGATAGACATGAGCGTTATATGAGATAAAGCTGTAATTTGCTTCCTGGCCCATAACAGACCCCAAATAAATGCTATTTTCCATTTCTTCTCTTCCTTCTCCCAACCCATAGTTAGCCAGAAAAAAACCAGTTATGAACCAAAGAAAATTCCAGTTCACTGAATCCCTGTTTACATTTATGTAAATTAGAAGCATAAATGTAAATTACATTTATGTGCACTGCACTCCCAAATCAGTGTCCTCAGCAGGAGTTCAAAGAGGTGCTGCTCCCAGACTCAGGAAGTGCACCACTAGGCCGGTCCATGGACAGTCTTCTGAGCATGGGCCCCTCTCAGAAACAGAGGCTGTTTCAAGAATTCTATAGACATTGCATTTATTGGGCAACTGGCAAGCTGATGTCCCACCTAGTGGTCAGTGGGAGGTAGCCCATTTCAAGAAGAGATGAGAAGACCTTTCATAATATCTTCTGCTGGGCAGAGCCTGAAGAACTGTGTCAGCTCACCCCATTCTCTCCATTTACAGAGGCCTGGGCACGTACAGCACAAGCGTGAGGCATGACAGGTGCAGCGTGCAACGTCCTCTGGCAATGAGGGTGGGGCTGGTGAGAGTCACTCTCCTGGAGAGAGAGAGAAAGTCCTGAGATTAAGAGGCATACCTTTGAATGGTTTCCCTAAAATATAAAATATTTCAAATACACAGAAAAGTTTATAACACACAACACATTCCCCACCCAACTCTCTTGAGTGCTAACATTTTGTCACACTTGCTTTCTGTTTTATTAAGAAGCAAAACAATACATATGCCGTCAAATCTCCTAAAATACCCTTCCACGACCCTTTCTCTTCCCTGTCTTTCACCCAGTGGTAACCATCAGCTCCAATTTTGTGTGTACCTTTAATGGCATTCAAAAATTCCACTAACATCCCATGTGTGAATCCATTTTTTACATGTTTTCAAAATTTATTTTATTGATGACATGCTGTATGTATTTTTTCTATTATGAATAATGCAATGAACTTTCTTGTGCCATTTTCCCTATGGAACTTCTGCAAAAGTTTCTCTATTATTTTTTTACATGTGGAACTGCTGGATCAAAGAGCAAATGTTTTCTTTCCAGAGGTATTGTACCAAATTACCCTTCAAATCTCCAGAGGTAAGAAGACCTCATGCTCTATATTTGCACTTATGTTGAGATTGTTAGTCTTCTTAATATTTTCCATTTGATGGTTATGAAATGACATTTCATACTGTTTTGATTCATAGTTTCTTATTTAGTAGCTATATTGAACATCTTTTTATGTTTCTTGGCCTTGTATTTTTTTTCTCTTCTGAATGGTCTGTTGATATCTTTTGCCTTTTATTTTTAGTTTTCAGACAGGGTCTCGTTCTGTCATTCAGGCTGGAGTGCAGTGGCGGGATCACAGCTCACTGTAAACTTTGTCTCCCAGGTTCAAGCAATCCTGCCTCCTCAGCCTCCTGAGTAGCTGGGACTACAGGTGCACGCCACCATGGCTGGCTAATTTTTGTGTTTTTTGTAGAGACAGAGTTTTGCCATGTTGCCCAGGCTGGTCCCGAATTCCTGAGCTCAAGTGATCCTCCCACTGTGGGCCTCCCAAAGTGCCAGGCATGAGCCACTGTGCCTGGCCCCTTTTATTTTTTAGTTGGACTTTTTTCCTTACTGATTCTCAGGGTTGCCTTATATATTCCTAATAGGAATCCCCATTTTCGGTTATATGCTTTGCAAATATCTTCTCCCATCTGTATCTTATCTTTTTTATAAGTAAAAAGTTTAAAATAGAGTTATATACATTCATAAAAATGCACAAATCATAAATGTAGAGCTCAATGAATTGTTACACCCATGTAACCATCCAGATCCAAGAATTGGAATACAACTTGCCCTACTTCCTGACCATTCTAGCACCTGCCACACTCCCAAGATAAGCACCGTGCAGATTTCTGAGTAACTTTGTGTTGTTTTGAACTTTATATGATGAAGTCGCACACCATATACTCTTTGGTTTTTGTTTTTTTTCACTTGATTATAAAGTTGCAAGATTCGCTTATAATGTTGCGTGCAGCAGTCATTGTTTATTTCCCATTTCTATTTAGTATTTCAATGTATGTATCTACCTACTTTCATATGAATCCATTTGAGTGTTAAAAATGTTTGGGTAGGATGGACGTGGTGGCTTATGCCTGTAATCCCAGCACTTTGGAAGGCCAAGGCAGGCAGATCACTAGAGGTCAGAAGTTCGAGACCAGCCTGGCCAATATGGTGAAACCCCATCTCTACTAAAAATACAAAAATTAGCTGGGCATAGTGGCACATGCCTGTACTCCCAGCACTTTGGGAGGCTGAGGCAGGAGAATCGCTTGAACCCAGGAATCGGAGGTTGCAGTGAGCCGAGATGGTGCCATCACATTCCAGTCTGGGCATCGCAGCGAGACTCTGTCTCAACAACAAACAACAGCAGCAGCAACAACAACAACAACAAGTGTCTGGGTAATTTCCATGTTTGAACAATTATGAATAAAGCTGCTGTGAACATTCTGGTACATGCCTTTTGGTGCGCACAGAGCGAAAGTGCGAGGTCATAGGGCCCACGCGTCCAGCGTTTGTAAAGTCTGCCTGTAATGATGCTGCGAGTGCTGAAGACCCTTCCATTTTCGACCTGTCAGGATGTTAGCTGCTGCTGGGAGCTGCCTGGCCAAATGCTATCCTCTTAGCCCAGTGACAGTCCTGATTTAATGACTAGGAGATGTGGGGATAAAACAGCCCAGCCCCACAGGTTAATGCTGGACGTCTCTGAAGGACCATCCCAGCTTCAGAACTTCCTGAAGGATCACCTGAAGTCTCCATTTCAAAGTTGAACAGAAGCAGTCAGGACAAATACAATTTTCCCTTCTTACCAGTGTAAGGGGGAAAGCAACCTTGTATTTCTGGAATCAACTCCATTGGTCATGATGTATTTTTTATATTTCCCTTGTTATTATTGGTAGTATTTTAAAAAAGATGTTTGGACCTAACTGCATGAGGGATATTGGACTATCATTTTCTTCTCTTATCTTCTCTTGCCATAAAATGAGTAGGGAAGAGTTTCCTCCTACTATATTTCTGAAAGAGATTGGTATTTTTATTTCTATTTGATAGACTTTACTGGTGGAACCATCTGGGATGAGTAATTTCTTTGTGAGAAAATTTTAAAATTACAAAATTCAATTTCTCACTATATATATATATGTAGATGCGATTTCTCCTAGGTTTATAATTTGTGTCTCACAAGGAATTTGTTCATTTCATCTAAATTGTCACATGTATTGGCATAAAGTTGTTTATAATATAACTTTATTAATTTTTTACTATTTGTAGGTACTATAGTAATGAGCCCTCTTTATTCCTGATATTGATAATCTGTGTGTTGTCTCTTCAGTTTTTTTTTTTCTTAATCAGTCTATTTAGAAGTTTATCAATCAACCAGCTTTTGATTTCCTGTAAGTTTTCCTATTATTTGTCCACTTCCAATTTCACTGATTTCAGCTCTTTACTGTTTCCTTCATTCTTTTGATTTTGATATTATATTACTCCTCTTTTTTCTTCTAATTTCTTTAGGTTGATACTTAGATAACTGATGTTAGACTTTTCCTGTTTTTCAATAAAGAATACATTTCTGACTACATGGCAGCATCCCACATATTTTGATATTATATTTTCATTCACTCGCATTGAAATATTTCTAATTTCCTTTGTGATCTCTTCTTTGACCGATGAATTACTTAGAAATGTACTACTTAATTTCCAAACATTTGTGGATTTTCTAGATATCTCTTTTAGTGGCTTGTATTTTAACTTCATTGTAGTTAGGGTACATACTTGGTATGATATAAATCCTTTAAAATTTATTGAAACTGTTTCTGACACTGGATATGGTCTATAGTGAATGTTCCGTGTACACTTTTTACAAGATCTCTCTTAAATAAAATGCAAAGCTATAAAATTTCTAGAAGAAAATTTGCATAACCTTAGGTCTATTGATGAGATTTTACATATACAACACTAAATGCATGATCCATTTAAAAAGTTTATAAGTTATTTACAAGATCTCTCTTAATTTATATAAATATACATTGAAATCAGTACTGCCTGCATCACTGACTTTTATTTTTTATTTTTATTTGTAATTTTTTTTTTTTTTTGAGGCTGGAGTCATTGGCACGGTCTCTGCTCACTGCAACCTCTGCCTCCTGGGTTCAAGTGATTCTCCTGCCTCAGCCTCCTGAGTAGCTGGGACTACAGGCATGTGCCACCACGCCCGGCTAATTTTTGTATTTTTAGTAGAGATGAGGTTTCACCATATTGGCCAGGCTGTTCTCGAACTCCTGACCTCGTGATCCTCCTGCCTCAGCCTCCCAAAGTGCTGGGATTAGAGGCGTGAGTCACCGCACCTGGCCGTATTTTTTATTTTTAATTTGTTATTATTTGGGTGAATTTAAGGGGTACAAGTGCAATTTTGTTACATGATTATATTGAGTAGTGGTGAAGTCTGGGATGTTAGTGTATCCGTCATCAGAATAATGTACATTGTGCCCATTAAATCATTTCTCCTCATCCACCTCCCTCCCACCCTCCACCCTTCATAGTCGCCAGTGTCCAGTAATCCACAGTCTCTGTCCATGTGTACACATCCTTTAGCTCCCATTGATAAGTGAGAACGTGTGGTATTTGTCTCTTTCTAAATCTCCACGGGTTTAACATAACCTAAAGCATCTGTTGGTAAACTCAGCGTTTCAGGTGTGAAAACTCTGAAGTAGAGGCACCATCCAGCGAGATGAAGCAGTCAACTCTGACCCTACCCTAATGTGTGACTTAAGAGTCCTGAGCACCTGAGCACCTTACTCTGAAGATGACTGTCCCCAAGGGCATGCTGTGTCCTAGCCCAGTGTCAGTAACAGAGCTCCTTCTGCCTCATGCCTTACCCTCTTCTCCCTCTGCTCAAGAACCAGTTGTTTGGCTGTGAAAGTGGCACCACGTAGGGAAGGGAGTCACACACCCAGCCCTGAATCCTGAACCGGCTGGGCACAGGTGTGCTGTGAGAGTCTCGGAGCCTCCCACAGGGATCATCTTGCCTGCCTTGCAGGTTGGGTATGGACGATACATCACTTATGTGTGGTGCCAGCCACAGAGTGAGCAATGAACACATTCATTCATTTATTCCACAAATATTTATTAAGCAACTGCTTTACACCAACAACACCGTCCAGGCACTTGGGATAGGGTAGTGATTAAAATATAAAAAGGCCTGCCCACGTGGGGCTTAGACTCTAAAAAGCAGCAAAGAAAATGTAAACAAATAAACATATTTCAGGTCAGGAGTTGGCTGGGGCTGCTGGAACAAACTGCCACAGGCCGGGTGGTTTGAACAACTGAAATCTCTTACTGATCTTCCTAGAGGCCGGAAGTCCAAGGTTGAGGTGTCCCTGGGGTTGGTTCCTGCTGGGGCTGTGAGGGGAAATCTGCCCAGGCCTCACCTCAGCTGTAGATGACCGGGCTGGTCCTGCCCAGGTCCAGCCTGGAAGGAGAATATCTCCTTGGTCTAAGAACCATTTGCCTTGTGTGGGAAGAGATTGATAGGTGGAAGTTTCAGCGGGGGAGTAGGTGGGAGTGACTGATGTGAAGGAGAAAAACTAGCCATGAGGGACAGAAGTTGGAATGCTAGCTGTTTGTCTAGCCACCTTATCAGCATAAGCATTGCCTAGAGCAATGGGATCTGATGCCTTTTGATGCCCCTTGCAGTGAATGACTCCAGCTTCCTTTGGAAGTAAAGCGGCTTTGAGAAGTGTTTTTATTGAAGAGGGATTAATGATAGAGGATCCTTGTGTAGTGAGGAAACCTCTTGTATGGTGGTGCAGGATATGGATGGCATATTTAGAGTCAGTATAAATATTGACGTGTAGTCCCTTTGCAAGAGTGAGGACTTGACTTAAGGCAATGAGTTCGGCTTGCTGAGAGGTAGTGGATGGGGGCAGAGCGATAGCCTCAATGATAGGTGTGGAAGATACTATAGCATAGCCTGCCTTTGCTGGTGAGTGGCGATTAGGCCTAGTGGAACTGCCATCAATAAACCAAGTGTGATCAGGGTGAGGAACAGGAAAGAAGGAAATATGGGGAAATGGGGTGAATGTCAGGTGGATCAGAGAGATACAGTCATGGGGATCAGGTGTGGTATCAGGAGTAATGTGGGAGGCTGGATTGAAGGCCGGGCTAGGAACAATGGTAATTGTGGGAGACTCAACAAAGAGTGAGTACAGCTGAAGGAGCCGGGGAGCAGAAAGTATATGTGTCAGGTGTGAGGAAGAAAATAGATTTTGGAAGTTATGAGAACTGTAGAGAGTGAGTTGAGCATAGTTTGTGATTTTAAGGGCCTCTAAAAGTATTAGGGCAGTGGCGGCCGCCGCACGCAGACTTGAGGGCTAGGCAAAATAGTAAGGTCAAGTTGTTTGGACAGAAAGGCTACAGGGTGCGGTCCCAGCTCTTGTGTAAGAATTCTGACCACACTAACCATGCCTAGGAAGGAAAGGAGTTGTTGTTTTGTAGGTGCTGGGGTTTGAGAGATCAGTAGGACATGATCAGCAGGGAGAGCACGTGTGTTTTTATGAGAATTATGCCGAGATAGGTAACAGATGAGGATGAAATTTGGGCTTGACTGAAGTAATGGGGGCTATCTGTGAAGGCTTGTGGCAGTACAGCCCAGGTAATTTGCTGAACCTGATGGGTGTTAGGGTCAGTCTAAGTGAAAGCAAAGAAAGGCTAGGATGAAGGGTGCAAAGGGATAGTAATGAAAGCATGTTTGAGATCCAGAACAGAATAATGGGTTGTGGAGGGAGGTATTGAGGATAGGAGAGTATATGGGTTTGGCACCATGGGGTGGATAGGCAAAACAACTTGGTCAATAAGGCGCAGATCCTGAACTAACCTGTAAGGCTTGTCTGGTTCTAGGACAGGTAAAATGGGGGAATTGTAAGGAGAGTTTATAGGCTTTAAAAGGCCATGCTGTTGGGAGGCCGAGGCGGGCGGATCACAAGGTCAGGAGATCGAGACCATCCCGGCTAAAACGGTGAAACCCCGTCTCTACTAAAAATACAAAAAATTAGCCGGGCGTAGTGGCGGGCGCCTGTAGTCCCAGCTACTTGGGAGGCTGAGGCAGGAGAATGGCGTGAACCCGGGAGGCGGAGCTTGCAGTGAGCCGAGATCCCGCCACTGCAGTCCAGCCTGGGCGACAGAGCGAGACTCCGTCTCAAAAAAAAAAAAAAAAAAAAAAAAAAAAAGGCCATGCTGTAACAGGTGAGTGATAACAGGCTTTAATCCTTTTAAAGCGTGCTGTGGGATGGGATGTTGGCATTGAGCAGGGTAAGGGTGATTAGGTTTTAATGAGATGGTAAGGGGTGCATGATCGGTCGCCAAGGAGGGAGTAGAGGTATCCTATACTTGTGGGTTAAGGTCGGGGGAAACAAGAGGAGGACGCAAAGGAGGCTTTGGATTGGGAAGAAGGGTGGCAATGAGATGTGGCTACAGTCCAGGAATAGTCAGGGAAGCAGATAATTTAGTTAGTGTCTCGGCCTAATAAGGGAACTGGGCAGGTGGGGATAATTAAAAATAAGTGCTTAAAACAGTATCGTCTAAGTTGGCGCCAGAGTTGGGGAGTTTTAAGAGGTTTAGAAGCCTGGCCGTCAATACCCACAACAGTTATGGAGGCAAGGGAAACAGGCCTTTGAAAAGGAGGTAATGTGGAGTGGGTAGTCTCCGTATTGACTAAGAAGGGGATGGACTTTCCCTCCACCGTGAGAGTTACTCGAAGCTCGGCATCCGTGATGGTCTAGGGGGCTTCTGAGGCGATTGGGCAGTGTCAGTCTTCAGCTGCTAAGCCGAGAAGATCTGGGAAGGAGTCAGTCAGAGAGCCTTGGGCCAGAGTTCCAGGGGCTCTGGGAGTGGCTGTCAGGTGAGTTGAACAGTCCGATTTTCAGTGGGGTCCCGCACAGATGGGATGCGGCTTAGGAGGAATCCTGGGCTGCAGGCATTCCTTGGCCTGGTGGCCAGATTTCTGGCACTTGTAGCATGCTCCCGGGGGAGGAGGTTCTGGAGGAACCCCTGGCAGCTGCGCTTCAGGCGTTTGGAAGTTCTTGTGTCCTGGAGATGTGGCTGGGGTTTGTCTCACAGTGGAGGCAAGGAATTGCAACTCAGAAATATGTTGCTACTTGGCTGCTTCTACTCTATTATTGTACACCTTGAAGGTGAGGTTAATTAAGTCCTGTTGTGGGGTTTGAGGGCTGGAATTTAATTTTTGGAGCTTTATTTAAAGTCGGGAGCGGATTGGGTAATAAAATGTATATTGAGAATAAGACGGCCTTTTGACCTTTCAGGGTCTAGGGCTGTAAAGCGTCTCAGGGTTGCTGCCGAACGAGCCATGAACTGGGCTGGGTTTTTCATATTTGATGAAAGAGCCTAAACGCTAACTGATTTGGGAGAGGTCGGATAAAGAAAAAGGAGCATTAACCTTGACTATGCCTTTAGCTCCAGCCACCCTTTTTAAGAGGAAATTGCTGGGCTGGTGGGGGAGGGCTAGTCACGGAACGAAACTGTAAGCCAGACTGGTGTGAGGAGGGGAGGTGATAAAAGGATTATAAGGTGGAAGAGCGGAGGCTGAGGAAGAATTGGGACCTAGCTCAGCCTGGCGAGGAGGGGAGGGGTCAGATGGGTCTGTAGAAAAGGAAGATTAGAAGGACTCAGCGATGCTTGGGGTTGGGACTGAGGGGACAGGCAGGAGGGAAAGAAGGAAGATTTGGGACGACTTGCATTGGGAACAGAGACTAGAGAGGGACTGATGTGTAAAAGAATGCCTGGATGTCAGGCACCTCAGACCGTTTGCCTATTTTACAACAAGAATTATTTACATCTTGTAGAATGGAAAAATTGAAAGTGCCGTTTTCTGGCTATTTGGAACCATTGTCAAGTTTGTATTGGGGTCAGGTGGCATTGCAGAAGAAAATAAGGCATTTAGGTTTTAGGTCAGGTGTGAGTTGAAGAGGTTTTAGGTTTTTAAGAACACAGGCTAAGGGAGAAGGGGGAATGGAGGGTGGAAGCTTGCCCATAGTGAAGGAGGTAAGCCCAGAGAAAAGAGAGAGTAGAGACATGGAGAGAAGGGGTGGGGGGTTCTTGACCCCCAGAAAAGCGGAGAAGGGGTGGCGACACAGAGAGAAGGGGTTGGGGGGTTGTTGCCCCCAGAAAGGCGGTACTTGCCGCTAAGGGTGAAGGACCAAGGCAGGCGTCCCGTGGTAAAACACCTCTGAAACGTGGGTGAATAATCAGGGAGGTGTCCCCGCGTGATTAAACACCAAGGGAAGACTTCTTGAGTCCGTGACTGGCGCTGGAGTTTTGGGTCCACGGATAAAACGCGTCTCCTTCGTCTCTACCAGAAAAGGAAAGGAACTGAAATTAAGGGAGAGATTAAAGTGTGGTGCCAAGATTGAAAGGAGAAAGAGGTTGAGGGACAGTGAGAGAGGTTGGAGAAGAGAGTAAAAACAAGGCCACTTACCGGAGTTAAAATTGGTGAGATGTTCCTTGGGCTGGTTAGTCTGAGGACCAGAGGTCGTAGGTGGATCTTTCTCATGGAGCAAAGAGCAGGAGGACAGGGGATTGATCTCCCAAGGGAGGCCCCCGTTCCGAGTCACGGCACCAAAATTTCACTCGCGTCCTTGTGAAGAGACCACCAAACCGGCTTTGTGTGAGCAACAAGGCTGTTTATTTCACGTGGGTGTGGGTGGGCTGAGTCCGAAAAGAGAGTCAGCGAAGGGAGATAGGGGTGGGGCCATTTCATAAGATTTGGGTAGGTAAAGGAAAATTACAGGCAAAGGAGGGTTGTTCTCTGGCGGGCCGGAGTGGGGGTCACAGGGTGCTCAGTAGGGGAGCTTTTGAGCCAGGATGAGCCAGGAGAAGGAATTTCACAAGATAATGTCATCAGTTAAGGCAGGAACAGGCCATTTTCACTTCTTTTGTGGTGGAATGTCATCAGTTAAGGCAGGAACCGGCCATCTGGATGTGTATGTGCAGGTCACAGGGGATATGATGGCTTAGCTTGGGCTCAGAGGCCTGACATCCTCTCAACCCCCAACTAATTACATTTGCAAAGACGCTATTTTAAAATAAGGTCACATCCTGAGGTTCTGGGTAGATGTGAAATTTGGGGGATACTATTCAACCCCTTACAGGCATTCACACTGGGCTCAGCATGTGGTAGCAAGGTAGTCACCCACAGTGGCTGGAAGCTCCTTCCTTTAGGCCTGAGACAGGAGGCCCTGAGAGTCCTGGTCCCGACCTGGTGAGCCCTGCTCCCGCCCCAGATGACCCCTCATGACCCCTAATCTTTGGGGACAAGCCTGCTGACACTGACCAGGCTGGAGGACATTTGTTTGCTCCCCTCCTCCAGCACCCAGGGCAGCCCTGGAGTTTTTTCTAGCTTTCCCCGATTCTTTTTTCAGCCCTATTTTATTTTCTGCATCTTTTTTTCCTATATCTCAAGTAGCCTGCAATCAAACCAAAGCCACGGTCTGAATGTTGTGGTTATTGAGAGGGTAAAGTTTTTTATTTTTATTTTTAGAGATGGCATCTCTCACTGTTACCCAGGCTGGAGTGCAGTGGTGTGATCCTTTGGACTCAGTTGATCCTCCCGCTTCAGCCTCTTGAGTAGCTGAGTCTACAGGCATGCACCACTGTGGAGTCCAAATTAGTAAGCAACAATGAGAAAGGGGCCCCCTGTGGGGACAGCCATTGTTCTGAGAGACCGGTAATCACAGACAACCCACTAGCACAACATCCTGTTCCCAAATACCTCGCGCCACACAGCGCCAGCAGCACAACCTCATTCTGCACATAGCCCCCTCCAGTGTGAACCTATAAAACTTCCCTCCAGCCCCTGCCTCTCTGCACACAGCCCTTTCTCTGCTGTGCTGTCCATTAAACCCTTGCAACATTTCTCTGTACCTTACCTAATAAATTGGCCTTTCTTTACTTACAACTGTCTTGGTAAAATCTTCTACCACCTGTGATGCTGGCCCCAGCCAGTCGCACCCACGACAGCCACCATGTCCGGCTTTTTAAAAAAATTTTTGTAGAGATGGGGTCTTGCCATGTTGCCCAGGCTGGTCTTGAACTCCTGGCTTCAAATGATCCTCCTGCCTCAGCCATCTAATATGCTGGGATTACAAGCGCAAGCCACCGTGCCTAGGCTGCAAACGTTTTTCTAAACGTTAAAGCAATCATTTGTTTAAAACTATTTTTAATTTGAAAAGAGAGAGAAAGTACAATAGGTAAATGCGTGAAATTGGTGGTGGGCTGCAAAAATGCTCATACTGAGTTCTTTCTGTCTGTCCCCTCTCGACTTGGTTATCAATTCCTGCACCCCCTTGGGCTCTGTCAGGATTGCATCCTGCCTGCTTTGTACACATGGAACAGACTTCTGGGTTCTTGGCAGCCCTAAGGGATCAGGCTCTAGTGAGTGATCACAGCCAGCGCTGCCTTCCTTTCAGGCCCTGGTGCTTCTCTGTTTATGTGCCTTACGGCTTCTGCAGCGCTGCGATGCCTGGAGGAAGAATTTCCCACTTAGAGGCTTACTGCTCTGTGCACAGACACGCGAGTTGCAGAATGAGTGTCTAATTTGGCGTGGCCCATGAAGGGTGAAGGCTCAGCCCCACGTCTTGGTTTACCTTCAGCTGCTGGCAATGGAGGTGAGGGGGAGGGTGGGGCCGTGGGTTTCCACTTAATTTGTTTCTCCTGGATCTTTGGCCCTGGCAGCCTCCCTTCAGCATTTCGAGGTACGGATAAACCCCCGGAGAAGGTTTGTTCAGATTCCATTTGACACCAGTTATCTCGGTCACCCTGTGTCTGAGTGCCGGCTAAGTAGCTGTCCGCCTGCATTTCCCACTGCAGTCTTCTCACTTCCAGGACTTGTTAGGGTGCATTAGCCAGAGCTAATTAGCAGTGAGATTGTTGCTGTGGCTCAGAGGGTTTCATAGGGCGGCTCTTCGTGGCTTCAGCATGGGTGCACACCAAGGGATGACGTGAATAGCGATCCTGACAGTTGTGTTTTCATCAGGGAGCTGCTGTGACCCTCTCGTTGGAATGCCGTGAATATGATGTGGTTCTGTCTTCCTTGTTGCTACTTTTTGGCGGGGAAGTGATGTGTGAATTCGGAGAAGGAAGCAGAGGAGGGCCGGGTGGGCGTTGCCCTGGGCAGGTGCTGTAGAGGGAGGGGACAGTGTGGAAACTGGGCTGAGGGAGTTAACCCCTCTCACCAGGCCCCTTCCCAGCCCAGCGTCCGCAGAAGTGGAAGGGAAATGGCAGTGAGGCCTCATGTGGCAGGTGGTTTTCCAAAGCTAACTACAAAGCTGTTGCCACGCCTATGGTCTTCTGTGAACTTGCCACCCTGTGATGGTGGAGCCTCTGCGTGGTGGAATCCTGGAATCCGACTGCATGGAGCATCGGAATATGGTGAAAAATCACTCCGTTCCTCGTGTGGATAGGTAAACCAAAAATAAAATTCTAACCCCGCCCCCCGCCCTCCCCATCTGAAGGTACCCCTCCCCTTGGCAAGGGTATTGGAAGGCTAACCTGAGGGACTGGTTCAGGCCACGATGTGGGGCGGGGGCTGGACATGCCTCACTATCCCCTCCTCCCTTTCAGAATGACTGATAGAACAGGCTCTTTCAGTCTAATGAGAAACATTTACAATCTCTTCTCTCTGAAGCCTGCTACCTGGTAGCTTCAGCTGCATAATAAAACTTTGGTTTCCACAACCCCTTAACATAACCCAGACACTCCTTTCTATTGATGCCAGGTCTTTAGATAGTAACTTAACTCCTTCAACCGATTGCCAATCAGAAAAAATTTAAATCTAACTATAACCTGGAAGTCCCCTCCCCGCTTCCAGTTGTCCCGCCTTTCTGGACAAAACCAATGTTTATCCAACATGAACTTGATGTCTAGTGTCTCCCTAAAGTGTGTAAAACTAGGCTGTGCCCTGACTACCTTGGGCACATGTTCTCAGGGTCTCCTGGGGCTGTGTTATGGGCAGAGTTTGGCTCTTTTCACTGACAGACATTAACATTAACTGAGGTGCTTTGGCTTCTAGCCCCTTGGAAGCTGCCGTCCTGTAAGGAGGGGCACCTGGAGACTTCCCGACTGGGAAGAGCTCACATCTTGTGGAGTTTGGGGGCTGCGGAGACAGAGCAAGACAAGGAGGCTGAGGCACCCGCTGATGGTGCTTGGGTCAGAGACACATCCTCTGTGCCTGTCCTCCCAATCCCTGACCTGTAAAATAATGAGAAAATAAAGGATGATTTGAAGCCTTGAAGTGTGGGGAGGCTGCCTATGGAGCAACCACATCACCGGAGCATCCAGCCAAGACAAGGCTGGGATGCGGATGAGGTTGTAAGATGAGCTGCCCAATAGCCTGGTGGATGGGGATTTCAGCGGCTCTCCCAGGCAAAGAGAGGGGCATCTGGCAGGGCCCAGTGAGGACTCTGGCTTCCTGTGCAGCCTGGTGGAGGCCCCCATCTCACTGCCTCTGGGTGTGAGAGGGGACTGAGCAAGAGCAACTCACTGTCCGCTTGCTGGGAAGCTCAACGTTCATCTCCCCACTTAGCAAATGCATCCCGATTACGTGTCCACAGGCCTGCTGAGACAGGAGGAGCAAACAGGTGACCTGGGCCCTCAGCAACTGACGGTGTAGTGGCACGTCCCAAGAAATCCCTGCACATCCCTGGGAGGGGCAGGCGGGTTTCCATGGGTCACTCAGAGTGGGGAGTGCAACCCAGATGGTGGCTGCTCCACCAAGAGCCTCCCTTAGCTGGTACCTCTCTGGATGCTCCTCTGGGGAGTCTTAGCGATGGAAGCAATATGGCCATCAAGGTATCATAGCTGGGTCATGACATGAGCACCTCCTGAATCCAGGTGGATAAATACAGGTGAGATTTGCTTAGGGGCTTTGAGGCACCACTTGTTGAGACCCCTCTCCCTCGAGGAACAGGGAGTCATGTTTAGGGACTAAGCCCTGATCTTTTTCCCTTCGTCTTTGTTATCCTTGGCAGTAGCCCTGAGCCCTCCTGTAAAAAGTAAAGTAGAGGTTCCTCTTCAAAGATTTTCTCCCCATTTAATTAGGAATAAATAGTAACTTCTCTTAAAAGCAAAATTTATTCAAAGACCTGCACTAACATTCTTAAATATCTGCTAGCCGTAATAAAGAAATCAATATACTTTATGTTCTTAGCTCCCACAATTTAGCCTAAATATTTGCCCTGGCATGCTTATACTGGTCCAAGCAAGCATTAGGTCATAGCCTGTTCCTCTTCCTTATTTGAAGGTGGTTTTACCTTTCTCAGCATTCCGCAAAGTTACTTCCTCCTTCCTCTGTTCTCCTCTGCCTTTGCCTGTTTTAAAAAGTTCTAAGTTGCTAGCCAATCGAGACAAATACAGAATGTGAGGTTCCCTTCCAGCCAGTGGAAACCGGACACAGCAGTAGGGTGGACGCGTCAGGTTATAAATGATCCCGTCTCCTTTGTTTGGTGTATTGTCGTGGCAAAACTGCTGGCGAGTGTACCCTTTCTGCAGAAAGTATAAAAATGGCCTTGCTAAAAAAATTAAATTTATGTTCAAGTGCTATTTCTTTCTTTCTTTCTTTTTTTTTTTTGAGACAGAGTCTTGCTCTGTCGACTAGGCTGGAGTGCAGCGGTGCGATCCCGGCTCACTGCAACCTCCGCCTTCTGAGTTCAAGCAATTCTCTGCCTCAGCCTCCCAAGTAGCTGGGACTACAGGCACATGCCGCCACGCCCGGCTAATTTTTTTGTATTTTTAGTAGAGACGGGGTTTCACCGTGTTAGCCAGGATGGTCTGGATCTCCTGACCTCGTGATCCGCCCACCTCGGCCTTCCAGAGTGCTGGGATTATAGGCGTGAGCCACCACGCCCGGCTCAAGTGCTATTTCTTTACGGCACCGGGAAACAAGCATTTTAAACACCTCCTGACTCACTGAAGCCAGTTTTTGTTACTGGGCAAGAAGGAATGGCTGAAGATCCCCCACAACGTGGTGCCTCCTCTGCCCAGCAGCCTGTGCCTTATGGTGTGAGACGCAGCCCCAAGGACTTTTCCTCAGGAGGAGGCTCATCTTATCCTGGGGCTTGTGGGTTTTGTCCTGGGCTCAGGAGGGCACTGCACGTTTATAAAATAAAACCTCAGATTTCTTTAATAATAGGGAATTAAAAGGGAGTGGATAAACTTAATGTAAAGACAATTCACAAATGTTTTAATCAATAGTTGTATTACTCCACCCTCACGCTGCAAATAAAGACGTACCTGAGACTGGGTAATTTATTTTAAAAAAAGAGGTTTAATGGGCTCACAGTTCCACGTGGCTGGGGAGGCCTCGCAATCATGGCGGAAGGTGAAGGAGGAGCAAAGTTATATCTTACATAGCAGGCAAGAGAGCATGTGGAGGGGAGCTTCCCTTTATAAAACCATCAGATCTCATGAGACGTATTCACTATCGTGAGAATGATAAGGGAAAAACTACCCCCATAATTCAATTACCTCCCACTGGGTCCCTCCCACGACACGTGGGGATTATGGGAGTTAAGATTCAAGATGAGATTTGGGTGGGGACACAGCCAAACCATATCAATAGTTTAATCAAAGCTACTTATGGGGAGCTAATTTGAAACTTCCTTCTGTTTCTTTCTTGTTCTGGACGTGTGCGTTACGATGTTATCACCAACTCTCCAGCAGCAGTGGGATGAGCTGGGAAGTTCATCATCATTTCTATGACTGATTGAGATTTGATTCTGTCTGATTTCATGCCTGCATGGGCACATTTTTCAAACAGTGTGTGGTCGGCCCGTTCCTCGTATTCATTCATGGCTTCTGTGTGAGGAACCTGTGGTCAGTGTTAAGGGGACAGTGTGACCAGCAGGGATGATAAAGCTGTGGGCATCTTAGTGAGGTTCTTGGGGTAGCTCCTCACCCCTTGATCACCCCAAGGGCCACGTGGCTTGCCCCTGAACCTCCCTTCGCGTCCAGCTTCCTGGGCTGGTCAAACACTGATTCCAAAGGAACACTCACACGTTGGTCTGCTTGAGGGCTGCAGAATCGTGTGTGGAAGTTTGGCAGCTCCTTGGCAAGCCTGCTCCTTCCCCAGCAAATGGAAACACCATTCTGAACACCTGGGCATTGTCTCTGATGTCCCTTTTCATCTCCCTACTCTCACACAATCCAGCTGCCTCTCTGCCTTCCACGGATATTAAGAACGTCCACCATCTCCTGAGTCCAAGCCCTTCTCACTCACCTCTTTCTTGAACTAATTTCTTTCTGTTTTTTTCCAGTCCTCCCTTCTGTTCATGTCTCTCCTCTGCACACTTCCATTTTCTGGTTCAGAAAATGTCACCGTCCCAGTCACACTTGCCTTATGGCTGTTGTGTCATAAATACAGTTGACACTTGAACAACATGGGTTTGAACTGCATGGATTCACTTATACACATATTTTTTCAATACAAATATATTTAAAAATTTTGGAGATTTGCAACAATTTGAAAAAACTTGCAGATGAACAGCATAGCATAGAAATATTGAAAAATTAAGAAAAAGGTATGTCATGAATGCATAAAACATATGCAGATACTAGTCTATTTTAACCTTTACTGCCATAAAATATACACAAATCTATTATAAAAGGTTAAAGTTTATCAAAGCTTATGCACACAAACACTTATAGACCATATAGGGAGCCATTCAGTAGAGAGAAATGTAAGCGAACGTAAAGGTGTGCTATTTAATCACAACTGCATACACACTGTACCACTGCACTAATTTCAGAGCCACCTCCTGTTGTGATTGTGGTGAGCCCAAGTGTTGTGAGGATCTGCTTAAAATGCCATGTGATGCTCATCCTGTCTGTGTGAGCAGTTCATTTCTCCAGGAGATCGTGCATCGCAGGAAAAAGTGATCTCTCGAGTGTCCTGTGTATTTTATGTCGTGTCTGGTGCAATATTGTAAACATTGAATAACATCATGGGACCCATGCGAAGTTCCACTAGTGGTGCTGGAAGTGCTCCCAAGAAGCAGACAAAAGTCATGACATGCCAAGGAAAAGTTGACTTGCTACAGAACTCGGATTGAGGCCTGCCGCTGTGGTTGCTGCCATTTCAGACAGATGATCCAGCTTGTAAACAGATGACATAAACTTATGGTATTGATAATAGGGCATAGCACTGTCCATGTACTTTCTCTTCCTTATGATTTTCTTAACAATGTTTTCTTTTTTTCTAGTTTACTTTACTGTAAGAATACAGTCTGTAATGCATATATGAAATGTGTGTTAACCGTTTATGTTATGGGCTTCCAGTCAATTATACTACTAATAACTTCCAGGCTATTAGTCAAATTTTTAGGGAGTCAAAACTTATATGTGAATTTTTGACTGTGTAGGGGTCCTGCGTTCTTCAAGGGTCAACTGTGCACCGCACTGGGTGGCTTAAACAACAGAAACGTATTCTCTCATGGTTCTGGAGGCCAGAAGTCTGAAATCAGTACTACTGGGCTGAAATCAAAGTGTTAACTGAGCCCCTCTCCCTCTGGAGGCATCGGGGGGAATTCCCTTCCTTGTTTCTTCCAGTTCTGGTGGCCTGTGGCCTTCCTGGGTTGCGGCCACATCACTCTGATCTCTGCCTCCTTCTCCTCTGTGTGTGTTCTGGATCTGCCTCTCTCTTATAAGCTACATGTGATGGCACTTAGGGCCCACCTGGATAACACAGGATAAGCTCCTTCTCTCAAGAATCTCTACCTTATCACTTCTTTTGCCATATAAGATAACAGTCACAGGTTCTGAAGATTAGGAAGTGAATCTACATGCAGGGGCCCCTTGTTTTGCCTGCCACCACCACCCTACTTCAAGATGGCACCCTTTCCCCTCCAGCTTCCTTTCTCTGCTTTATTTCCTCTCATAACATTGGGAATAAGGAAACAGAAAGCTCCAGGGTTTCTTAGCAGTCAGTCCCTGGAGTTGGTGAATTTTAGGCACTAAAATGCCCAAGAACTGTAATGCACCAAGAACTGATGGCCTCTGTATTGGTCGGGGTAAAGAAGCCACTCAATGGATTTCAGGTCTGAAGGGCTTAGTTAGGGAGTTAGGGGCTTGCCTATCTCCTGGGAGAGCTGGAGGAGAGAAGGTCAGGACTTGTCTCTCCTGAGGCACTGAAATATCTGGGTTTCAGAAAACTGGAGTGACTCCCAGGGTCTCTGGGCAGTTTGCAACAACTTTCTCCAACTGCAGCAGCAAAGTAGGCGATGTCGAAGAGTTTACCAGATGGCCGTGGAGTCTCATGTGTCTGCTTGCAGCTGTTTTGGGACAAGAGGGGCTTCTCCTTCTCTCCTCTTTCTAGGCTTCACACAAGTTCCTCTCATGGACAGACTCACCCAGAACCAGACAGGGATGGAGAGTTGGTAAAGGTAATTCCTGGCTTCCTTGAGATGCAAAGGGGAGTGTAGAAGGTAGTGGCACTGGTGATGCAGGCTGACCTCCCATCTCCAGCCCCACAAACAGTGGGGAATCATTCGCATGTCCTCACAACACAAGTGTCACCGTGTTTATTTCTCAATACTTCTGCTTATCTTTAAAATGCACTCATCCATTCGTTGGCTAGAATAGATTGAATGCTTACTCTGGACAAGGCATGGCTTCCACTGAAATGCATGTCTGGCTCATATATTTGCTCTGGGGAATTCTTCCCTAGATCTCCTTTCCCTTACTCTCTGCTCTTCCCTCACTTTCTTCTCTTTTCTCCCATTCTTTCATTTTCTTTCCCTTTTTCTTTTCTCCTGATTCAATGGTGAACTTTTGTGAAGTCCCGTTTAAGTCTTCATTCACTCAATTCATAAACATGCCTTCCCTTTTTTTCTGTATCATTCAAGGATTTTGGATGCAAATAAGAAAGCTTGAACTCTGGTTGGGAAGTAAACTCTACATTTTGAACTGCATATACTCATTGTCATGTCCTCTGTTGGAAGTGCTATTCCCTTGGGTACCAAGATCTCTAAACAAGCAGACCCTATAGGTTGTAGGATAAGATGCAAACATTTTGCAAATGGGTCTTAGATGTAGTCCTGAGATGCCCCATCTCCACTTCCTCTCCTTCTTCCCATTCCCATGTCTTCCCGTAATGGGAGAAATAGTCTCATATCACACAGGTCACTGGCTCAGCATGCACACTGTATCCTGTGAGATGGCCCTCAATCTTGCAGGGTGTAGCCTCCCAGTTGATGGTGTAACTGAGTCTTCAGTAGGCCTCTTCATGAGCCTAGCTGATTGTGAATAATGGGTACATGGTCAGGCTTGTGAATTCCATAGGCACCTGGTCATTGCCTTAGTTCTTCTGCTGGTGTGATACCAATAATGTGATAAAGTGAATCCTTGTTCAGAAGCAGTGTCATGTCTGATACTGCGACAGTAAGAAAGGTGACCAGTAGGGCCATGTGCGATGGTGTTGGTATAAGTGAGGGTGTTGGAAAAAGCAAGCCGAAATCAGAGTAAGAGTCTCTTCCAGTGAGAATGTATTGCTGGGGTGATGGAGTCCCAGTGAAACAACTGGTTGCCAGGTAGCTGCCATATTGGTCTAGAATTGAGTGTTCACACGTGGTTACTGCATTGGAAAATTAAGTACTCAGTGGTGTAGCAGCTGAGTCAGCCTTGGAGAAGGAGCTGTCTGTATTTTTGAGCTCATGAATAGGATCCATCCTGAAACCATGGTCCCTTTGTTGCTGGGTTCCCAAGCAAGCACAATGATGGTTGGGGAGGTTGGTGATTGACAGTCATAGGTAGCAGGGCCTTAATACAAATGATCGGGACCCTTCTCCGCAGTAAAGACTTATTGGTGAGCATTTGCGTGGACCACAGGTATTCGCACACCCAGCGCTCATTCCTAAGGGTCTTCTTTCTGAATTTATTGACGCCAATCATCCAACTGTGCTTCTTCCAAGACCCTGGCTGCCCAGTCAAACCAATAGTCACTGCCTATGTTCTGGTCTAGCTATTTCTTCCCCTAGGCAAAGTAGACAATGAGAGAACCCTTGAAGTTATGTCTACTAAAAATATTTACCTTCTCCACCATCTTTCAGAATCATCTCTGGTTTGTTTTGGGAAATGTTTAACAACAGGCTCTCTGGAAAAATAGAAGCTGTAATTTGTAGTATTTGCCAATTTCTGTGGTATAAATATTCCCACAGTCACCAGTCTCAAGCTACTGGCTTGACGTCACTGACTGCAGAGTTGGGAAGAGAGGTGCCATTGTCTTCCATTAGATAGCATTTCCACCAGGCATATACAATAGATGTCAGTGACCTCAAGAACAGAGATAATAGTGAAATACATAAAGCGATGAAGAAGAGATGAATTTTGAGTATTTTTTTTAAATCTTTGTTTTAAAACATAATTTATTTAATTGTAAGTTTATATAATTTTGTTTTTAATAGTGGTTGTGTTTAACAACCAGCCTGCAAAATTCCTGGAAGAATTTCGGTTGGCTCTTGTGAACTGGTCCCAGCCGGCTCCAGCTCAACACTGGCTGTAATGCTGCAGTGTTCGTCCCACTGCTGGCTGGGGCATACGTGGTTGGCAGTGCTACCAGTAAATTGGGCCCCTTTTTTTTCTCGCCAGGTAACTGGTCATAGAGAACTTCCCATGAGGCCTTAAGAGTGGATTAAGGAATGGGTAGCAGTGAAATGAGACTAAGCATGCCAGGAGTTTGCAACCCCTACCTCCACTTATGCAACTTTCTATGGTCTTCAGACCTGCTCAATCCCTGGCCTGTACATGCCATCCCCCCCAGCTGATGCAATGCTGCTGGGGTGCCCACTTGATGGCCAGCTGGGAGAGACCCAGCAGGACCTAGTATTAGTGGAGTGACCCTGCTAGGAGGTCACTCACCCCCAGTCAGCTGTTTCCTCCATCATTAGCCAGTGTTGTGCCCCTGCCAGCCTTGGCAGGGGTTGATTAACGTTCTTATACCCCCTCTGGCTCTAGCCTACTGACTCTGTCACCGTGTAGCTAATGATGGGGTAAATGCTGGTGTTCATTTCTTCCTTTCAATACAAAAGGACCCAGACATTAGATCATCTCACAGTGTTCACTATGTAACCAGCAGTATAACTTTCCATTCATTGTTATAATTGTGTGATACTAATTGTCATTTGTGATGTAATTTCGGACTAAATATTTAAATCTCTGAGCCTCTGTTTCCTCAGCTAGAAAATAGCTACTGATACTACTGATCTTGCAGGACTATAAGGATTAAATAAGATAATGTATAAAGAATGCCCTGCACCTATACATAAAAGTGCCAATGAGTGGTGGTGTTTGTAGTTGGGGTGGTTGTGCTGTGATACAGTCCACAAAGGGAAGGAGTCATCTGTTCACCTTGAGTCTATAAAAGTGAAAAAACAATGGTTTTTGAGACTGGCTTGACAAGAAAGAAGTTGGAAATGAGACCTGAAATGTATTGACCATAGCCTCTGGCAAGGCTACTCTGTCCTCACTTTACCCCGCTGTACTAGTGAAAAGCAATGGTTTGGGGAGCCACATTTCCCATTTTCTTGTCTTTGGGATTTCCTTGATGCTGGAGCACAGGGAGGCAGAGACTGATCTGCTCCAAGCCTCCTTGGGGGATGGAAGGTGGCCCACATGTCTTCTCTCTGGAGATGATTTCAGGATTTTGAGAGAAAATAAACATGGAGCTGTGATTTAGGAAAACTGTAAATCAAGCAGCTGTTGGGAAGACCCAAAGTGACATATTTATTTATAAGGGAAGAAAGATCATATTATATGAGCAAACATATAAAAGGATGTGTGTATTCGTGCTGGCTAAGGACAGCTGCCATAAAATATACACATATATTTTATGTGGGAGACACGTGCTGTTCCGAGTTCCTCCACTGTGCTCTTTGAGTCCCATTGGGTGTAACATCTGTCCATCCTGAGGGGCCCTGCCTAGGTGGTGAATGTGGAAGCGCTTGCCTTTCTGGGGTACATACTGACCTTAGGTGGTTAAATGTATCCTACTGGTTATAAGTACCTGGGTCACAGCCACAAGCAATAATTGGATAAAAGGACTCCTTTAGTTAATGTATACTAATTAATTTCACAGAAATCACCTGTAAGAGCTGATGTAAGTAGTGCGTTGTGTTTTGTCAAAATATGAGATAATTTGGTAGATTAAACATTTCTACTATAGATGGAAAGCACCCAATAATTCCCAGCTGGCAAAGAATGAAATTTCAAAGAATGAAATTTTCACAATATAATGCAACTGTGAAAGCAATAATAAAGGTTTCAGTGGCTGCTGTAGTCACCTGAATGGCGAACTCTGAATATTCCATCCAACCCCTCCCACTCAGCCACCCATCCAGTCACCCATCTACTCATCTATCCATCCATCCATCCCTCCACCCACCCGCCCAACCATCCATCTACCCATCCACCCATCCATTGACCCATCCACTCATCCACCCATCTACCCATCCACCCATCTACCCATCCACCCATCTACCCATCCACACATCTAGCCATCCACACATCTAGCCATCCACCTTCCCACCCATCCACCCATCTATCCATCCACTTATCCACCCATTTACCCATTCACCCATCCACCCATCCATCCATGTACCCATCCATCCACCCATCTACCCATCTACCCATCCAACAATCCACCCATCTACCCATCCAACAATCCATCCATCTACCCATCCACCCATCAACCTATCCACCCATCTGTCCATCCACTTATTTACCCATCTACCCATGCACCCATCCACACATCCATCCATCCACACATCTACCCATCCACCCATCCACACACCCACCTATCCACACATCTACCCATCCATCCACCCATATACCCATCTACCCATTCAACCATCCACCCTTCTACCCATCCACCCATCTACCCTTCCACCTATCCACCCATCCACTCATCTACCCTTCTACCCATCCACTCATCTACCCTTCTACCCATCCACTTACCCATTCATCCACTCATCCACCCATCCACCTTTCTGCCCATCCACCTATGCATTCATCCACCCATCCATATATCCATCCACCCATCTACCTATCCACCCATCCACCCATCCACCCATCCACCCATCCACCCATACACCCATCTACCCATCCACCTATCCATCCACCCCTCCACTCAGCCACCCCTTCATCCATCCATCCATCCATCCATCTATCCAATAAATAAGTACTGAACACCAACTAAGCTCCAAGCATTACAAAAGGTGCTGAGAACAAAGATGAGTGAGACCACCTTTGGCTGACAGAGAGCTTGTCATGTACTGGGGAAGACAGACAAGAGGAGTGAACACACAGGGCAGCGTTAGTTTACAGATCTTTGAAGACCCATACTTGGAAGCCTACTGGCTCCCCAGGGGAGTTAGGGAAGGATGTCTGAGTTCCCTGGATGGCTCTGAATTCACATTCCAGAAAGAAAGGAACAATATTGTCAAAGCCGAAGTGGCCTAAGAGGGTGTGCCCTGTCTAGGGAAAGTAGACATTTGATAAGGTAGGCTAAAAGGGGAGAGTTTTGGTCTGCAGAGGGGCCCAGGGCCCAGAACCTGCTGGTGCTGAGAGGCTCAGCTGAGGCGTTTGGACTGAATGCTGCATAGCAGTGAGCATTAACCTGTGCTCCGGTGGCAAGAGTCTTGGGGCAGTTGGGTTTGAGGGGTAGGGCTCTTAGCCTCCACCCATGCTGCAACCAAGCTCTCCACTTTGTCTGCGTTAAATATCGAGCTTCTGCTTGAGCTTTCCTTCAGAGCATAGTTTCTTTAATTTGAAAACTACCGGAATAGATGAAGAAGTGTCAGTATGGTTTTGACCAGGGAGTCGCTTTAGCCAATCCCTTGGGGGTAATGCAGAGGGTTGCCTCAGTGGCCAGAGAAAAGCAGAGATGGGGCTCTTCCCTGGATGCATCTCCACAGGGTTGCGTGGGGCTTGATGGGTGCCAAGTGCGACAGACACACAGGGGCTGGGGGACACAGAGGACAGGGTAATAATTCCACCAGGCACAACAGTAATATTGGCAGGGGCACATTAGGAAAATCAGGACGAAATACACACGATGTCCCAGGGTTTGTTTCACCAAACACTAGCTTCTGGGAAAGAATTTATCTTAGGCACATTTTTACATGACTTTTGTTCATGTTACAGTATGAGGCAACTCACGTGTCATTTTAAACCTTGGCTTCCTGCACGCCTCGGTAGAGAGGGACAGCTGGCTAAGCCACCAGCCCGAGATTCCCTGGTGGGGAGGAGTTAGAGCCGAGCCGAGGCACTGGAGTTTGGCAAAGCCAACCCATGCAAAATGGACCACTGAGAACACGAAAAACTCTCACGGAATGTTTCTTTAGTCCAACATGGAACTTTATCATGAATGATCAAACTCCTTTTATTAAGACTCTTAGAGCTGTGACAAGGGGCAGGATCAACTGCTCTGCAAGTCCCTAATTCCCTTTCGTTTTTTTCAAGTTCCATGAAGTGCAAGGTACAAACAGGTATCAAAGGAGTCCCACTTGGGTCAGTAGGTGTGGAAAGGAGCGGAGCTGACCCATTGCTGGGATCTGGCCATAGGCAGAACATTGTGGGAGAGATGGGGAAAGAGACAGGAGGGGGAGAGCGAGAAGGAGGAAAGGGAGCAAGAGAGTTAGGGAGAGAAAGAAAGAGATGGAGAGAGAGGAAGAGTGGGAGGGAAGAAGAGAGAAGATCACTCCAAACCCATGGTACTATCCTTGGGTTATGCCTGATATGCCTGACATCTTGAGTGGCCCTGGGGCAGGGTGTTGCGCTTTGAAACAATTCATGCTCTCACTTGTAGAAAAGGCCGACTTCTTTGGACACAGACACACATAAAAAAGAAACCAAGGCCATATCAAATTTTTCTTTTATTGTTCCAGTCAAAAAAAGAGGAACACCTCAATATGTAAACAGTTTCCCTAACACAGCGAGTTCTTAAAGATATATATATATATATATATTTTTTTTTTATTTTAAAAAAATTTGGCATTGTAGTGATTTCTCAATACATAATTTGTGCTTTCGCATTGAGCATGCTTTCGTCTCATTGTCCGTGCACAGACATACTTGGAGTTGAGTAAAGGGAGTTACAAAAGGACCAAAAAATGGGACAGGAGCCAAACCAGTACTTGAGCCCTACCTGGTGTTCCTTCCTAAAAAGCATGGTGGAAAAGTTGGCAAGATTGACCTCAGAAGCAAATCTTAGTGACTTTATTCCAAAGAAATCTTAGAAGCCTTGGTAGCAACTTTTGAAAGAAGCATTTCTTGTTTTCTTTCTGTTCATCCCTAAAGGATCATTGGTTTTGCTTGGAGAAAACTTTAGTTATTTTGTATGTTATATTTCTTAATATCCCTAAGTCCCTTCTAAAATAAACTCTTGTTTTGTGATTTTGCTGGACACATGATGGTTTACAACTACATGCTATTGAAATTCCACTAGTGATTTATTCTGCTTTTTGCTGAATCATTTCAAAGTGCTTGACAGTTGTGTAAAGACCTTTTGGTTTTGTCCAGTGAAAATTATTTTTTAATTCAATACTAAAGACTTCAGAGCCTTTAAGATGCAATGATGGGTTTATCAATAATACTGTTCATGCTATTCGTTTCTTAGTCCTTGTCCTTAGCCTGAAATTCTAAGTCTCTATAAATTAGCACCAGTTTTCCAAATGCATATTTTATCAAATCCTATGATCCTAGGCTGGTCTAGGTACCATCCCCCAATCTTACCTTGTGTGTTTCTGTTTTAAGACCCTCTCCCATGCTGGCCTTGCAAACTGAAATGCCTTTGCTTTTGGATCTCTCTCTCTCTTTTTAAAATAGAGATGGGGTCTTGCTGTGTTGCACAGGCTAATCTTGAATTCCTGGGCTCAAGCAATCCTCCCACCTTGGCCTCTCAAAGTGCTGGAATTACAGGCATGAACCATTGTGCTTGCCTGCCCTTGGATCTCTGTCTCCAAAACCTAAGCAGTCTTTGAGAAATGTCAGGGCAAATGTCCCTTTCTTCCTCATGAGGCCATTTCTTACTGCTTACGCAGAAACTGATCTACTTTCTTTACATTCCAGCAAATTTGTTGTGCCTGTCCCTCTTCGTTTAGGTATTTCTAAAACTAGACTCAGTTACTTCACGTGTGAAGTGGGAAGCAGTATTTTCTCACAGGGTTTTGTGTGGTTCGATGCACTTAGCGCAGTGTTGTTGCATGGTAAGGGCTGGCAGCCATGGGATTACAGGCTTGTTGAGGACAGTGGGGGATGTTACTTTTTCTCAGAGTCTTCATAGTAACTTGTCAAGGACATCACTCACTGTACTGCAAGTGTTCACTGAGTGCTCATGGCCAGCACTCAGGCAAGTGAATACACATTTGGAGTAATAAAATATGGGGCATCAGCTAACTTTCAGAATATTTTGAGTGGAGTTTTGTCCTTGTCTAGTTTTAGTTGCCTGTTGGGATCCCTGAGTATAAAAATACAAGTGTGTGCCTGCTCCCAGCATTGACGAGCTTCATGAACCTTGAAAATGGAACACTTTATTTCTCTGTAGGATGTGAGCATTTGATAAAGAACTCAAGTTCCTGAAAAAATTTCTGGAGACAAAGTTGAGGATCAAGTATCATCTGTGCTTCATTTCTTTTGGGAAGATGTGCGTTCTCTAGGTGTGGATATTGGAGTTGGCACACTGACATGCACCCTAATGACCCTCAGCTTGGGGACCCAATTCTGACACCTGCTGGGCTTTGCTTTCTTTGCTTAACTAGTTCTTGAAAATTCTGTGTGATGGTGAGAATAAGAAGTTCCAGGTACATAGAAACATGAATGTCCACAAACATGCAACCCCCAAACTAGATGCAGTCTTATCTTCAATCGCATAGATTCAAAATTAAAGAGACTATTGAAACCTTGGCACTGCTAGAGACTTTTGAACTAATAGCTTTCTGGAATAATTTTCTATCCTAAGAAATAGCTCACAGAACAACCCTATATTTTACTGGGCCATAGTAAACATTTTGGGCCTTAATATAATGCCATTTTATTAGGAAAGACAAATACAATGAATTATCTTATGATTAATAATGAAAAGTGGCCACTATTTTCCATTACTGGTATATAACTAAAATAAAGCAGTAGTGCTACGGTTAAAATAAATCAGCTTAATTAAAATATTATGGTTTAAGCTTTTTGCCTCCTTAATTATCCTGTCTGGTTTAGTTTTTGTTTTGTTTTTCTGACTGGGGCCCTAGGTGCATGCTTTAGGGAGGGTAGAGCTGGATTTGGGTTAAAAGCAAATTGTCAGTAGCCTGCTGGAGCTGAAGGAATTGCTCATGGATGAGCTGGCGAGATGCAGCCTCACATTTATTTTCTATCAATGATGCTGACCTTCCTTGGACATTTTTCTACTGCAGAGAAGACCACAGTGCATGTCCAGTAGCACCTCATTTATCTAGAAGGCACCTACCTCACAGCTCATCTCTCTGCTACCGGGTTTAGTGGTGGTAATGACAGGGGAGCAGGACGTGGTCGGTGGGTGCTGTTGGAGACAAGTGTGTGGCTGGTAGTTAATTTCCCTGCTGCCAGCAAGGGAATCAGTTAAATGATGAAAACAGCTGAGACTTAAAGCTGAACCATCTGGGGTCATTTAGTGTAGAGGTACAGTCTAGAACTGATGGTGGTGTAGGTTGGAATGGATACTAGAATTATTAAAGCAGAGACTATGGGGTTCAAATGTTTGTTGAAAAAGATGAGGAAACTACAGCAGATTAGTCTTTTTGCTTAAGCTTGCATGGAATGTTCATCAAGTTAGACTGCATTCTGGGTCATAAAACATACCTTAACACATTTAAAAGAATAGAAATTCTCAGATCACTTGGGATCAGGAGTTCAAGACCAGCCTGGCCAACATGCTGAAACCCCATCTCTATTAAAAATACAAAAATTAGCCAGGTTTGGTGGTGGGCACCTGTAGTCCCAACTACTTGGGAGGCTGAGGCAGGAGAATCGCTTGAACCCCGGAGGCAGAGGTTGCAGTGAGCCAAGATCATGCCACTCTACTCCAGCCTGGGCAACAGAGTGAGACTCTGTCTTAAAAAAAAAAAAAAAAAAAAAAGGAATACAAGTCCTACAATGTTTGCTCTTAGATAACAATGGAATTAAGCTAGAAATCAGTAACAGAAAGGTAGCTGGAAAATGCCAAAATACTTGGAGATTAAACAACACACGTGTAAATATCATGGGTCAAAGAAGAAATCTCAAGATAAGTGAAAAAATATTTTGAAATAAATGAAAATAAAAACATAGCTTATTATAATTTGTGGGATGCAATAAAAACAATGCTTAAAGGGAAATTTATAACATTGAATGCAGATAGCACAAAAGAAGATCTGAAATCAATCATTTAAGTTTCCATTTTAAAAAAGTAGAAAAAAAGAGCAAATTAAACCCAAAGTAAGCCAATGAGAAGAAATAATTAAAATTAGATTAAAAATTCACGAAATTGAAAATAGGAAATCAATAAAATAAATAGAAACAAAGTTGATTCTTTGAAAAGATCAATAAGCTCCATAAGTCTCAAGGCATGCTAACTAAGAAAAAAAGAGAAAGAACACAAATTACTACTATCAGAAATGAGAGCGGGGACGTTACTAGCAATCCCATGGAGGTTAAAAGGATAATAAAAGATAATGAAGGAATTTTATGAATGACTTTATACCCACAAATTTGATAATGTAGATGAAATGAACCAATTCCTTGAAAAATAGAATTTGTCAAAACTCACACAAGAGCAAATAGACAATCTGAATAGGTATATCTCTGTTAAATAATTTGAATCAATGGTTAGTAACCTCCCCAACCAGAAAGCACTTGGCCCAGATGGGTTCACTGGTGAATTCTACCAAAGACTTAAGGAAGAAATGATACTGATTATCTACAATCTCTTTCAAAAGCTAGAAGCAGAGAGAACACTTGCTAACTCATTCTATGAATCCAGCATCACCTTAATACCAAAACCAGACAAAGACATTACAAGAAAACTACAGACCAATACCTGTCATAAGCATAGATGCAGAAATCCTCAACAAAATATTAGCAAATCAAGTCCAACAATATATGAAAATAATTAAACACCATGACCAGGTGGAATTTGTCCTAGGTATATAAGGCTGGTTCAACATTCAAAGATCAACTAATGTAATGAATATCAACAGGCAAAAGAAGAAAAATTGCATGATCATATCAACAGATGCAGAAAAATCCAAACAGTCTTTCATGATAAAAACACTCAGTAAAGCAGGAATAGAGGAGAAGCCCCTCAACCTGATAAACAATATCTAAAAAAAAAACCTTACAGCTAACATCATACTAAATGGCGTGATGGTGAGAAACCTGAAGCTGTCTCACTAAGATCAGGAAAAAAAAGGTGTCCCCATCACTACTGCTTTTCAACATGATACTGGAAGTCCTGGCTGATGCAATAAGACAAGGAAAGGAAATAAAAATATATAGATTGGGAAGAAAGAAGAAATAAAACTTTGTCTTTGTTTACAGATGACATGATCATCTATGTAGAAAATCTGAAATAACTGACCAAAAAACAAAACAAAAACAAGCCCCAGAACCTTCCTGGAACTAATAAGGGATTATAGCAAGATTTTAGGATTCAAAGTTAATATACAAAGTCAATTGTTTTCCTATATACCGGCAATGAATAAGTGAAATTTGAAATTAAAAGCACATGATTATTTAAATTAGTATCCCTTGAAATGAAGTACTTAAGGTATAAATCTAACAATATGTATAAGATCTACATGAGGAAAACTACAAAACTGGTGAATGATATCAAAGAAGAACTAAGTAAATACAGAGATATTCCATTTCATGGAGGGACTCAATATTGTCAAGATGTCACTTCCCAGCTTCCTCTGTAGATTAAATACAATCCCAATAAAAATCTCAGCAAGTTATTTTGTTGGTACCAAAAAACTGAGTCTGCAGTTTATATGGAGAAAGAAAGCTACAGTACTCAAGACGATGTGGTGTTGGTGAAGGAATAGACAAATAGATCAGTGGAACAGAATGGAGAGCTGAGAAACAGACCCACACAAATATAGTTAACTGATCCTTGGCAAAGGAGCACAGGCAAAACAGTGCGGCAAAGAGGGTCTTTTCAACAAACGGTGTTGAAATAGCTGCACATTTGCACATCCACAGGCAAAAAAAAAAAAAAAAAAAAGAGTCTAAATACAGACCTAACAAACACTTTTCACAAAAATTAACTCAAAATCGGTCACAGATCTAATGTAAAATGCAAAACTATACAACTCCTAGAAGGTAACATATAAGAGAAAACTTAGATGACCTTGGATATGGCAATAGATTTTTAGATAGAACACCAAAGACATGATCATGAAAGAAGTAAATGATAAGCTGAACTTCAGTAAAATTAAAAGCGTCTGCTCTGAAAAAGACAAGGTCAAGATAATGAGAAGACAAGCCACGGACTGGGAGAAAATATTTACAGAAGACACATCTGATAAAGAATTATTATCTAAAATTTACAAAGAACTTTAACAAATCAACAATAAGAAAACAACCCGATTTAAAAAAATGCCCAAAAGACCTGAACAGACACCTCACCAAAGAAGATGTACAGATGGAAAACAAGCATATAAAAATATGTCCCAAATCATGTCATTAGGGAATTGCAAATTAAAACAGCAATGAAACACCACCGTACATCTTTTAGAATGGCCCAAATGCAGATCATTGACAACACTAAATGCTGGTGAAGATATGGAGCAACGGGAACCCTCATTCATCGCTAGTGGAATGCAAAACAGTACAGCCACTTTGGAAGGCAGTTTGGCTGTGTCTTGCAAGACTAAATATAGCTTTAACATATCATATTTACCCAAATGAATTGAAAACTTATGTCCACACAAAAACCTGCATACAGATATTTATAGTGGCTTTATTCATAACTGACCAAACTTGGAAGCAACCAAGGTGTCCTTCAGTAGGTGAATGGATAAATAAACAGTGGTACATCCAGAAAATGGATGAGTGTTTGGTGCTAAAAAAGTGAGCTCTCAAGCCATAAAAAGATATGAGGGAAACTTAAATGCATGTTACTAAGTGAAATAAGCCAATTTTATAAGGCTGCGTACTGCATGAGTCCAATTATATGCCATTCTGGAAAAGGCAAAACTATGGAGACAGTAAATAGATCAGTGGTTGCCAGGGGTTGGGAGGACACAAGATGAATTGGGAGAGCACAGAGGATTTTTAGGGCCGTGGGACTATCCTGTATGATTCTATAATGGTGGATCCATGCCTTTATACATTTGCCCAAATCCATAGAATGTACAACACCATTGTAAACAATGGACTCTGGGGTGATAGTAATGTCTCAGTGTAGACTCATCCATTTCCACAGATGTACCATTGTGGTTTGGCATATCACTCGTGGGGGCGGCCATGCATGCGGGGGCCGGGGGTAAATGAGAGCTCTTGGTAATTTCTGCTCTATTTTGCTGTGAAGTTAATGCTGCTCTAAAAAATAAAATTTATCAAGTTTTTAAAAAAGGGGTGGAGGAAGCTATTTCCGACCAGTGAAATGATATACCCAGGACGACATTGCTCATCTGGGGGCAAAACCTGGTCTTCTGAATCCAGGGTTCCTACCAAACACTGGAAGAAAGGCTGTTGCCTGCAGGTTCAGGGAAGTGTATGGTACATTTTTAAAATAATGCCACAGTGCATGCAGGGGAGGAACGCCAATCTTAAGGCTTTGATTTCTGGAAATTTACTTTTGTGGTGTCACTCATAACTGATTGGAAAGGATAAGAGTGTGTGTGTGTGTGTGTGTGTGTATATCTGTGTGTGCGTATGCATGTGTCTGTGTCTGTGTGAGTATGCGTGTATCTCTGTGTGTATGCATGTGTCTGTGTCTGCGTGTGTGTGTATGCATGTGTCTGTGTGCGTGTATGCATGTGTCTCTGTATGCATGTGTGTATGCATGTCTCTGTGTATGCGTGTGTGTGTATGCGTGTGTGTATGCATGTGTCTCTGTATGCATGTGTGTGTATGCATGTCTGTATGCGTGTGTGTATGCATATGTCTGTGTGTGTATGCACGTGTGTGTATGCATGTGTCTCTGTGTATGCGTGTGTGTATGCATGTCTTGGTGTGTGTATGCATGTGCATGTATGCGTGTGTGTGTATGCGCATGTCTCTGTATGTGTGTGTATGCATGTGTCTGTGTGTATGTGTGTGTGTATGCATGTGTCTGTGTGTGTATTTGTGTGTATGTGTGTGTGTTATGTAGGGAGAGGGTGCTTATATTGTTACTGTGTTACTTATGAAGGACTGGGGACATTATTGTTGCATAGTGTAACATTCAGAGGAATCCTCATTCTTTTAGAAAAGGAAAAAATCTCTATGAAGGTGCACACAGGGAGGAACCATGTGATAACAGGCCACATGTTTTGTTGATGCCTGTTGTCACAGAATTAGAAAATACACAGAAGAAATTCTTACAGTGCAGTTGTCGAGATTGCGGAAAGTTCTCATCTACCCTCTAATGCCCCATGAGACACAGCAAGCTGACCAGGTAAACTATGGACCCTGGGATCTTGTTAGGCCTGACTCCCACAGTGTGGGCATGGTTCAGGGATTTGAATATTAATGTCCTCTTTCTGAAATCAGACCCTCGACTGACATTCCCAGCATTCTTTTTTTTTTTTTTTTTTTTTTTTTTGAGACGGAGTCTCGCTCTGTCGCCCAGGTCGGACTGCGGACTGCAGTGGCGCAATCTCGGCTCACTGCAAGCTCCGCTTCCCGGGTTCACGCCATTCTCCTGCCTCAGCCTCCCGAGTACCCAGCATTCTTAAGCAGTACCATGTCCAGAATTTCTCCAGGGTTTGTGTTCAGTACGGTGGCTGCAGAATTGTTACTGGTGAGCAGAGTTTATTCTTGCCTGGTCCATGGGGCCAGACTAAATTGAGCTCTGAAAGTTTCAGTGGTAAATTCCACTTTACCTTTTATGCCAATATAGGGGAGTCTATTCTCAAGTTCAAAGCCAGATGGAAAATGGCAAGTTCAAGAAGAAATAGTATTCTGGAACTTTGCTCTGGGGGCAAAAATGAGTATTTCTGATTTGAAATCAGGTTTTCTGAAAGAATCCATAAGTAAATTTTAAAATTGCTTTTGTTTATATTTGTGCTTATTAAAACACTCCCTGTTCTGGACCAATCTTAATCTTCTAGGCAGAATTTATTTAGTGTTAAGAAAATGGCAACTCTTTGGACATCTGTTACATGGGATAATACAAAAATAATTTTGAAAATTTTTTAAAGGCAAATGTGACTGGAGTGTGGGCATGAGTGTGATATGAGGATGATGGCTTGAAGAAGAGCCTTTTAAGAAGCAATTTGGCCACCTAAGTGCATCCCATCTTAGGAAGAAAGGATGGGAATACCCCAGACCTGGCGTGCGGAGGGAGCTCCTGTGTGCTGGGTCCTACTCCACATTACCTTGGGTTCTCCCAAGGCTGTCTGCAGGTGGAGCAGCCCTAGGGAGCCTCCGCCCCATGGGGCCTCTGCCAGGTCTCCTCGAGCCTGCGGGAGAGTGGTCCACACTGAGAGGCTGGGAGTTACCATGGCAGCCAAGCACATCCTCGGTAACCAGGCACCCACAAGTGCTGGGAGTTTCCCCAGAGTACAGTCTGTGCAGACAGTGGGAAAGGAAAGAGCACTTTGCCAACACAGGCAGACACTTGGGGAGTCAATCATTTTGGAATCCTATGAACTTGTGAGTTCACTGTTGTCTCTGTGTGGCTCTTGGTTAAGACGAGGAAGCACTGGGCTGAATAAAGATGTTCAGGAGCTTCTTTGGCAAGCTGGTCCCCTAATGGCATGCTGCAAAGGACAAGAAGATCCCACTGGACCAGTCCAGCTGTCCTTTCAGCACAAGACCTAACTTTATGCTGCTCTCGTCAGTTACCGGGCTGAGACCATGTATACGCCCAACCATCACTCATAGACTCTCTGGGCAATTATGAAGCAGGAACAAAATGTACATATATATATATATATATATATATATGGTTAGACTCTGAACATATACGCTCGGTTAAAATTGGTGGTGGCTATTAAGTGGTAAGGAATAGGACTAACCCCAATAATAGGTTGCTGGATTGTGGATGCTCAAAAATGATATTAACCTTCCAACGGGGGTGCCAGGAAAAGTGAAGTTTTCGTGGTGAGATGAGGGAGCAAATTAAGAGAGAGCAGCTGGGGGGAATGGTTGGCTGACAATCTGCCATCACCCGAAAGCTGTGTGGGCACCAGGAGACAGCATAAGTTGTGTCTGTAAGTGCTGCAATGCAGAGTTCCTTGCAGATAATAACGGGACTTGAAATTGATGCCTTCATTTGGTGACCCTGATAGAGGTGGGGATGTGCGATTTCTTTTCTCTTTCTTTCTTTCTCTTTCTTTTCTCTTTCTTTCTTTCTTTCTTTCTTTCTTTCTTTCTTTCTTTCTTTTCTTTTCTTTTCTTTTCTTTTCTTTCTTTTTCTTTCTTTCTTTTCTTTCTTTCTTTCCTTCTTCCTTCCTTCCTTCTTTCTTTCCTTCCTTCCTTCCTTCTTTCTTTATCTTTTTTCCTTCCTTCCTTCCTTCCTTCCTTCCTTCCTTCCTTCCTTCCTTCCTTCTTTTCTTTCTTTTTTTGAGACTGAGTCTCGCTCCGTGGCCCAGGCTGGAGTGCAGTGGCATGATCTCAGCTTACTGCAACCTCCCCCTCCCAAGTTTAAGCTATTCTTGTGCCTCAGCCTCCAGAGTAGCTGGGTGTACAGGCAGGAACTACCATGCCCAGCTAACTTTTTCATATTTTTAGTAGAGGCGGGGTATTACCATATTGGCCAGGCTGGTCTCAAACTCCTGGCCTCAGGTGATCTGCCACCTTGGCCTCCCAAAGTGCTGAGATTACAGGTGTGAGCCACAGCACCCGGCCTTGTGAGATTTCTTAGCCAGGGTGGGATTCTATTGGTTGTGGGGTGGCTCAAACAAACCAAACTCCCAGCCTTACTCAAAAAGAGGGACCAGGTCAGACTATCTGGAGAGAGTTCTGCCATTGGCCCGATGACTGAGTCTGTGCCCACGGCATCGTGATACCAAAACGTGAGACTTCCTAGAGAAAAGAGAATTAGATATGTCATGAAAAAGAAAAGCACTGAGATCATCACCATGAGAAAATCAGAACTTTTGGGGATTTCCTTACCCTGACTCCATTTATTTTACTTGGACTTTCACATGGGAGGGCACCCCTGTGCTTAGCAGATGCTAAAGGTCTTAATTTAGTCATCATTCCTGACCCAGGGAGGTGCTCTGTGGGGTCAAGGGTGTGGGGCAAGTTAAGCTTGAAAGATACAGGGTCCCCCGGAAGATACTTCTAGGGGGTCATTGTCCAGATGGGCAAGAGCCAGACCCTGCAGGGAGAAGCTCCCCTAGAGAGACCTCAGTGGGTGGGCATGGCTGAGGATTTTGTTCTGCCCAAGTCTGAGCTACGGGAGGGTATTTCTCATACCCATGCCCACAGTCAGCAATGCTGAGAGATGATGTCAGGGCGATGCCCGTGATGGCCGGATCTGAGGACAGTGCTCCTTCCCCTCTTCTAAGAAGACTGGCTGAAGACCCAGAGGTTTGGGTAATGCACGGCTGACCGAAACTCTGATCTCTGCACTCCAGTTGATCGAGTTCTACTAGTTGTGTTTAGTGATAAGACCCAAGACTGACATACTCCATAAGGCATTCAGCCTGGACTAGGCTCTTTGTAGCCAAAAGTCTGCTCCTAGGCTCCTGGAAGACCTTGCCCTTTTGCTTGAATGTTTTGTGATTTCTATCAGAGTTTTAGAAACGATGATGATTACATGTTTATTTCACTAGTGCTTGTTGGTAGCAGATATTTACATTGCCTGAGAAAAACAGCCCTTCATATTCTTATAAAGATTGGCTTAGTTGATATCACAGTATTGATGATCGGTGTTAAAACAATGGGCACTGAGCCTTAATCTTGAAATGGGCAATTACACAAAGTCGGTAGGAACATTTCATTCTCTGAAATCAAGATCTGTTTACTATGTGGCCACAATTCTCCGGCCAACCACAGTGCATGTTGGGATTTGCATCTAGGGGGTATAGTGTCTAAAAATAACTCTATAAATACTGTTTTCATCAGTGATAAATCTAATCTCCATCACTTAATCATGTTGACCACCCCAGTGAAATATTTTTGTGTGCCTTTAAAGTATTTTGCCTTCCTTTTCCTAGGACTCTCTTATTGAATTAGGTGGATACATGAAGCTTTCTTTTACCAAGGCAATGAGGCCAAGTAAAAGTTTGACTCCTTTTACATTTATTTAAGTTTTATGGTGTTGAACTTTGAGATTTGTTTCCTCCCACTTAGTTGTTTCCTCCCACTCTTCCATGCAGTTGAAGGGTCACAAGCTTTTTGCATGATCTATATTGTAGATACCATTACCTACTTAGTTTCAGACGCAGGATCAAATCCATCCTTTATCTGTCGACAATATAACAACATCACAATGATTTGTTACATTGTTACTTTTTTTTCTTTCTCATCTGATTTCCAGGAAAGCACTCATAAGAGAACTTGATATGTTTTTCCATAGAACTAAAAAGATAAGGAACCTAGCTTGGCTGACTACCTCTGGCATTAGAAATGCTTCCTTAGAAGACAAGGGAGTTCAGCTTAGTGACACAAAGAATGCCATTTAATATTGACTCATCTAAAAACCCCAAGGTCTGGACTTTTTCCATCCATTATGTCTGTAATTACCAATCTTTGTCTTTGCTTCAGACTCAGAAAGCGCAAGAAATCCAACAACCCTTTACTATACTTCCGTGTCTCCCTGAGCTCTTTTCAAAGGACCTTTTGGTTTTCCATAAGAAGCATTTAGTTCTTTAATTACACATTAAACTTCTAGCTTAGTGGCTAGAGAGAGCAAAAACTAGCGCAATTAAACATGAGCTAGTTCCAGGTTCACGTTCATCACCTTGATCAGTTGTAAACTGTAGGCTAGAGAAAACTAGCAAGAAAACAGAGGGAGACATCTGGGCCACCTATTTAACTCTCCTCCAAGAGAGCCTAAGAGAGAAGCCATGTGGAGGAGCGAGGCGGGTTTGATGTGTGGCAACCACTGCAGGTCTGGGCTGCTTTGCTGAGCAGAGACTGGCAGCCTGAGCTATGTACATCATCCAACGCCTGAGGGTGCCACTGAAGCAATATTTCAGCGGCTGGGCTGGGAATGCCCATTTCTCTGTAGTTCATTAAGGAGTAATTTTACTGTATCCACTTTCTGAGTTGACCGCTAGATCCTGGCTGGCTGTTGACTCTATTTGCCACTCTGGAGGAATGGCATGAAAAGGAAGGATTCTTCCTTTGAGACCCTAACTGAATGACTGGGCTCTCTAAGTCTTGTGAAGCAGTTGTCTCTTTGACAACCGAAAAAAAAGAGTTATGTTATTTTGAACAGACTTATGAGTGACTTCAATAATTTATGCTAGAAAAAAAGTCATTCTTCTATATTGCCTAGGACTCTCTTAAGAGTACAGTACAATATTTCATAGTACTTAGTACTCTTACATACTATTATTAATAGTACTATTACTAGTACTTAATAGTACCAATAGTACTTAACAGTACAGTACAGGGGTCAGCAAACTTTTTTTATACAGGGCCAGATAGTAAATATTTCAATCTTTGCTGGCCACACGGTCTCTGTTGTAATTACTCAGCTCTGTGAGTGCATGTGGAAGCAGCCATAGGCAATACACAGACAAATGGCTGTGGCTGTGTTCCAATAAAACTTTGTTTGTGGACATTGAAATTTGAATTTAGGATGATTTTCACATGTCTCAAAATATTCTTCTTTTCTTTTTTTTCCCCCAATTATTAAAAAATGTAAAAATTGCTCTTAGCTCACAAGTGGTACAATAACAGGCAGCAGGCCAGATTTTTTTTTTTTTAGCAGATTTGGTTTGCTGAAATTTTTTGTAGTAAAAATAGCCCACAGCTTAGGGCCCTGTGACCTGGATTTGAGACAAGGAGCTATGATTCACTGGCCTTTAAACTTGGCCAATTTGCCCAAACCCTAGTTTTCCCTCTATAAAATGTAAATTATAATACTCAACCTCTCATGGTGAATTAGAATGAAATAAGATAATTTGTACAAGTGCTCTTAATGCTCTCAAACACCACACCATGTTGGGTAAAATATTGTTGGGTTATTATTATATATTCTGTGATTTATCAAAATCTCTTAGCAGCCTTCTGACAGAATTTTGACTTCTAGATGACACTCTGCATCTAAAGCACTCAAGACATTAAAGGCAGAAATATTAGGAAGAGGCGTGCTTTACTCAATTTTAAATTAAAGGCTAACATTTTCTTAGATACCGGTTGGCCATAAAGTTCAGAAACAAGATAATGTTATTTTAGTGTATTGTAAAGTAATATCAATGAATCATCTATTATGTATATGTTACCTATGTTTTTCAATGTTAAAGCCATCCATTGAAAGGAAATCATCCTTGAAGATAATGTTTACAATATATAGAGGACACTGAACTTTCAACTACCTTCCTGACATTTTTAAATCATACAGAGTATCACCCAAGTCAAGGAAAGAAAGACTGAAGAGTAGCCAGACTATTAGCAAACTGTTTTGGAAATGATTTACTATGAGTATTTTAATTGTATTCTCTCAGCAAATCAAATGATTTCCCATTCTTCTGGTGAGTTCAGGTAGTTTTCTAATAGCATTCTTATGCCCCCTTTCTCTGTCCACCAGTTCCCACCTTTGTAAGCAGTTTCTAAATATCCCAAAGACACTGGCTTAAATCTAAATAAAAAAGCAAAGGGGAAAAAAGTAAGAAAACTGAAATGTAAGAAAATGTAGGGATGGAAAGCATAAGAATGTTGCTCTGGAGAATTCAAAATTTAGACTATTAAATGAAGTCATGAATAATTTTTAAATTGGAGTGCAGTGAAAAATAGACATTTCAGAGCCCTAGCTTGGTTAGACCTGCAAGAGAAAATTGTGCTTAAGAAATAGGTTGACATTTGCAGCTGGATTTCTGTTAGGGAACATAAGGTACTGAACTAAAACAATAGAATTGGAACTGGAGAACCAGGGAAACAGCAAAGGATGGGGATAGATGGAAGAACGGAGTGGGGGAAGAGAGAGTTCTGCCTCATGGACATAGAGGGGATATATGCTGGAACAACCAGGCTGGAAGGCCATGTTTGAAGGAACAGAAAAGTTGACATTTGCTATGTTAATGTAAAAGAGTATAGCTTACCCAGGGGACAGCTAAAACAGAAATGATTTTATTGGTTCCATAAAGTTGATTTATAAATGAATGGGTGCTCTTCCAGTTGGAGAGCACGTTGGGGTGGGTGGAGGTGAGAATCCGAGGAACTCAGCAGCCTTGTGGTGGGGGGTCATGCTTGCAGCTGAACCTGCCCTTCCATCCAGGAGCACTTTGTTCTGTCAAATTGGGGTCAACTGTGGCAAACCATAACCCTTAAATTCCAAATTCTTATCTGGCTCACGGATCCCACCATGCTTTATGGAAAAATGACTCAAATACATTAACCAAACAGACCAAAGGATCTAGTTGAGAGTGATCTTCATTAGTTATGGATACTGTTGTATTAAAAGAGACTTTTAAAAAATTCTCATTGCACTTGGTTTGCTAATGGAGTGACTGAGGGAATGAGGACTGGATATTGCGGAATAGAATGAGTGGAAATTGTGGGGTCAATTTTGTTGAGCTGTCTTAATGGAAAACACCATTCACTCACTACTCGCTGCTTAGAAAATCAGTCTCAATGAACTTTCAGTTCCAAATTTTAACAGTTGACACAAAATACACTGTTAAACTGTGTTAACAACTGTAGAAAAATAGACATGTTTGATAGGGACATTCTAGTAAAAGGTTCTTCAGGAGCATCCCCATGTAAAGATTCAGAGGCTCACATTACAAAAACGAGATTTGGTTCAAGTTCTGTCTCCAACTACATTGACAACAAAGACAGTGAGAAACAGGGAGAGACCTCACATCTGGGTGCCCGTCACAGACACAGAACTGACAGGTGCACGTGGCCAACGTGTTGTCAAGGCTCTTCGTTCAGTTGTGCTAAAGGGCAGGCAAGCAGGGATGAGGCCCTGAGCTGCTTGCTCTTCCAACCAGACACGGGGGTGTGCGCTGTCCTTTAAACCTTAGCAATGGAATTAAAAAGGCCCAGTGAGTCTTCAAGAGCTAAATTAGAAGACATTTTGCCGCCCCTATTCCATCTTGTTTTGTGCCTGCCATGGCCTGCCCTGCGACCCTGGCAAGGTTGCAGGGGAGCTCCCCAAGCCAAGAGTGCCCTTCATTAGGCTGCAGAGAGGTCAAGCCATGGCTCCTCCCCGCAGCCTCAAGGGGAGTGTATCGAGCTTCCTCCTCCCGGACCACCACCTCCTTCTTAGAGTGTGCGAAATAAAGAAATGATTCAACAGAGATTCAATGCAAAAAAGGAAATGCTGGCAAACAGGAAAGGGCTATAGCCAACAGTTTTGTTTTCCTTAAAGTCAGTGCCAAGAGGCAGTTGTCCTGATCCAAGGTCTCTGAGATGGGAGAAGAGAGGCCCCGAGGTTATATTTAGGAGCCACTTTCCTTATCCTGGGACTTCTTTTTTAGTAGACAAGGTCCCCAGACTACACCAAAGGCCTGTGCGATCAGGTCAGGGAAGGCAAGGGAAACAAAGAGGGACAGCTAGTTTGATCTCTTTGACCTCCATGGTGCAGAGCCTCAAACTGAGCACAGCTGTAGGAGCTGAAAATAAACTTGGATCCATTCAATGAATATTTATGATGGGCAACTGTGTTAAAGAACAAACAGCTTATAAATGCAAAGTGAATGTGAAAGATCTGTAACAGTGCAAAATCTCCACCTGCCCCGGAGGTTTGATCTAAGATTTGTTTCCTTATTTTTTTCATTTTAAAATTCAGATTTCCAGTACAAATACCCTTCCTTCCTTCCTTCCTTCCTCCCTCCCTTCCTCCCTTCTTTCCTTTTTGCAGATTAAAGTGAATTAAGGCTGGAATTTTTTTATTTGTTTTCTTTTGATTGACAGACACTGGATTTGATTTCTAGCCTGTGGCATACTCTAGAGACATTTCTTAGACAATCATCAAGATTGTTGATCTAATCTTTGAATACTGAACTCTGGTCATTTCAAAATAATAAAAGATCACAATGCAAGAAATGCTGATGGATAAGCCCCAGGGACAGGCGAGATGTCATTCTCAGAAAGCCAGATAGAGTCAAAGTGAGAGGTCGATGATTATAATGCATGCCACTCACTACATGCCTTTGTGAATTTCACGGCTTTAGACCCAAACCATCTTCTGCTAACTTACCATGTCTCATTGTAAGAGTGTAGAGAAACTACAGCTGGAGAATCAATGGTTTTGCAGAAAAGTTTCCTAAATTATTGTACTACAAAGGGCAAGAGCTCATGTGAAAAGTAAAAACATACCTTTGGTGACAGGCTAGAGAATATTTCCTTCCTGGTATTCCCCCTCCTCCAGGCCAGTTAGTGAGGCCCTTGTTATCTTTTAAAAAAAGACATCTGTTTTGTAACATTTCACAGTATATCAGCATATTGGTGGTGGGTTTTGCCATCTACCAGACCTCTCAATTTCCCCCAGACCTATGGCTTGTTGGATTCAATGAAAGGATCCGTGTGGGAACAGTGAGGTACCCTAACGTCTGCCAGTCTGAGACACAAACAAAGGCCATGCACTGAAGGGCCAGCCGTCAACTGGATCAAAATAACCTGGAAAACACAGACATCAAAACAGAAATGCCTACTGCATGTTAGGAATCTTTCTTTCTTTCTTTTTTTTTTTGCTTCTTATTTCTAAAGTTATATATCTAAACCTACATTAATGATACATCTATGTACAGTATTTAGCAGTTCTGTTCTATGGTACTTTTGTACATGCTGGGTTTTATTACTAATTACAAAAAGAAAATAATTACATAAGGCATATATATGTACAGTGGTTTGTCTTCAGCTCACCTGGGCCCTGTAACTGCCACACCCACATGGGGGCAAGCACCTCACCCTGTAGTAGATGAAATGAATTGGGATCCATAAAACTGAGGGCTCCACTCTGTGTCTCACTGAATGAATAAATAGGCACCAGAAACCTTGCTTGTCATATCCCAGGTAAAATCTTTGACACACCTTTTTGAGTGATCTGGTATTGTACAACACATGCAGGTAAGTAACTGAAATCTCCAGGAGTTGGATGTGTAGTATTTTGGGAGGAGACCAGGCTTGGGCCACAAATGAGGGCACTTTGCACTTTCATCAAATCCATGTCTACCTTGTCAATCTGAATAACTGAGAGAGGGCAGGTAGATATTTTACACCTTGAAGATTTGTTTTCTGGTCATGTAAAAATTAAATATAAACAAATAAAGAACAAAGCAAGAGAGACAGAAAAAGAAAGAGAATGAGAGACAAGGAAAGATTGTGTTGGGGGGAGAAGAGAAGGGTTTGCCCAGCTAGGGCACTAAACTTTGGATTCATTCTCCAGGTTTGCCACATCACCATTTCTTTCTGTTTGCTCTTCGAGGTTCTTTTCTTCCTCTTCAGTCTCCAGTTCTGCATGTTGGTTGAGTTTGCTGGATACAGACCAACTCAGGGGCAGCTCTGCCCTGCTGGCTAACTCGGCCAGCTCTTTGGCACTAAGGGATGGGGTGCTGGTCTCATAGGTCTCATGGAAGCTGTTGTAGTCAACTTCGTAGAACCCGTCCTCCAGGGTCAGGACAGGTGTGAACCGGTAACCCCACAGGATCTCACTGGTGATGTAGGAGCTTCGAGCTTGGCATGTCATCCCTGCAGAGAGAAGAATGGAGGCTTTAGCATATGTAAGTGTGGGCTTTCCATGGCCAAGGAGTCACAGAGAGCCAGGAGGAGTACTGCATGCAGCTGTTGAGACTGACCTGCATACGATGCCACACTTAGTAGGTGTCATTCATGTTGTAGACACATGCTAATGTGCCATGGAGATTCCAGGCCTCTTAAGGGAGTCCTGGGGAACAATGAGAGAGTCCTGGCCCACATCAAGCCACATTTGCCTGCATGGCCATGCACATGCAAAGGAAATCAAGTGTGCAAATGCACACAAGTTTTCGCATGTGCATGGCTATGTCTGGTCCACTCTGCTCTGGGAGAACCCTGAAGCCATGACTCTGGCCTCCTACTGCTCTTGGAGGTTTAGCCTGGGTTCTAATGGGATTTGAGCTCTTTGGCCACAGACTTAGAATGAAATTTCATATATGGAACTACACTTAGGCTGCTTTTAAGCTAGAGGCCACAGATCAGTGTTACCCTCCCACCTGCCATTAACACACAGGCCATGACTGTGGCTCCAGATGCAGTTGGAAGGGTCACCCACCTGAATTTGCACTTTACTTAGGCCCAGTGGTCATAGTTGCTCAGACTGTGCAATCATAACTACTTTAAAAGCTTTTCCCCCTTCTTTTTTTTTTTTTTCTTTGAGATGGAGTCTCGCTGTGTCGCCCAGGCTGGAGTGCAGTGGTGCGATCTCGGCTCACTGCGACCTCCACCTTCAGGATTCAAGCAATTCTCCTGTCTCAGACTTCTGAGCAGCTGGGACTACAGGTGCACACCGCCATGTCCGACTAATTTTTTTTTGTATTTTAGTAGAGACGGAGTTTCATCGTGTTGCCCAGGCTGTTTATGAACTCCTGAGCTCAGGCAATCCGCCTGCCTCAGCCTCCCAAAGTGTTGGGATTACAGGCGTGAGCCACTGCTCCTGGCCACTTTTCCCTTTTCTTAAAGATAAGAAGCCTTTTTGTAATTTGCATAAAAGCACCACGTGAGCTACCAGCAGCCCTGGAGTCAGGAAGTAGCTTTCTCTTAAATATGAAATGGCAGAATGAGGAAAAGTCCAGCCACCTCCTTGGAAAATAAAAATAGGCAACAAGTGTGGCATAAGATATGAGAAATGACACGTGTGGTTTTTTAAAATTTTTTTCTGAGGTCAAAGAAATCTTTTATACAAATTCTCAGGAAATGAAAACATTCATTCAGTCATTAATCCAGGGCTGACTTCTCCATTAGGCAAAAAGGCGTGGTGTCTATGGCCCATGATACTTTTAGAGGCCCGTGAAAATGTTTTAACTCTTTTAAAATCAGAAAAAGATAAACTTTTAGATGGAATGGTAATATATTTATCTTTATGCCAACACAGTTGTAAAATATAACTTAAAACATTTTTTTAATGGGGCAAGGGGCTTACAAAGGCAAGCTCACCAGGGACTCATGAATATAATACTGTGGCCCTGTGTCCATTCAGGAGAGCAGCCAGCCAGCCAGTCAGTATGTCATCTGTTAGGACCACCAATAAGTATTACGCAGCTGCTTTGTGCTGAATGCAGGTGGATTAGGGAGAAGAGAATACCTGTGAATGTTTACACAGAAGGATCCAGAGCTACACAACATTCCTGCAGCACTGCATTTGCTCCTTGTGTCTAGAAGAAGAAACTGGGGTGCCAGGGACCTATGTGGTTGACTCAGCTACAGCTGTCAGAGCCTGAGCCAGCACCAGCCCTCACGCCAGCTCTGTGCTCTTCCTCTTAATCTCAAAACCGAAATGTGACCCTTTTTCAATGTTTCCCTGAATGACCCACAGAAGCCCCGCCTTTATGCCTCTAAAACAAACATTGCAGGGCTTTTAGGTATTAGGAAAAAAAAGGTCAACACTGATTTGATTTTACTTCTCAAACAACGTTTCTCTTCTGAATTATTTTCTTTATCTGTGCTTGAGGGTGGGGTGAAGACAGGTGATGGCAGTGATATGTGGGCTCAGAATGAGAAACAAACAGGAAGTCAAGAGGAAAAGGTGATCCAATAACTCTTTTTCCACCAAGGAAGTACATGTTTATGGTAAAGTGGCTAGAAAATAGGGCTGTGATAACAGTTGGGGAAAATAGCAAGCTAATCAAAGAACAAAAAGAAATTCTGGGGAAAGAGGTTCACAGGGAGCTTTGGAAAGCTCTGACATATTCCTGAGAAACTAGAAGACCACATGCATGTGTAAGGCTGTGCACATGCCCAAGAAAAACCAGAGAAGGCCCTGAGCTCTCACTTCTGGTTGACACCGAGTCTCTGTGCAAGTAGGAGGTGAAGGTTAATGCAGTTGTAAAGTGCCTGACTGAATGTTGAAGGCACGTCCCACCATGTGCATAGAGACCCTTGACAAAGACTGGGAGATTTTTGGTTACTGGCTCTTAAGAGAATCTGTCTAATTATTAGCTGATCACTAAATTAACTGAGCAGAGACTTTAGTGGCCATATACACAAAAAGTACAGACCTTACAAAATTAGCTCAGGAAAGTTACTAAAAAACAAATAGCAATGGCAACAAAAAACTCTGAAAAGGAGGGAGAATCTGATTTTCAGGGTTACTACATTATATTACTTAAAATGCCTGTTTTCAACAAAAATTTATGACACATGCAAAGAAATAAGAAAGTATGTCCCATACACAGGAAGGCAAGCAGTCAATAGAAACTGTCCTTGAGGAAGCCTAGGCATTGGATTCACTAGAGAAAGACTTTAAATCAGCTATTTGAAATATGTTCAAAGAACTAAAAGAAGCCATGTCTAAAGAACAAAAGGAAATTAGGGAAACACTGTTTCCCCAAATAAAGAATATCAATAATAAAAATAAGTTACATGTAAAATCCCAACATAAATTCTGAAGTAAAAAGTATAATAAATGAAAGAAAAGAATTACTACAGGAACTTAACAGATTTGAGCTGGCAGAAGAGAATCAGTGAGCCTGAATATAGGTCAGTTGAAATTATTGAGGTATAGAAAGAAAAAAGAATGGAGAAAAATGAACAGTGCCTCAGAGACCTGTGGGACAGAGCAAGCATACCAACGTACGCATAATAGGAGCTCCAGAAGGAGAGTATAAAGAGAAAATAGCAGAAGGATTATGTGAAGACGTAATGACTGGAAAGTCTTTAGTTCAATGAAAACCATTAATCTATACATCTAAAAAACTTAACAAACCACAAGTAAGGTGAACCCAAAGAGATTCACACTGAGACACATCATAATCAAACTGTTGAAACATGACGATGAAGGTAGAATCTTGAAGGCAGCAAAAGATAAACAACTCATTACATGCAAGTGATTTTCAATGATATTAATAGCTTATTCCTCATTAGAAACCATGGAAGCCAGAAGGCCATGAGAAGACATTATTAAAAGCACTGAAAGAAAAAGACTGGCAACCAAGATTCCATATCCAGCAAAATTATCCTTCACAAATGAAGGAGAAATGAAGCCATTCCATGAACAAAAATGGAGAGACTTTGTTGCTAGCAGACTTGTACTCCAAGAAATAATAAACGGAGTCCTTCAGACTAAAATAAAAAGACACTAGATAGTAACTCAGATGAGAACAGGTGTGTTCAGGGTGGTATGGCCATAGACTAGACCGTAACTCAAATCCACATGAAGAAATAAAGAACACTGGAAAAAGTAACTACATAGGTAAATATAAATGTTTTTCTCCAGCATGATTTTAAGGTTATTCCATTTTATGGCAATTATACTATTCCATTATATGAATATATCATGGTTTTATTTAATCAATAAAACAAAGTGATCCAAAATATGTGGTGGGTCTGTTTGTTGGGGGAAATATTAATAATATTGGCTTGGTTTGTGTAGGTTGTCTTAAGTGTACTATTATGGGCTGAATTGTGCACCCCCACCCCCACATTCATATGCTGAAGTCCTAATCTCCGGTATTTCAGAATGTGACATGTTTGAGATGGGATCTTTAAAGAGTTAATCAAATTAAAATAAGGTCATACTGGTGGGCCCTAGTCCAATATAATTGATGTCCTTATAAGAAGAGGAAATTAGGACACAGACACACACAGAGGAAAGATTATGTGAACAGAGGGAGGAGATGGCCATCTACAAGCCAAGGAGAGGGGTCTCAGAAGAACCAGCCCTGTTCACATTTTGTTCTCAGACATCTACCATCCAGCCTTGTGAGAAAATAAATTTCTGATGTTTAAGCCACTCAGTCTGTGGTACTTTGTTATGGCAGCAAACTCAATACACTTACTGACTTCTATAGGGAGAGGAAAATACCTTTCCGTAGTGCCATTTGAAGAGGAGTATTTAATTTATGTAATAAGTAAGATTTAAGTAAATGCTCATGGATGCTTTTCCAATTTTTATTCATTTTTATATCAGAACTCATTTAAAAAAGGATAAAAAAGAATATTAATGTTTGCCTATCAGTAAAATATTAAAAAGTATTTCTGGGGTAAATTGATAATTTTCTTCAGAAAAATTCCTGTCTTACGTATTGACTTAGGTCCCAGTCCAGTCTTTAAAACTGTGATGTTTTACTGAATTTGGAAAAGTAGCAAAATAAAACCAACTGAGTTAGCCTCATAAGCAAGGCAGAACTGCCAAGATGACATCTCTGTGTGTGTGTGTGTGTGTGTGTGGTGTTTATGTTCCATATCAGGGACATCATCATAAAGGCTCCCAGAACTAGGTTATTTTGTGAGTAAAGTACTTTCTGGAAAAAGAGATGCTTCATTTGGTGAAGAGCAAAACGTGGAAAACCTGATCTTGATCTCCTTTGAGCATGCAGTCATAGGTGTCTGTTTTTCTTATTGTATTGTGAATGCCTTGAGGATCTATTTGTCTTGTTTATTTCCATATTCCTTAGCATTTGCACAGTGCTTCAATATTGGAGGTTCCCAATAAGTACTTGCTAAGTGAAAAGAGTGGACTTGGGGAACTATACAGAAACAGCTTAATATTGTTCGTTGGCCATGTCTGAATTTATTATTAAATAAAAAGATGGCTTGTGAGTCATTAGAAAAGAAAGTGGGAGATTTCTGCTTCCATCATCATGTCAGTCTGCATATGAAGGACCCTTAGCTAAGATATAACACAATGCTGGAAAATTACAAAATGTCTTACCTTTCGTTTTATGTATTTGACAAGTAAAAATTATACATATTGATGGTGTACATGATATTTTGATATACGTGTATGTTGTGAAAAGGCTAAGTCTAGCTAATTAACATAGCCATTACCTCACACACTTATTTTTTTGTTGTGAGAACATTTAAAATCTACTCTTAGCAATTTTTGGGTATATAATGCATTGTTGTTAATGGTAGTTGCCATTTGCATTTCTATTTTTGTGACAGTGCTTGTCCTCTCCTTTATCTTGAATGCCCTTCCCATAGTAAAATGCTGCTCATCTTTCAAGAGCTAACTAATGTGTGGTCTCCTTTCCAAAGCACATTGTGACCAACCAGTCTCTTGCTGGAACTATCGAGTTCCAGGCCACCATAACACTTCAGTGACCTATCACAGCACTTATCAGAGTGTTTTACAGCAGTTATATGTGTCTGTTTTCCTTGCTGAATTGTGAATGCCCTGAGGATCTATTGGTCTTATTTCCATATTCCTTAGCATTTAGCACAGTGCTTCAACATTGGAGGTTCCCAGCAAGTACTTATGGTTAAGTGAAAAGAGTAGACTTAGAGAACCATACAGAAACAGCTTAATATCGTTCATTGGCCATGTCTGAAATGTATTATTAATGTTAAATAAAAAGATTGCTTGTGAGTCATTAGAAAAGAAAGTGGGAGATTACTGCTTCCAGCGTCATGTCTGTCTGCAGATGAAGGACCCTCAGCTAAAATATAATACAATGCTGGAAAAGTACAAAATTCATAATTTGAATTAAACCTGAGTTCAATAAAAGCAAGAGATGAGCCTTCTGGGGCTGGTGAAGAGGGAATAACACGCCTATTCCTTCCCACCAAGTATAGTTGAGGCCTCTGGACAATGTACAAAATGAAACCACCTGAAGACTCTAGAAAGTTCACAATAGCAGGACGATTGGAGAAGGGAGTCAAAACTTGAGGAATGAATCGTCTGAGGATAAATTTTTCTGCCTTCCTCTTTTATTTTCTGGCTTTAACCTGAGAGTGGCCCCAGTGTAGAACTGGGGCCCCAATGCAGAACAAGTGCTGGCAAGAAAATCTCAGAGAGAAACCCTGCCTTTCTAACCGGAGGACCAGGAAAAGGTGCTGCTGTGAGTCAGAGACGGGAGTGGGAATCCCCGTTAATTGAGTGTGAGGACTTCCCCACCAGCCCTGAGTGCAGCCTTTGTCCTCAGCTGCTCTGCAGTGCAGCGGTGACACAGGTGCCAAAAACTGAGAGAGAGCCTGTCTTTTTGGACCGAGTATTGGGAAAGGGGAATTCCAGGGACCAGAGTTTGTGGCTGCATTTTCCTCTTTCCTCTGACTGCTTTACCCTAAGAGTGGCCCCGATTGTGTAAAACAATGCAGCAGCCCAGGTGGCTCAAATGCTGAGCAAGTCTTGGCTTTAGAGAAAGAAGTATCAGAAAAGGAGGCCCGGGAGCTGAAAGTGGGGGCCGACCGGGGGGAGGGGTGGATCTCACAGAGGAGAGAACTGGAGAAGAGGATTTCCAGATTCTGTGTATGAATTGATATAATCGTGAGCTTTGCATGCACAGGACGGAAAACAATAAGAAAAGATGAACTTAAAAATTACCTCGTTTTGGAATATATGACCACACTTCTAAATGTCAAAGAAGAAACCATAATGGAAATTTGATAGTACTTAGGACTGAGTGATATTGAAATTCTAAATATAAAAATTAAAGGGCATATAGAAAGTAAGAAAAATTTATATGCCTAAATGCATATATTAGAAAACAAGAAAGTCTGAACATTAATGTTTAGAATATTCAACTGAAGACATTAGGAAATGAACAACAGAATTAATTCACGGGAAATAGGCAACAAAGATCATTGTATAAATTAATAAAATATAAAACAAGTCAACCACAGTGAGAATCAATAAAGGCAAAAGTTGTTTTTTGAAAAGTCTAGTAAAATAGACAAATCTCTGATCAGACTGGCCAAGTAAAAGGTGTAGAAGGCAAAAATAAATGGCATTGGGAACTCAAAGGTATACATAACTTTAGAAACAGCAGAGACTGAAAACACAAAAGGAGATTATAATAACTTAAAAATATAGACGAAATGGACAATTTTCTAAATCATATAAATTACCAATACTTATTTAAGTAAAAATAAAAAGCAGAGATACCTTATAACCAATTATGAAATTGAGCCAGTGATTAAAAACTTGCCATAAAGAAATTACAAAGCCCAGACAATCTTAAAGATGAGTTCAATGAAATATTCTAGGAAGAAATCATGATAATTTTACATAAACTCTCCTAGGAAATAGAAGAATCATTTCCTAACTCATTCTATAAGGCAAATAATCTTGATAATAAAGTCATAAATATAGTACAAGAAAGAGAGAAAAAAAGGGAGAACACAAGCCCATATTATTCACTTGTGTAGCTACAAGAATCCTAGAAGAAATATTAGCAAACCAAATCTAACAGTTTAGAAAAAAAGACACCATGATCAAGTTGGGTTTATTCCAAGGAATGCAAGGGTGGTTTAACCTTAGAATACTGATCATATAATTTATCATGTTAAAAGATTGAAAGATCATTTAAATATGTGCATAGAATTCATTTGATAAAATTCAAAAACCACTTATGATGAAACTTCTTAATAAACTTTGAATATGAGACCAACTGTATCTACCAAAAATCTAAACAATCATTATTTTTGATGATGATGATGATCAAAAGTTAGGATTGTTTAAAGTCAGGACCAGTGATTTTAAATACAGATGCAGTAAATGCTTGCTATCACCTTTTCTATTCAGTATTTTACCAAAGGCCTTTGCCAGTAAAAATAAGATAAATACAATAATTTGATTCAAAAATAAATGAAACTTTCATTATTTGCAGATAATATAACTGTGTACATAGAAAATCCACAAGAGTAGTACAACTATTAGGATTACTAAGAATGTTTAGCAAGGTGGCTAGAATTTAAAAATCTATGCAGAAAACTTATGTATCTTTTTATATACCAGCAACAAATAAAAGACATAACAGCAACCCTTCACCATTTCCTCTAGCAACAAAAAAAACCCTAGAAATCAATCTAATAATAGAAATATAAAACCTTTATGACAATTTACAAATTATACAATTTGGGAGACAGTAAGGAAGATTTAAATAAATGGAGAGATATATCATGTTCATGGATAGGATGATTAAACATCCTAAAGATGTCAGTTTTTCCCAAGTTACTTTATAGATTCAATACAATCCCAACAAAACATTCTTAAAGTCAAAAAAAAAATGGATTTGACAAATCCTTTCTTACACCATGAGGAAGTACAAAGACTCAAAAGTCAAAACACTCCTGGAGAAGAACAAACTGTAGGGACTCACTCTATTAGATCACAGGACATATTTAGTAAGTATGGACATGTGCAACAGGAAACACGTATGATTATGTTCATAGCAGTTGTTATACTTTGGATATTTGTCCTCTCCAAATCCCAGGTTGAAATTGGATCCCCAGTGTTGAGGGTGGGGCCTGATGGAAGGTGTTTGGGTCATGGGGTGCTTGGTGCCACGCCCAAGGTAATGAGTAAGTTCTCGTTCTATCAGTTCTCATGAGAACTGACTGTTTAAAAAGAGCCTGGCACCTCCATCCCCTCTCTCTCTTCCTTTCTCTCTTGCCATGTGAGCGTCATGCACCTGCTCCCTTTTCCCCTTCTGCAATGAGTGGAAGCTTCCTGAAGCCCTCACCAGAGGCCGGGGCCATGCTTCCTGTACAGCCTGCAGAATCAAGAACCAAATGAACCTCTTTTCTTCATAAATTACCCAGCCTCAGGTATTCCTTTATAGTAACACAATGAACTAGGACAGCAGTATCATTTTTAACAAATTGGAAACAACCCAACTGTCCATTGACAGACAATGGCATATATTCACCTAGTGGAATTTTAAGAAGTACTAATAAGTAAATTACACATGCAGGGTCTAATATAGATGAATCTTAGAAACATAATATTCCACAAAAAAGCAAGTTTTATAAAATTTAAAAATATACCACTTTTATGAAGTTAAAATAAGCATAAGTGAATAATATAGTATTTAGGAATACATACAAATCATTTTTTTTTTTTTTTCAGACAGAGTCTCACTCTGTCACCCAGGCTGGAGTGCAGTGGCATGATCTTGGCTCATTGCAGTTTCTCCCTCCTGGGTTCAAGTGATTCTTGTGTCTCAGCCTCCTGAGGAGCTGGGATTACAGGCTTGCACCACCACGGCTGCTAATTTTTGTATTTTTTGTAGAGATGGGTTTCGCCATGTTGGCCAGGCTGGTCTCGAACTCCTGGCCTCAAGTGATCTGCCCACCTTGGCCTCCCAAAGTGTGGGATTACAGGCATGAGCCACCATGCACAGCCAAATCACTTTGTGGTTTTTTTTAAAGAAAGCAAGGGAATGTTAAAAACAAGTAGTTATATTGGGGTGAGAAAGGAATATAGAAGTAGATATAATGGTTAGCAGTGTTCTAGCTCTTAAATTGAGTGGCCAAGTTACAAGTATTTTATATAATATTACTTTATTTTATTTATTTATTATTTTGAGATGGAGTCTTACTCTGTTGCCCAGGCTGGAGTGCAGTGGTGTGATCTGGGCTTACTGCAACCTCCGCCTCCCAGGTTCAAGAGATCCTTCCCCCAAGCCTCCCAAGTAGCTTGGAGTATAGGCGCTTGCCAGCACGCCCGGCTAATTTTTGTATTTTTAGTAGAGATGGGGTTTTGCCATGTTGGACAGGCTGGTCTCGAATTCCTGACCTCAGGTGATCTGCCTGCCTCAGCCTCCCAAAGTGCTGGGATTACAGGTGTGAGCCACCGCACCTGGCCTATTATTTTGTTTTTTTGAGACAGGGTCTCTCTCTGTTGCCCAGGCTGTAATGCAGTGGCAAGATCTTGGCTCACTGCAGCCTCAACCTCCCCAGGCTTAGGTGATCCTCCCACTTCAGCCTCCTGAGTAGCTGGGATTACAGGCATGTGCCACCACACCTGACTATTTTTGTATTTTTTGTAGAGATGGGTTTTTGCCATGTTGCCCAGGCTGGTCACGAGTTTCCAAGCTCAATTGATCTGTCTGCCTTAGCCTCCCAAAGTGTTGGGATTACAGGCATGCGCCACCACACCCAGCTAAATTACAAGTGTTTTATTATCACATTTTATAACAATATGTGAGGTACATTATTTTGTACTTATCAAGTACTATATTAAAAAATCACCTAATTCCATTTTTGTTGGAAATTTTTTGTATTACACTGCTTGTAATTATTCATGCAAAGGTCCTTCTTGTTCAGTGTTTTCAGAACCATTAACTATTCACGTATTTGGTGGTGGGTAGGGGAGAGCTACTGGTCTAAGTCCTGGGCTCTGAAGGTCTGAGAACGTGGAGTACTGATGTCTGAGGGAGAGGATGGACACCCATCTCTAGAAGAGAGAGCTGATTTCCCTTTTCCCTGCCTTTTCCCTGTTCTATCTGGGTCCTCAATGGATTGGATGGTGCCCACCCACACAGGTGAGGGCAGATCTTCTTTACTCACTTCAGATTCAAATGCCAGTCTCTTCTGGAAACACCCTCACAGACACACCCATAAATAATGTCTTATTAGCTACCTGGGTATCCCCAGCGCAGTCAAACTGACACGCAAACTCACCCAGGACAGGAAGGCTGCTTGATTTCCACAGTGTTGTCTGAACTAAGTTATTTCTCCAAAGGGTGTGTAGGAGTGTGCGTGTGTGCGTAGCTTTTAACAATTATTTCATTCCGCAGTTTCTCCACTGAGAGCTTCTCTGTCTGGATGCCTAGTTATTCTTCCAAGAGTTAAGCTTGCAGGGACATGCATGCAAACAACCTGTCTTTGGGTGGCCGTTTCATTCCCAATAAGACCATGTGAGAAGGAGAGCTTGGAGGGGAAGGGAGTGCGTGTTACGGGTGGTGATTGCAAAGCTCACTCTGCCTAGGATCCAGGAAAACAGACTGAAACATAGCTAAGGAATGTGCCATAGGCACTGAGCAAACACAGGGGCAGGCCCTGCAAGATGGAGATTTAACAGGCAAAGCCCTATTTTTAGATCCTGTGACAAATTATGGTGGGAGAAGTTTGTGTGCAGAATACCAATATGATGAAAGTCATCCTCATGAGAGAACCCCCTGGACAAAGCCAGAGGTATAGTCAATACATAGACAATACATGAAAACAGCCTGGAGGATATGATTCCAATAAAATTAGATGGATACAAACCACTCTCACCACTTCTGAATACTGTAAAATGAATCTGTATTGCCAATATTCAAAAACAGAACTGATTGTAGACACTTAACCATTTTATTTCAAACACCAGGCTACATAGATGATGTTTTCCTTTTCCTTTACTCCTGTGCCCATTCTCAATAAGAACTGTGCTGAATCAGTGCAGTAATAAAGTGTTGTGCACTTAGAAGTCAGTGCTGGGTCGCTTTTCATGTGGGAGAATGATGTTGGTGATTAACCAAGCCCAGTGTCAAAAAGAAGCAGGATAGTGTGATTTCTGGCATAATCATGGTTTTAGTTCATTAGGTTTTGCCAACTGCCGAACATTTAAATAACGATGAGCCCTGCCCTAGGCTCAGGTTAAAAATCCCTTCAATGAACAGTTGTGTTTCTTCTATTACCCAAATATTAGAGGGCCAGTGAGGGTCACCTCCAGTTATGCAAAAACAAATGGAAGTGTGGATTTTTAAAAATGTCTAAAAAAGATCCTACATGTGTACTCCTAATTCTATTCTCACCAAGGTCATTGATAAGTGTATAAATTAAGTATTGAATTAAGTAAGAAATGTTATTTATTGAGTGTTTACTGTGTGCTGGGCTCAGTGTGTGCTCGGTGTGAGCCAACCATCTGGTCCCTGAAACAGTCTTCTCAGACAGATGCTATGATCTTATGTGTGAGCAAACTAAGGCAAAGACAGATTAAGTAACTTCTCTGGGTCACATAGTGCTGTGGATTGAATATCATGCCCCAAAATTCATATTCAAAGCCCTGACCTCCAATATGACTGTATCTGGAGAACTGGCCTTAGGGAGATAAGTTAAGTCAAATGAGATCATAAGAATGGGTATCCTTAAGAGGAAGAGACAACAGAGCATGTGTACGCTCTTTCTACATGCACACAGAAGAGGCCGTGTGAGGACACAGCAAGAAGGTGGTTGTCCTACAAGCTAGGCAGAGAGCCCTAAGCAGAAGCCAACCCTGCTGACACCTTGATCTTGGACTTTCAGCCTCTAGAACTGTAAGGAAATACATTTCTCCTGTTAAAGCCACTGAGTCTGGTATGTTGCTGTGGCAGCCTAAGCAGACAAGTAGGTACAATAGGTAGTGGGGTGAGGGTTCTCATTTAGGAGGCCAAGCTCCAGAGTCTACGCTGTCAACCACAACACTATTATTTCTACATTTGAGGACAGAGACCACATGTTAATTTTGATCTTGATTTATTTTTATTTTTAAGATGGAGTCTCGCTCTGTTGCCCAGGCTGAAGTGCAGTGACGTGATCTCAGCTCACTGTAGCCTCTGCCTCCTGGGTTCAAGTGATTCTCCTGCCTCAGCCTCCCAAGTAGCTGGGATTAGAGGCGTGTACCACCATGCCCTGCTAATTTTTGTATTTTTGGTAGAGATGGGGTTTCACCATGTTGGCCAGGCTGGTCTTGAACTTCCGACCTCAGGTGAGCCACCCTTCTTAGCCTCCCAAAGTGCTAGGATTACAGGTGTGAGCCACCGCTCCCAGCCATAAATTTTGATCTTTATAACTGCTATAGTGTCTTACACCTAAAGATTGATAACATATTTTACAAAATAAAATGGAGTGCAAATGAATGATCATAGCCAAAGGCATTCTGCACACCAGCACCTGGCCACCATTTGTCCCAAATTGCCACTCCCTTCTGCCTACCATTTCCACCCTCCGCTAGCTTTCCTTTTAAGCCTGTCCATTCTTACCTCATCTTCCACACAAATGGTGTTTATTCTCTGCCCAAATCTGGGGTCCTGGCTACCATCTTCAGAAAATTGCTTGCAGACACCAGGCAACCTTCATTTACTTTTAAGAAATCACGAGATAGCCCCAAATCAAATCTCAAACTGCAGGAAACTTCTTCAAATTCTCCCATTCTATATTTGTATCTTCCTCCTCCAACAGTAAGAATCTGAATTCTCAACAACCTGTATATGTAGGCTCTCTCCTACAAAACATACAAAACACTTTCGGAACGGTCACATCCTTAACTCTACTGAGGAATTGCTTATGCAAGACTCAGACCTCACAGCTAAGGACCAGCAATTCCTCCAGTTGAAAAAGAAAATCCCATGTCACCTTATTTAGCCTGAGGGCTCCCAATAATGTACCAGTAGGTGATGGACCAATCACAAACTGCCCAATGCACTTGAAAGCCAATCAGAAAGCTTCCCTACTTCCAAAAATTCTACCTAATAGAACACTCACCAAGCAAAGATTATTTGTCTTAAGACTTCCTTCTTTTACTCTATAAAACCCACCCTCCTTTGATTTTTCACTAGGAGGAAAGTGATGGTAGCAGTCTTCCTTGTATGATCTCAATAAATAGCCTTTTGTTAATTCTACAGATGCACTTTGCCCTTTTGATACCAACAACTACAAACCTCTGAGGTAAAACTAAAAATTGCTTGCAATTCTTTTAAATCCTAGAATATTCCCACGAGGTTGTACAATCAAAACACTGTGTTCAAAAGTTACCTGAACTATTTTTTTTTCTATGTGGTTATGTTATCCATTGCATAAACAGTTAGGTTCCTTTGTTTCTATTTGTGTTTCCCTTTAGGGTTTGCTTTTGTCATTCTTTTTCTATTTTGTTTTTAAACTTGTAAGCCATTTAAATGGTTCAAAAATTTAGTCAGCACAAAAAGACATATTCAGAAAAGTCTCATTCCCATCCTAAACTCCTTCTGCCCACCTCCAATGTGAGGTCATTTTTATTCATTTCTGCTAGATCCTTGATATGGTTTGGATTTGTGTCCCTGCCCAAATCTCATGTTGAACTGTAATCCTCAATGTTGGAGGTGGCCTGGTGGAAGACGACTGGATCATGGAGGCAGATTTTCCTCTTTGGTGCTGTTCTCATGAGATTTTGTTTAAAAGTGTGTGGCATTTCCCTGACTCTCTCTCTCTTCCTCCTGCTCCAGCCATGTAAGACATACCTGCTTCCCCTTCCCCTTCTGCCATGATTGTAAGTTTCCTGGGGCTTCCCCAGAATCTGATGCTATCATGCTTCCTGTACAGCCTGCAGATCTGTGAGCCAATTAAACCTCTTTTCTTTATAGATTACCCAGTCTATAGCAGTGAAAGAATGAACCAATACAATCCTTCCTGTGTCTCCTTCTGTAAAAATAAGCAAAGCAAACATATATGCATACACGTTCTTGTTTCCCAGTCTTTTCCCATGGAAACAATGTTTCAGAACAAGAAACTGAATAATAGGTTCCTTCTGCTAAAGTAATTTGAAATCACTTAATGCATTCATTTCATTTTACAGAGCACAGTCTCCTCAATGAAGCCTAGGGGCCACACTACAGGAGTGGGAGGCACACAGGCCTGGGTTTGAATCTTGGCTGCTTGGAATGGCTGTGGGACCTAGGACAGGCTACTTCACCTCTCTCACTTCCTCATCAGTCACATGGGGAAAACAATGACCAGATTATAGGTGCTATCACATCAATGTGAAGCATCACATGTGAAAGTACTCAACACATGGCTCTGCCTGAGGACACCACTAGGGATGCTCTTAATTCCCTTCCTTTCCTTGGTCAAGTGTAAAAGCAACAGCTGACCTTTCTTGTAGAATTAGCCTCATTGATCAATAGCGTTTGTCCCTTACATCATATGTTTTGTTGTTTGTTGATTCTTTCAAGTGGAATAAAAACCTCCACAGGGAAAGATCTGGTGATGCCATGTCTTGGCTTCCTATTGATGTCAGGGTTTACTTTACATATACTTGTTCTTTGGACATTTCAAAATACTCTTTGATGCGTGGTATTTAAAGAGTCGCCCTTCATTTCATTGTCCCTCATTATTCTGCATTTTTCAGGCACTGGTTCTTAACTTTTTGAGGCAAGGACCCTTTTGGGAATCTGATGAAACTCATAGATCCTCTTCTCTTAAAATATACATGCATTCCAAAGTTTCCCAATGATCAGGTGCTCATGAACTCACTAAAGCCCATAGGATCCCAGGTTCAAATAAAACAAAGGAAAGCAGAAGTAGAAGAATAAAACAACTCTTCCAGGGTTAAGTGCGTGCATGCATGTAATGGGGAGGAGGTTTAAGAAAAAGTAGGGAATAGGAAGAGGGAATTTACTTAAGCTGCAACTGGGTTATAGGAACCTCACACACTTTCACAGTATCCAGTGCTCACCCCATCAGAATCTTTTTCACCAAATTGTAACTGTCAATACTTGTCTGTATCTCTCTCAAGTCTGGGGATGGGGGTTTCTGTGGGCAGGAGCTCTGTCTTGGCCACAATTTTATCTCCATTCCATAGTATAGTATTTGGCTATATGTCTAATAAATAATGGCTAAATGAGTAAAAAGACCCAGCTGGTAATAATTTCATTTATTTGTTCATCATGTATTTATTGAGAATCTATTATGTGTCAGGCACTTTGATGGGTTCTGAGAACAGAATGATGACTTGGCCCTCGGATTCATTGGATGTATAGTCTACTGAGAATCCGAATAAATATAAAGTTACTCCTGTGATAAATGCAATGAAGTAAAGGTGGATTATCCTATGAGACTGTAAAAAAGGACTGTATTTGGTCTTGTGTGCAAATTAGTAAAAATGTCTCCCTGAGGATGTGACATTTGAGCTAAGATTTGAAGGATGGATAAGGCAACGTGTGGGGTAAGGGTGAATGCCCTACAAGCAGAGGGAACAGCATTTGCAGGGGGAAGAGCTGTTGTAGGAAGGCTCCTTGGGTGTTCAAGAAGCTGAAAGTAGACGAGTGTGTTTGGGGGATGGGCAGGGGAGCTTTTGGTACCAAATGAAAACACTGCTCTGACTGCAGAGGAGAAAACGACTTGGAGGAGGACAAAGTAAGCAGATGTGGGGGAAATAGAAAGCTGCTTCAATTGCACGAAGAAGAAATTATAGTATTGGGACTAGAACAGAAGTGATGAAGATAGGGAGACTGAAATGGATTCAAGACATATTTAGGAGGTCAAGTAGACAGACCTCTGTAACGAATTATTCATGAGGGCCAGTTAGAGGGAAGAGCCGAGAAGGACACCCAGGTTTCTGGCATGGGCAACAGGACGGATGGATGGTGGTGCCACTGGGAATCTTGAATGCAGGAAGATGATACGTTTGGTTTTGGACATGTTTACATTGTTGTGGCTTTGACACATGCAAGAATATTGAGCAGGCCATCGGGATAACCAAATCTCAGATCTACAGAAGAGGCCTTGGTTAGACATACACAGTGGGGATATCAGTGGCATATGGATGATAACAGAAGCCTGGGAGGGGGCGAGATTGCCTAGGGAGGGTCAAATGAGAAGGAAAGGCTGAGCAGGAGACAAAGCCTGTGAAAACGTAACATCTGATGGGCAGGAGAAGGGGGATGAGCCTGTCCAGGATGTTGAAAGAGAGAGGCTGGAGAGGCAGTAGAAGATCCGGAGAGCAAAGGGCGGCAGAAGCCACGTGAGGAGGATATTTCAGGAAGAGCAAGTGGTTAACGCTGTCAGAAAATGCTAAAAGAGAAAACTGCCGCAAACTGAACAATATGCATTGGATTCAAACATGGTGGTCAAAGCTGAGGGGTAAAGAGGGAGCCAGTGAGGTGGTTTGAGAAGTGTTTGAGGTGAGGAGGTGGGAAGTCAATATAGAAAAGTTTCTCAAGCATCTGACCCCGAAGATAGGGGAGAAGGCAAAAGTTAGCAAGGGATATGGGGTTGGGTGAGTTCTGAAAGCCGTGAGCATCCGACCATGTTTAAACATGGCTGAGAAAGGCTCTGTTTGAGTGGGTGTGGCTCCATCTACAGGTAGGGGAGGAGGTGATCAACTATTTAAGGTTCTGGAGAGATGGGTGAGGCTGGGAGAAGGAAGTTTGGCTTAAAAATTTAAAAACTTTCTACTAAAACAAAAAAAGATACTTATAACTAAAATGTCTTCATCATGAAAGATAAAAGCAGGATCTGTGATCCTGAGCATGCCCTCTGGTGAGTTGACAAGTCTTGGGAAAGCTTATGTGATATTATTGCTCTGTGTAGCTGAAACATAAACATCTATGTCAATGGACTTTATGATTCTAGTAAAAACAGACAGACCTCCAAGTTTTGAGTATGATAACTGAACAATATAGAGCTATGGGTGGTGGGGGGGACAGCTTAACAAAAGACTTAGGATCTTTTTGATGGACAACAGGCATATAGTTGGGCAATTTTCATGGATCTATGGGCTCCAGTCCTAGTATGTTTACCACTGGTGTTAAAGGCAGGTATTGTGCTTTTGAGAAGACAAAAGCTCCTAGGAAACTCTGTCTACATTGTTTCTGTAGCAGTCAAGTGGAAAAAACAGTAGAGGCAAACCCTCTATGATGGTCTCATCTTAATTACCTAGCCCTTCATGAAACCAGGAGCTCAGGGAAGCCACCCTGTGGACAGGAAACAGACTGGCCATCAGACCAAGACACTCAGAGCCAAGGGACCTGGTAAGAGTGAGTGCAGTGGTTTCAGAGCTCCTGTTGTGGGCAAACTCACTGGTCTGGCCCTGCCTCTACCCTTGCTCCTGGAAAAGGAAGAATGCCTTTAGCTGGGCCCTGAAGAATGGGCAAGGGGTGGGTAGCTGGAGGGGCCAGGGAGTTGCTGCACGGGAGTCGGACCAATGTGTGTCAGGGTCTCTATCTGTTGTTTGCAAACAAGCTCTGGACTAAGGTGATACCACCCAGATGTGGACACCTGAGGAAAAGCTAAATTTGTCATCCTGTGCAAACTATTGGTCTCCCACAATCCCCTGTGACCCCTTAGGTCTCTAGACCTCCCTTTGCCACACATTTGCATCTGGGCAATTATCCAGGAAGGTGAAAGTGAATAGAAAGGTCTCCTGAAGGCAGAGGGTTACTAGAGAGAAAGAAGTTTAGACCTAAAAACAGAAATATCAATCGACCCAGCAGTCCCATTACTGGGTACATACCCAGAGGAATATAAATTTTTCTGTTACAAAGACACATGCATGTGTAGGTTCATTGCAGCACTATTCACAATAGCAAAGACATGAAATCAACCTAAATGCCTATCAATTGTGGATTGGATAAAGAAAATGTGGTACATATACACCATGGAATACTATGCAGCCATAAAAAAGAATGAGATCATGTTCTTTGCAGGAACATGGATGGAGCTGGAGGGCATTATCCTCAGCAAACTCATGCAGAAACACAAAACCAAATACCACATGTTCTCACTTAAAAGTGGGAGCTAAATTATGAGAACTCATGAACACATAGAGGGGAACAACACACACTGGGGCCTGGTGGAGGGCAGAGGGTGGAGGAGGGAGAGGATCAGGAAAAATAACCAATGGGTGTTAGGCTTAATACCTGGCTAATAAAATAAGCTGTATAAAAAATCCCCATGACGCAAGTTTACCTATACAACAAACCTGCACATGTACCCCTGAACTTAAAATAAAAGTTAAAAAAAGGAGAACTTTTACTGATTTGTCAAAGCATATAATGCCATATAATACCTATTAAAACAACTTTTGGTTCCCCAAACCGAGATTTGCCTCTGTGGTATAAGATGCATGTGTCTAAGGCTTGATTTAGTAACTGGGTAATTTACTTGTTGGAAGGAAATAGAACGTGTAAACCTCTCCCCCCGACATATTTTTAGGTCTATGAATCTGACTGATATTTCAGAAGTATAGAGAAACTGGAGAAATTAAACTAAAAATTAAACACAGCTTACGCCTGGCCTAGCTATAGTTCACTTTTATTGCCTTTTCATAATTGTTTACGTTCTCATTAATTTTGCACCTCGGGAGCCACATTTGATCAATTTGCAGAGTGATAAAATATCGCCATTCTCTGAGGACCAGTTTGTACCCTGCTTTGTTAATAGCCTGTCAAAAGGAAATGCCTTGAGCGTGTTTTAAATTCTTCTTAAAGTTAAGGGAGACTGGCGAAACAATAGCCGGACTTCCTGCCCTCCCTCCTCACCTCCGCATCCTTTCTAAAAGATTCCAAGGTGCCCTTCTCATGGGGAGGAGGGCTGATGAGCAAGGGAAGAAGAAAGGAGAGCATCACTGGTTGCAAGAAAACAGGTGGGTTTTTTTTTTTTTTTTTTGTGAAAAAACAGACTTTAAAGAATTTTGAACCAAAAGCAATAGATTTTTTAAAACAAGGCTGGGTATGGTGGCTCAAACTCGTAATCCCAGCAATTTGGGAGGCTGAGGCAGGAGGATCATTTGAGGCCAGAGTTAGAGACCAGCCTGGGCGACATAAAGAGACCTTGTCTCTACATAAAATAAAACAAATTTAGCTGGGTGTGGTCCCAGCTACTCAGGAGGGGAGGCTGAATAGGGAGGATTGCTTGAACCCCAGAGGTCGAGGCTGTGGTGAGCCATGATTGCACTACTGCACTCCAGCCTAGGCAATACAGCAAGACTCTGTCTTTAAAAACAAACAAATAAAAACAAATAAACAAAAAAACCAAACAAGCTCCTTACAGAGTGACTCACAAATCCAGCACCAGGAAGATGATAAAATAGAGACATATTTATCGAAGCAACCACATCTTCTCGTGGGTCATCTAATGAAGGCAGTCTTAAATTGAAATAGTGGGCAAATTTGGAAAAGTAAATGTAGTTTGCATCCTCCATGTTTGTGAAGGTCTGTGGATCTTGGTGGCAGTGAAGTGTTTGAACCATGTTTAATAGGGAAGTTTTGTCCCAGAGGTTCTAAGCCATTCTGCCTAGGCTGCTCTGGGGCTGCGGTGACCCTGGAACGGGTGAGCACCCAGTGGTATCCCAGGTACCAGTGTTCCTTTGGTGGTAGCTACTAGACTAGAAAATATTACTTGTAGAGTCACGTAGCAGCCTTTTCCAGAGCTTCTTCATAAATCTGATTCATTTTTACTATTAGAGCTGTCTCAAGAGGTCCAGAGTCCAGTGCACAGCCTCTCTTGTGATCTGCTGGAAGTCCCTCACTTCTTCGGACTTAACAGTGAACAGTTAATAAAACGGGGGTAAAAATCCACTTATGACTCTGTTAAGGACTCTCACCCTTTCTTCACACTTGGAATCTTTCCTGACTTGTGGAAAATTTGGTTTGGTTTATAGAATGTGAGACAAGCCTTCTGAATTCGTACATCCTCGTAAATGTATGCGTAATACATTTAGAAGTCAGAGAGTCTCCTTCAGTCCAAGTCTAGTTTTGAAGTATTTATTTCAAGTGTATATATCAACGGATCTCTACATTCCTACATTAACTGGGGTAATGTAACCTAGGAGAGTTTAGCATTTCAAATATTTTTTATATATATTTCATAAGAAATATTTTCAGGAACAAATGAAAACTTGGTGTGGCAAAATAAACCCCCACCACGCTACATCCCTTGGCTCACAAATCACCACCATGTGCCCAAGTTCTGTCCTGTGAAATTCTAGTAATAACAGGATTATCTCATCAATTTATATTCACACCTGTAGCTTGTTATTATCCCGGGGTGACATGAGATCCTTGTAGCTTAATCATTTATTTGGCTCAGGCTTTTAAAGACGAGCGGGAGCTGAGTAACAGCACTGTGTGCCTCTCTGGGCTAATCTCTGTCATCTCAACACACTGTTTTCCCTCTAGGGAGGGTTGGCATGTTCCAGTTCCAGCAGCCGGTGTGCCGGGCGATGTTCAGCAGAGCCAGAGAGCAGGAACAGCAGGTACCAGAATCCTGGGTCACGGTGCAGTTTCAGTTAGTTTTTTAAATTATTTTTATTTTTTTTTTTGAGACGGAGTTGGCTCTGTCGCCCAGGCTGGAGTGCAGTGGTGCGATCTCGGCTCACTGCAAGCTCCGCCTCCCGGGTTCACGGCATTCTCCTGCCTCAGCCTCCCCAGTAGCTGGGACTACAGGCGCCTGCCACCACGCCCGGCTAATTTGTTGTACTTTTTTAGTAGAGACGGGGTTTCACACGTGTTAGCCAAGACTGTCTCCATCTCCTGACCTCGTGATCCGCCCACCTCAGCCTCCCAAAGTGCTGGGATTACAGGCCTGAGCCACCGTGCCTGGCCAAGTTTCAGTTAGTTTAGTTTCAACAGCAGCTCTTCCAAGGTGGTGGAAATAGACTGTGTGTAGGGATCAGAGCGACGGGGAGGGATGGAGCCCTTTCATCTGTCCTATTTTGAGGAAGACAAGTCATGTATTAAATGAAGTAATACATGAGGATATAGCACAGGGCAGAACATGTAACATGTTCTTCATGACATCACTTATTATGCATGGGCTATTATTGGTATCCTTATTATAACTTGAAGGGGCTGACTTAATTCTTACTTTTTAGCTCATTTCTTTGGATCCATGAGGTTTTTTGGTCTTACTTCTAAGAGTGTCCTATTAGACATAAAGACTTGGCCGACAGATGTGTGTATGAGTAGGGTCGGGATGGAGGGGAAGCTGTATTTTGTGTCTATGTCAGAAACGGCTTAGTTCTGGGTTAGTGTCTTAACCATGTCTTTTATTTTCTGTATTCTGATCCTTTGACATCTGAGGCTGTGCTGACCCAATTGCCAGAGACCAGTAAACAACATTTGCCCATGGAATCACTTTTCAGATGCAAACCAATGGCTCCAGGGTCCATACCCCCAATCACTTCTCTCATGAAGCTCTCTCACTCCAGGCCATGATCCACTCACCTTAATCCCCCCCAGAGTTAGGCCTCAAACATTAGGGACAGTCTCCATGCTCCAGAGTCTGCTGAAATGATCCAAACTAGCCCATCCTAAGCCTGCTGACCAGCATCATCCATTCCTTCTCATGGAAACCATGATAAGGGGTCTTGCCCACAGCTTCCCTCCCTTGTTCCCTCCTGGCTGACAGGGTGCTTCCTCATGTGGAACACCTCTGCCCCCCAATGACATGGTGTGGCCCCGACTTTGGGAACTGTGAGTAACAAACACCTCAGCAGAGCTTTGTGGCAGCAGAGGCAGCATCTATACCTTGGTTTATGTTGATATTGCGTGGAAAATGGCACTGCTAACACTGATTGCATTTCCTGGACCTCAAGTTGGGACAAGCAGTCTGAGCTGGCAGAATGTGTCAGAAGTCATGCCTGTGATCCGTGACTGTTCTGAGGCTGCAGGAAGCCTTTCCAGCCTGGGTTAGCCAGGAGTGAGCTGGGCTGCTGCTACCACTGACCCTCATCAGACAGCCCAGGGAGGGGGACATCAGGCTGAAGCACAGCTGGTAGGGGTGGCATTTCTGAGCATGCAGGTGTAAAACGGGGGAGGAATCTACAGGGGAGGAGGCTGTGCCCCTGAGGGCATAGGCTGCAATCACTGAGGCCAGGGAGCTCTGTCTACAGAGCTGTGGGCCGTGGAGGGGAGGAAGTCTTGCAAGTAGCTGGGCCTTGTCACTCAAACCTTCATGAATGGCACCTGCTGGCTGAACTCTTGGACTTCTCGGAAAGATGATGGGGAAAGCTGTGGTCTGTAAGGTTTACCTTTCCTCTGGGGAATGCTACTGGCACACGTTATAGACATCAACATTTTAGCTGCTAACCCTGGAGAGCTGGTCTGGGATCTCCATGGGATGTCATCTTGCTAATATTTAGAGTGGGGGACAAAATCCAGAATAGATTATTTCCTTTCCTGGATACTTTAATTTCACTTGTAACCAAATTGCCAATAGGTGCATTTTCTCCTAACCAAATTGCCAATAGGTGCAAGTTTAAAATGACTTCTCTTGGAATAGACAGTCTTAATTTTATTATGCTGCTTCTTGGAGTGTGGATGCCACCTGACAAAATGATGAAAATTAACCTTCTTCCTGCTATTTCTTGGGGTCAGTCATTTGTCCAATCACATCACACTGAACTCATTACTTTGGGTTTTTAAAGTTTTTTTTAAAACTGCAGATATTTAAATCAGGTCACCTACAGAAAGGGAGTTTAGGCCAGGCGCGGTGGCTCATGCCTGTAATCCCAGCACTTCGGGAGGCTAAGGCGGGCAGATCACCTGAGGTCAGGAATTCGAGACAAGCCTGGCCAACATGGTGAAACCCCGTCTCTACCAAAAATACAAAAATTAGCTGGGTGTGGTGGCGGGTGCCTGTAATCCCAACTACTCGGGAGGCTGAGGCAGAAGGAATCACCTGAACTTCGAAGGTGGAGGCTGCAGAGTGCTGAGATTGTGCCATTGCACTCCAGCCTGGGTGACAGAGTGAGACTCCATCTCAAAAAAAAAAAAAAAAAAAAAAGAAAGAAAAAGAAAGGGAGTTTATAAATCACTGTGCTTTTGCTTTCCCTCCTCCTCACTTATCTTACATTTCCTCAAGCTAACCATGGCATGTTGTGGGAGAGGCCGAGGAGTTCCGACCCAAGGAATCTTGACCTGAGATTTCTAGGAGAAGGAGGTGGTGCTGCCTCTTTCCTCTGAGGCCACCTCCAGTTGCACTAATTGTTCAATGTTGTTCCACAGACTCAGAACACATTATAATTGTATGCTTCTCAATAGGAGTTATTAATGAACATAGAATGAGAAATTGATGAAATTTTTTTTAAGTCGAAAAAGCTCTCAGCAGCAATCCCATGACGAAACCCAGGAGACAGGGCTTTCTGTAGTGGGAGGCTGTGGGCAGGAGAGTTTGTTTGCAAGAGGCTGTCTGCGGCACCACCGCGATGTAGCCAGACCCCGCATCACCTTTGCTAGGCTGTGCCTTGCTGACATTTCTGCAGGTGCTGCTTCCAGATGAACCAGCCTGGGTTCTGATCTAGCCACATTGATAATGAATGTTCCTTTTGATACCGAAGCACAAAACTGGGAGAAGCTGAGCTTCTTCACTTATTTCCTATCTGTTTGTTCTATGTCTCTAAATAGGTCTGTCTCGCTCTGTCGCCCTGGCTGGAGTGCAGTGGCGCCATCTCGGCTCACTGCAAACTCCGCCTCCCAGGTTCACGCCATTCTCCTGCCTCAGCCTCCCCAAGTAGCTGGGACTACAGACGCCCGCCACCACACCCAGCTAATTTTTTTTTTTTTTTTGTATTTTTAGTAGAGACGGGGCTTCACCATGTTAGCCAGGATGGTCTCCATCTCCTGACCTTGTGATTCACCCACCTCAGCCTCCCAAAGTGCTGGGATTACAGGTGTGAACCACCGCGCCTGGCCTAATTCCAGCATTTAAAAACAATCTGTCCAGTGTGTCTGCATTCTAGAAAAGCAGGGCACAATGAATGTGGCTTTGATTCTGCCTGGTCCTTAGATAATCCTGGCCACACATTAAGCCCAGGTTTAGCGTCTGGCGCCAGTTCCCTCTGCCCGCTTCCTTGAGCTCTCTGCTCCAGCAAGGTGGGGTGGGCAGATAGGGTTGTTGTAGGCTTGGGCTTTGGCAATAAGCTACCTCTGGACTGAGTCCGAGTTCTGCCTCTCACTCTCCACATGAGTTGTGACAAGCTCCATTACTTTCCTGAGCCTCAGTTTCCTTGTGTGTGAAAAAGGAATAATAATACCTCCAGGTTGTTGTCAGGTGCACATATGGTAGGTACCAGGTGTGTAGTGCGTTATAACTGCCTCGCTGTGGGCTCTCAACAAAGACGGCAACTGGATGGCCACAGCCTCCTCACTGTCCTGCGTGTCATTCCCCTGCCTGGACTACGCTTCCTCTCCCTCTGTTTATTGAAATTCTATCCAGTGGTTTTAGGAGGCCTCTCTGAGCATCTCAGCCAGCTTTCCTTCAAGAATCCTGCTTCATCTATTGTCTGAAGCACCTGCTAGGCTCTTCACACTCTGCTTATTGCTTTTCACTTGACAATTTTTGAGGTTTCATTCATTACAATTATCAAAAGAATTTTGGCATAAGTCTTCCTTCCCCAACTAGGCTGTCAGTCTCTGGCGTTTAGTAAATATGTATGCTTTGTCTGTCTTTGTACATCCACCCTCATCTCCTAATCAGATAATCTCAATGAGATTTGTATCTCTTGTATACCATAAGCTCGATAAATACTTGATAATACTCGATGACAACTCAAAAGTTCAATTCTATTGCCACTCCTTGAATTATAATAGCACTTACTCTGTGAGACAGTTACTATGTTAATTATCAGAATGAATGAAACTAGAAACAGACCTTCTCCTCCTAAAACTTATCGAGGCTAGGGAAATGAAAGACATTGATCATTGTATAAAACTTGTAATGAGTTTTACAAAAGAAAGGTACAGAGAGCCACAGGACCATTTAAGGGCAGGAGCTTGGTGTCACTTGGGAGTAGGGATGGCTTTCTCGATGTCACACTACAGGGGGGTGGACAGAGAAGGGTATCCCTGGACTGAAGGAGCAGTGACTGTGTTGTGGGGACAGTCATACATGAGATAATGATATGAGGTGAGGCTAAAGAGGAGAGCGGGGGCCCACATGTAGGCCTGTCGGCCACATCAATAAACCAGCCTTCCCTCTAAAAGCAGTAAGAAGGCATTGGAGAGTTTGGAGGAGATAGATAGGATCCTCCTCTCTGTGTTTTGAAAAGAGCCCTTGAGCTGCAGTGCTCATAGGGGACTGGGGCAGAGCAAGAATGAACAAACCGAGAGCAAGGAGGAGCCTTCCCAGTGGTCTGGGCAAGGGATGATGGCGGGTAGATTGGAGTGGTCATGCAGAGGAAGGGAGTGGAAGGATTCAAGACAGAGCGGGGAAGGGAAATAGACTGAGCTTGATGCTGGGTTGGAAATGGGGACAGGGAACATACAAATTCCCTTGATGTCATCTAGGTTTCTGGACTGAGCACCTGGGTGGACAGTGGAGCTGTACACCAACATATGGACTCCTGGAGAGGACTGGATTGAGAAGGAGTGTGTGAGTTTAGTTTGGACAGGTTAAGTGATGCCCAGGCTCTAAGAGGAGCTGTCAAAGGATGGTTGGATAAAGTCTTCTGGAACTTTAGGGACAAGTCTAACTTGTCCAGCATTGATGGTGACTAGTTCACATGTCAACTTCAACCACAGTCTCCATCCTGCGGGCTTGTAACCTTATTTTCAACCTTACTGACCCACTGATTTTACTCCATATCTCTTTAGGATGAGTCTTTAGGTTAGAGGTAAATTTGGGAGTCACTGGTGTACAGTAGCTGATGTTGTGGAACGTCAATGAGAATTGGAGATAGAATAGAGTGAGGGGGGAAAAGAGATTAGTTAGACTGAACCTTGAGAAAATGAACCAACATTTTCATGGCTGGTTACAGGAGGTGGAGGCTGAACAACAGCTTGAGTGAATAGAGGCAGAAGAAAAACCAGGAAGCTTCAGGTCATAGGAGCCCACGGAGGAGAGTGGTTCCAGAAAGAAACAGTGGTCAACATCAAAAACTGCTGGATGGACAAAAGAAATGGAACTAGTGTATTGGATTTAAAGACTAAAGATCATTGATGAGCTGGGCAGGGGATGTTTCAGCAGAACAGTGGGGTCAGAAACCTGTGGGAGCCTGTTGAGTAGTGAATGGCAAAAAGAAGAGGAAGAATGGAAGTATCAACAACTCTTTTGAAGAATTTGCTTGTCAGGGGGCAGAAAGAGCCAAGGTTGATGGAGAATTGTGGAAGCGAAGGAGGGTTTTTGTTTTTTTTGTTGTTTTGTTTTAATGGGAGAGACTTGACACAATTACATACAAAGAATTCATTGGGAAGAGAGAGGTCAAATATTTGGGAGAAAGAGGGGATTATTTATAGTGTTTTAGGGTGAGGCTATTCTGGATTGTCCAGGACTAAGAGGTACCCTGGGACACAGGACTTTTAGTGCTAAAACTGGGATAACTTTGGACAAACTGGGATGATTGGCCACTCTAGTTGTCAGATAGGCAAGAGAAGATGGGACTTAAAGCACAGGAGCTGGAATTTTCTGCAGGAAGAGGGGCATTTTCTCTTTTGCAATGGGAGGAAAGAAAAGGATGGACTCAGATGTGGAAAACACTGCAGGCTTACTTGAGGAAGCTAGGGGATTCCTGTCTGATGTTTTCAATTTCCTGAGTAAGTCCATTTGCTGAGAGGGAATGAGTGGAGAAAGTTTGAAATGCTCTTTGTGGAGCCTGGGAGAGCACATTGAACAGAAAAATTACTGGGCAGCGTTGAAGGTCCCTGTGAGGTTGGGTTGCATGAATTTAGAATGATGCTCATCTGCCCGTGTGTGTGTGGGATTATTTAGCAGAGATCAGCAGCTCAAGTGCAGCTCACAGAAGGTCAATATTTGGCTACTTCTAGGGCTGACATTTTCTCCAGTGATGCAACAACAACAACAGCAACACAAAACAAAGGAGTAAAAAGGGAATTAAGGAACTGTCAAGAATTTTACTGAATTCATGGACTAGAGCTGGATAAAGAAAGAAGTGAAGACAGGAAACGATAATGAATTTGGAGTAAAATCAGTGGGTCAGTAGGTTGAAAATAAGGTTACAAGCCTGCAGGATGGAGACTGTGGTTGAAGTTGACACGTGAACTAGTTGCCATCAATGCTGGTGGCGCAGGTGTGTGGTGGCAAGGGGTGCTGGCCAGGCTGCAGAAGCAGATGGGGAGATGTAAACATGCATTCTCTTTATGGGAAGTTATGACAAAGGAAGGGAGGGATTAAAATACTCAAGGGGGGACGTAGGGTGAATGATGATGGAAGCAAGCTTTCTAACTGTGCTTAAAAAATAAAGCAAATGCATTTAAATGCTTTAGGGAAATTGCTGTTATCAACTGCCAATATTAATTCCACAGTGCATGGTATTACAGGACTTCAGTCAATGTTTGATACATTTCATAGGCTCTCTCCATCCTGTCTTCAACCCTGTTGTAATTCTAGTTTGGTATTCTGAGCAAAGTATTAGTTTAATTATCTTGCCTTTCTTATTCTCTGATGTACTATGTTCCATTCTTATCAGGTTGCACAAGGTAAGCATATTTGACTTGTCTTAGCCAGCAAACCACTTTCCACAGAAAGTTAGAGATGCATTCTTAGTTAGGGCAACCTCTAGAAAAATGGAGTGAAATATGAAAGACATTACTCAAAGTGTGAGAGAGTCCCACCCCAACAGAGACTCCAGGACCCTACGGTGGCTCAAGAAGGAGTGTGGGGACCCTAGAAAGTTCTGGAACCAGCCTGGAGAGACTCTTAGGTAGGAATTTTATAAAGGCTGCCCTTGGGCAACCCTCACTGTCTCTCAGAATCCAAGAAAAAAATTCCACTTTGTGGGTTTTTTTTTTTTTTTTTTTTTGGTGTGTGAGCATTAGGGATCATGGACGTGCAGCACCAGGCACAGTGGCTCGTTTGTTAGTTCATCCACACTTTTTCCTTTCATTCATTCACTCATGGAATCAGGAAGCAAGCATCTCTTCAGTCTCCATGTCCTGTGATCTAGGTGAAGGTGCTGGAACACAGAAAATGGACACCCACACACCTCAGTAGACTCAACAAATGGAAGCGTCTGTCAGCTCTTCTGCTACTTTCTGATTGGTCTTCTACCTTCTTGATTCGACATCTCTCTGCTGTCTTGACATTTGGTAAAAAAAAAAAAAATGTTTTGGCATTTCCTAATAACTCTTCCCATATTGCTTTCCTCCAGTTTACTCTCACAGCCCCAAATACAGCAGTTTTAGGAGAAACAGCACCAGTCAGGGGTAGGGGCCCTGACTCATGTGTCCTTGAGTGTGTCAAGAGACCCCTCTGGCCACCATGCAGGGCCTGCCCATGCTGTTCCTTGCCATTTTAATGTCTCCGTTGAGCTTCTCAATGGCTCGGTGAAGCAGCAGGCAGGGGTGGTTCTTGCTACTTCCATTTCACTGATGAGCAAATCTATGAGATTAAATGACTGGTCCCAGGGACAGAGCAAATTCATGGAAGACCTGGGTGTCCTGGCATTTGTGGTGGCCTCCTGGCATCTGCATCTTCATCCTGTCTGCACAGCCCCTGGCTGGGTCTGGGGATGCAGCTCTCTCCCTGGCTCTGGGTGAGGAGTGCATGACCAGCCTCAGCCAATCGGCATGGACATCCCCAAGGCCAATGGGTAGGCCTGTGGCCCGAGTCAATCACTGTGATTCTCAGAACTCATGGGAGCTATGGGCAAGTACTACAGCTCTTTCCCATTAAACTTGAACCTGAGAAGATGTGAGAGAGAGGTGGACCGAGACAGAGGCAGCACAAAGGAAGTGGAGCAGGGAGATGGAAGAAGAGAAGGTCCTGGTGACATCATTTGAGTTCCTGGGTCAAGCTCTATCCAAGCTAGTCCTGCCATGGTCTTAGAATACACTGCCTTCACACTCTAGACATTTGTGTGTGTGTGTGTGTGTGTGTGTGTGTGTGTGTGTGTGTGTGTGAGAGAGAGAGAGAGAGAGAGAGAGAGAGAGAGAGAGAGAGAGAGAGAGAGAGAGAGAGAGTGTAACCATGAAGAGGTAATTGATACCTAGGGCCTCTGAGCTCCTCCACCAACACCCTCCCCAGAAGTGGCCAGATTACTTTTGGAGTAATTGTATCATAGGCAAATCAAAGCTGAAATTATTTATGAAGAAGCTGAATGAACTCATTGATTGTTCTTTACAAGAATTTCAACAGACTTTTTCTTCTAAGGAAGAAGTAATACCAGGTCTTATGTGGGTTTTTATATAGGCTGTGCACTTGTGTGTGTGTGTATGTATTTGAGAAGGTAGGACATAGGAAGGTAGAATGGACAAGGGGAATGATGTGAAAATTCTTTGCAAAGTGAAAAGTCCTATTTAAGTATAAAATTATCTTCAGTTATGTTTCAGTTGGTAGTTGGCTTCTTATAATCCAGTGCTTGACTCAGGGACCTTCTCTGATTCTTAGTGGTAACCAGGGAGCTCTGTGTCAGCATGACTCCCATGCATGGGGAAGCATTTTTCCCCAAAGGTCATAACTAGAGGCCAGCCCTGGGGCAGAAGAGGAGCAAGACGAAGCCACGGAGGTCAGGGTTTGCACTTCTGTTTCTGTATTTGGCTGACATCATTCCATGGACTTGGGTGTGGAACTTCCCCTATGTCTCTCTTGCTCTCTCTCTTTTTCTCTTTCCCACACACAGCCCTGGGAGGATGGCATAGGAGAGAGCGTGTGACACCACATGGCCATGGCCCATGGGGGGGCCTTCCTGGACCCTCATGGACTTAGGGGTTTTGCATCACCATGGTGCTGCCAGACGTGGCATGCACACGTTACATCAATGATAATGGGACATGGTGCCTGGACTCAGCGTGATGCTGCTGTGCCCTCTCCAAATGATACACCCCTGCTCCACAGGCTGGCATCAGCTGGCCACACCCCTTCTCCCTGCTGAGCAGCACAGGAGATGCTGACTCCTGGCTCTAGTGCTTTCATCCAATCATTGGGGGTTCTTCCTGCTGTGCTCAGGGTCCACAGAATCTTGACAAGCTCCTCACACAGAAGACACAGGCCTGGTCTGTGCATGCCAGCTTCAGATCCCTCATGAATGCTAAGGGGCTGCCTTGATGTCCCCACCAGCTCTCCTCTCCCTGCTGGGGCCTTCCCGGGCTGCAGCTGCAGACCCAGGCTGAGTCAAAGTGGTTGGTTTGTGGGGTAGACGATGAGCTTTAGCATGGTGGCCCCCCACCCAGGCTCACATGTGGTACTCTAACCTCTGAGGTGGGCCGCATAGCAGCCTCCCTTGCCCGCTCCTCTCCCAGCCTCCCCATGGCTCTGCAGCCCTGCAGGGGTGGTGCAGCTGGAGCTGGAGCGGCTGGGGCTGGCATGGGACACAAGGGCGATTCTTATCTTTGTCCTTTCCCCGGCCTGCCTGAGCTGGACGGTGGCTGGAGATCAGACCCTTGGCTTGCCTTCTGTCAGGGACACTGTCCTCAAAACTTGAGGATGGAAGAGAAATTCACATTCTACGTGGCCAAGCCTCCTGTCTCTCTTCTCTGGGGAGGGGAGGCTGCTTTTGTTTATGCTTCCTTCTCTCTGCTGGAAGAGACTATAATGAGAGGATATTTTCTTGTCCTTTGGCCCAAGAAGTTGGCACCCCAGCGCCAGGGTACTCAATGATGCTTGTGCTTCCTTCCCACCCAAAGAAAAGTTCCAGGGGATGTCAGTGATGGCGCTGTCCTGTTCTGCCATTGGAGGTCCTAGAAGATGCAGAGAGGTTGCTTCTTGGAGAGGAGGGAGGGGACAGGGTGTCCTGCCCTGGTACCCACATGGGCCTTCCTACACAGGGTGAGGAGTCTGAGAAGCCAAGGGGACCAGTCCACCCAGAACCCCTGCCTCACCCCCAGCCGGTCCCCAGGTATCTGGGACCTGGGAACTCTCTCCTCCAACGGCCCTGATCCAAGGCCTGTGCTGGCTAGAGTCATGGAAGGGTGGCTCAGGGCTGCAGAGCTGGGGATGGGACTTGGGGAGCTGGTTGGGGTGAACCTACACACGTCACCAATGACCCTCACTGGATGAGACAGGAGATAAGGGTGGGAGAGAAGAGGCATGTCCTGGGGGCCCCATTTGTGCTCTTGTTCTGGCCCTGAAAACCTTAGGGGTGGGTCTGGGGTGAGGCTCAGCAGTGGGAGCCCTGGGAACCTTCTCTGCCATAAGGACGGGGGATTCTGAGACAGGTGAGGGTCTGCCTAGTGTGCCCAGAAAATAGTTCCTGCTCTTCCTTAGTAGCACAAGCACTGAGGCTGCCTGCTCCCAGCTTGACAGGGGTTCACTAGGACCCCTTCCTCTCCTCTCCCTCCTCTCAAAGAGATTGGGGACTCAGCTGGGATCGTTGGGTGCCTGTAACAAACCAGAGGGGTGCCCCTCACTTTCTGGACTCAGTGAAAATCAGTCTTCTAATTTTGCCCATATCATTCCTGATGAAAATTCAGTTAAGTGAGGTCTTAGAGAAGAGGTAGTAGAGAAAGTGGTAATTTCTCATAACTGACCCGCCCAGGCCACCCTCTGGTTTAGAAAAGTCCCTGCTCCATGAAGGGAATTTTCTGGGGGAGACGGCATCTGAGAAATCAGTATTTCACGACGGTGTCTTTCCAGTGATGGTTCTGCAAGCTGGTAGAGTGGTGAGTCGGGATTTGAACTCAGATCTTTGGCCACCCAGGTTTTCCTTGCCTTGCCTTGCAGGGCTGGTCTTAGGCTTCAAGATTCATTTTTGTAGTTTGTGGGTTTTCTCTTAAAACGAGGCTCTTATTCCTGCAAATATTTACAGGTTACTTTATTCTGTGTGGAACAGAATTGCTTCTAACCTGGTGGGGGCAGGGAACACTGCAGTAAGGGCTCAATTAACTGATTTCACAGTGGTCACGACTCAGACATTCATTTTAGAGATTAAGTGGAAAATAAAAGAGATCAGAGCACCTCAAGCATACAGCAGGAACGCACAGTGAATTAAATGGAGAGATGGAAGTATTTGGTCCCTGAAGACGAGCATGACATTGCGATTTAGCTTGGATGAGAAAACTGAGGTTTCTTGGAAATGCCTACCCACGTGGGGGAATTTCTCTGTCAAGTTTCTGCTGCTTTGCAGCCATTTAAAATGGGTCCTGAAATATCTGCAGTGCAGAACATCTGAGAAGAGCTTTTCATTTGCTAGAATGTTGCAGCAAGCAGGCTAAGCGATGTTAGCAGGCAACTTTGTGATAGATTTAGAAAGCCCCGAAGAAATGGGTGGTGGTGATACAGAGAGATTTTTTCTTTCCTTTTTTTCCTTTTTTGGCTTGTCTGCAGAATAGATGAAAAGAGAAAATATACCCAGATACTTTGCTCACTCTCCCAAGTGCACACTAGGCAATGTAAGCTCCAGAGGCAGCGCTTACAGGAGGGGAAGGGACGCTGAGGCCAAGAGTGCTGGCTCACTGGGGTGGAAGGGACTTCAGAGGGCGTTCCTCACTCCTCTTATTGCAGGTGAAGAAACAGAGGCAGTGGTCCTTTGCCCCAGGCCATTCAGCTGGCCAGTAGCGGAGCCCAGGGCTACCCAGATCCTCCAATGCCCAGGCTGGTCCTCTTTCCTTTCTGACCCCAACACATGAAGAGTCCATCTGGAAATGTTGGCTCCCACACTTCAAAACATTAAACTCCTTGTTCTCTTTCTCCAAATGATTAATTTGTTTTCAGTGTTTACATTAGCTGGAAGCCAAGTTGGGAACACTCCTAACTCGTTTCTCAAACAAGATGTTTTTAAAATGAAGTTTCCCAGCATGGAATGCTTTGCTACTTTGTAAGGGCTTCAGTTGCTAAGAACTTACTGCACCTGTGTCAAAACTGTGCTCTCAGGGCCCCTGGTGGAGTCCAGAAGAAGAGTTCCACGCAGTCCCTGTTTTTCTTTTTTTTCCAGGAACTCCTGGAAACTGAATCACAGATCAGATCATGTTGTTCCACAAGAACGATGTGTCACTGTGAGGCTGCATTCCTGACCACGAACTGAGCACCAAATAAGTCATGGACATGCACCAAAAGGTGTGACCCAAGGGAGGCAGGGTGAGCCCCATGTCTCAGAACATCCTCGCGGACAGCAAAGCCCTTGATGTGGTGGAGTAGGGGCCTGTGGCAACCCCTCACACATGGCAGGTCCTTTGCAACCCCAAGTGCTTCAGATGCTACCAGCCCTCCTTGGGCAGGTCTGAGATGTGACAGAGAAGAAGATGAGAATGGAAAAAGAGAAAGAAGAGCGGAAAACTAAAAGAGGGAAGGGCAGAGGAAAGAGCAGAAATGCAGTCTAGCTGGAGGGCAGGCTGCTGGCTCCAGCCACTGCCTCAGATCCCCCCGACCTGGGGTACTCAGGAGTCTGAGTGGGTACAGGGCTATAGCCTCAATTTCCCCATCTGATGTGGGACTTGCCTTGACCCAATGCCTGGACCACAATCATCCCTGATACCTGAAGCCTCCATAGATATGACTCTTTCTAACGTTTGCTGCTTCAGGATTCAACCTTGTCCACTTTTGGCTTCTTCATGCCCTCTCCAATGAGCAGTGATTCAAAACCTTTTATAAAACTACCCATCACTATCATCTCTGGCAACATGGCTGTCTAGAGAACTCAGAAAACTGTCTCCCTCTGTAATGTTTAAAATGCTGGCTATATTTCAGAAATGTAGATGGCTGCACATGACAAAGTTAAAAAGAAAGGGAAGTGTTCAGAGGTCAAAAGAGGATGCCAAAGTCCAGAGAGCTGCAGGAATGCTGGAGGGAGGCTGCCCTGGGGCAGGTGCTAACCCCATGACCTCAGGTGGCTTTGGTGTGCCCACTTCCTGGGGACTTGGCACAGCAGCTTGGGTGAGACTCACGTGCAGAGCTCACTGTCCAGGCAGCTTTCCCAAGAGGCACCTGCCTGGGCACACACCTACACTCTCTTCCTTTTTTCTTTCACAACTGGTCCCCTCCAACTTGACCAAGAAAGGCCATGTTTTACCAGGATTCCTGCCACAGGGTGCAAGGCCCTAGACAAAGGGGCGAGAGATAAGAAATATCAGTGCTGTTGGACACCCTTCTAATAGTGGCATCATGTGCCCCAGGCTGGCTTCGGGGCTCTCCTTCTCTCCCATGCTCTACCCTGAATGGGAAGCACTGGTCGTGGGGTGTTCTGGCCCAGCTGTGAGGTTCTGAATTCATTTGAGTTGTAGAGTGGGCTAGCACATGGGATGCTGATTTTCCTTTAATGACCTTGCCCCTTCCATTCCCTACTATGGCCACAGAATGCATTGTTCCCATAAGGACCAAACAAAGACTTGTAGACGATGGTAGCTCATGTCACCCAGGCAGCAAACACACACCTCACTGGCGTACCTGTGTTAGAAATAATTTGGGATGGGGAGAAGGCGTGCTGGGACTCTCCATGAGGTTCAGAGCATGCTGCTGTCATGCTCACCACCAGGGCTGGAGGGAGCTTGTTGGAGAGCACGCTTACTGCGGGCCAGGCACTGCACCAGAGGGCACCCGTTTGGCCTTAATTGACACCGCTAATCTTGGTAAGGCCTGTCTCCCATCGGTGTCCCCGTCTGTGCCTTGGTTGGATCATTTGCATGATTTTAAGGTTGAGAAAGTGAAAATGTGCACACCTAAGCAGATTGATGGAACATCTCTGACAGAAAGTCACATAGGATAGAGGTAAGATAGTGTCTTAGTTTCTTCAACATTTACAGGGAAAACACTTTCATGATCTTTTGGCCAAAATACAATTGAATATTGTAAATCCATATTCAACTTTTTTTGCAAGGGTCTATTGAAATTCATACTATCTCTATGTTTCTGAAATTTTCACAGGATATCAGGCTAAAAGAGGCTTTTCTAACTATGAGTAACAGATTAATAGTTATTTGATAACTGTTGATAAGACCCCCTCCCCACTCCCACCTTTTGGTATAATTCCTTGAAAGTGAGAATGTGACTGTCTATAATGACTAGTAACAAATGACTAGTAACTTTTGTAAGATAGGTGGGTTCTAATTATTTGCTTTTAACAAAACGGAAACAGCTTATGGGTAATTTAAAATAACTTTCCATGATTAATCAGCACGTGATTTTTAATAACAAATGACTCCAAAGGGGTTCATAGAACAGAGTGATGTGCTACATCAATACTCATTTCTTCCCTTTTCTGTAATTTTGAGAATAATGTTCATAAGTGCATATATCTAAACTAATAAAGATTGGAACAGAAGTAATGCTGAATCCTGCCTTAGACTACCAGTAAGTCATATTAATCTATAGCTACATGTAAAAAAATTAGAAGCTCCACCCATTTCCTTAAGAGACATAGTTTTTTTTTTTTTTTTTTTTTTTTTTGAGACTGGAGTCTCTCTCTGTCGCCCAGGCTGGAGTGCAGTGGCGCGATCTCGCTCACTGCAAGCTCCGCCTCCCAGGTTCACGCCATTCTCCTGCCTCAGCCTCTTGAGTAGCTGGGTCTACAGGCGCCGGCCACCATGCCCCGCTAATTTTTTCTATTTTTTTTTTTAGTACAGACGGGGTTTCACCGTGTTAGTTGGGATGGTCTCGATCTCCTGACCTCGTGATCTGCCTGCCTCGGCCTCCCAAAGTGCTGAGATTACAGGCTTGAGCCACTGCGCCCAGCCTAAGAGACATAATTCTAATAAAATTTTACTATTTGTACTTAAAAATTATTTACCAAAACTTAATATATTTATGTTTTGATCATTTGCGTTCTGCTTATGTTATAATAACTATCTAGAAGAAAACAATTTAATCCTTGCAGTCTTGTGATCAGAGAAAATTTTATTTATTTTTATTTTTATATTTTAAGTTCCAGGATACATGTGCAGGATGTACAGGTTTGTTACATAGGTAAATGTGTGCCATGGTGGTTTGCTGCATCTATCAACCCATCACCTAGGTACTAAGCCCAGCAAGCATTAACTGTTTTTCTTGATGCTCTCCCTCCCCATCCCCATCCCTGACAGGCCTGAGTGTGTGTTGTTCCCCTCGCTCTGTCCATGTGTTCTCATTGTTCAGCTTCCACTTATAAGTGAGAACATGTGGTGCTTGGTTTTCTGTTCCTGTGTTGGTTTGCTAAGGATAATGGCTTCCATTATTCCAGCTTCATCCATGTCCCTGCAAAGGACATGATCTCATTCCTTTTTATGGCTGTATAGTATTCCATGGTGTATATGTACCACATTTGCTTTATCCAGTCTATCATTGTGGGCATTTGGGTTGATTCTATGTCTTTGTTATGTGAATAGTGCTGCAATGAACATATGCATGCATGTATCTTTGTAATAGAATGATTTATATTCCTTTAGGTATATACCCAGTAATGCGATTGCTGGGTCATATGATATTTCTGGTTCTAGGTCTTTGAGGAATCGTCAGACTGTCTTCCACAATGATTAACTAATTTACATTCCCACCAACAGTGTAAAAACATTCCTATTTCTCCACATCCTCGCCAGCATCTGTTATTTCTTGACTTTTTTATAATCACCATTCTGACTGGCGTGAGATGGTATCTCATTGTGGTTTTGGATTTGCATTTCTTGAATGACCAGTGATGTTGAGTTCTTTTCTCGTATGTTCATCAGCCACATAAATGTCTTCTTTTGAGAAGTGTCTTTTCATGTCCTTTGCCCACTTTTTAATGAGGTGGTTTGTTTTTGATAAGATTTTTAATATTTTAAATTTTGTATACATATTCTTGTTGCAGAGAGGTCTGAGAGGGTGATTAAAAAATACTTGGAAGCAAAAAAAATTTAATATATTAGGATAAAATTCTGTAGGTGAGATGAAATGGAAATAAAAGTTCAAGGAAGAAAAGGATACTCTAAAACTCCAGATGTTTAAAGAAAGGCTTGACTTGTGTTTTTTTAGTGGACGATGATGGGTATTGAATTGTTGTAAATTTATATTCCATGGGATCTATTTACATGAGTTCTGTAATTGTTTATGTCAGTATTTACAGTATGCTAGAAAAAACATCTTTTATAATTATTTAAGCTTATAATAAAAATTCTGGATGTCAAATTAAAAATATGTGAGAGGCCTAATAGTTTTCCCAAATGTTTAAGGAGTATGTGAGCAAAAAAGTTGAAGACCACTGTCTTAGAGCACTCAGCTAATTCTCTAGTTAAAAGACAAAGAGAGTTTCATGAAACAAAAAAAAAAAATCCAGCTACATACTGTTTACAAGAGGCACTCCCCAAACAAAAGGGCATAGAAAAGTTGAAGCTAAAATAATAGGAAGGGATATATCAAACAAATATTAATCAAAAAGAACAGTGGTATAGCTATACTAATATGGGACAACATGGATGAAGGCAAAAGGTATTGCAAGAGATGAAAGGGTCACCATAATGATGAAAGATTCTACTCACCAGGAGAAGAATACTGATTATATACATCTAATAATACAGTTTCACAGTAGAAAAAACCAAGAGTACAAGATGAAATGGACACAGTCACCATCATAATGACAGCTCTATCAGTAATTGAAAAATTAAATTAATAGACAAAAATCAGTAAGAATATACGCATACCTATGAAGAACACAATTAGCAAGCTTAGCCTCATGAACACATGACAAACACTGCATCCCACAGCTGGCCTTGCATTCTTTTTAAGCACCTACAGAACACTGGATATTTACCATGTACAACGTTAGCAAGTAAGTCTTTATAAGTCCCAAAGAAACTATCATTCAGTTCACATTATCCAATTATTATGAAATTAATTAAGAAGTCAGTAGCAAAGAAGACTAATAAAACACCATACTTTTGGAAATAAAATAAAGTTGAATCTAAATAATTTATCAGTTAATAATCCAACATCATAGGAATTAGCTCTTAGAATTGAACAATAGAATAAAAAACTACATATAAAAAGTTTTGGGGTAAAACTGACTCTTGGAAAATGAACCCTAAATTACATTAGAAAAAAAGAAGAAAGAAAAATAATGAGCGAAACACCCACTTTAAGAAATTAGAGAGAAAAAGTAACAGAATTCAGCCAGAGAAAAAGAAATAAAGAGACAATAAAGATGACAGCAGAAAGTAACCAAATAGAAAACAACTGTGCAATGGGAAGAATTAAAGTTGATTCTTTGGAGGTAAGTGAAATTGACCAATCCCTGATGAGATTAATACAGTAAAAAAATATATAATTTAAATACACAATATCTGAAATTAAAAAGTGTGCATAACAAAAGATGCAGTAAAAATATTTTAAGAAATATCATGAATTCATACCAGCAAATTGGAAACTTTATATGAAATAAACAAAGATCTAAAAAATATTACTTACAAAAACTGACTCAGTTACAAATAGAAAAACTTGAATAGTCCTATAACTATTAAAGAAATGAAATCAGTAGTTAAAAGAGTTCATAGAAAGAAAATGCTAGATGGTGTTTTACTCTGAGTTTTCCCAAACATTTAAGGAATAGATAATTCCAACGTTATGGAGATTGGAAAAAGAAAGAATATTCCTTTTTTTTTTTTTTTTTTTTTTGAGATGGAGTCTCGCTTTGTTGCCCAGGCTGAAGTGCAGTGGCGCAATCTTGGCTCACTGCAAGCTCTGCCTCCCGGTTCACACCATTCTCCTGCCTCAGCCTCCCGAGTAACTGGAACTACAGGTGCCTGCCACCGCGCCCGGCTAATTTTTTGTATTTTTTAGTAGAGACGGGGTTTCACCGTGTTAGCCAGGATGGTCTCGATCTCCTGACCTTGGGATCCGCCTGCCTCAGCCTCCCAAAGTGCTGGGATTACAGACATGAGCCACCACGCCTGGCAAGAATATTCCTTTTAAGCCTTGGTTTAGTCATTTGCCAAATGGGTCAACAATGGCACAAATCTCACTGGATCCCTGTGAAGATTAAAGCAGATAATGAATAGAAGTATCTTGCAGCAAGCAAGAGAAAGGTTCACTGGCACATAGGATGCATTAAATAAACAGTAACTATTATTATCATTATTTATGATTATTGATGGTTCCCAAGAGAGCCTCCCTGGCAAGGCAGGCCATGGTGCCAGTCGTCTGTATAAGTCCATGCGATCATTGAAAGCATTATTTCTCCAGGAATGAGGTAGTCATTGTTCTCTGGTTTTACAATAAACATTTAGCAATTGGCAGGATGTGGACGAACCTCATGGGAATCGGAAGTAGCTCTGAATTGTAAAGAGAAACAGCCAGATCAGATAGGAAAGTAATTTTTAATTACTCCGCTGAATTTCTAGCAGGGAGATTGCAACCTTGGTGAGTGAGTCTCCATGCTGGTATGAGGTAGAGCTGGATTTGGACAGCTCAATGCAGGTGTGCCAACCTTTCCTTCCTCTCTCAGTGGACAAGGAAGGGAGGAACAAGACTAAAATACAGTTTTAGGTCGACCAAGTGTCTGCTCGCTGACATCATTCATCCCTCCCTCAAGTATCACAGACAATTTTTGTAGCCGAGCGTTGCTGCTGTTTAGTAATTCAAAGTGTATCTGAGAAACACAATTATCTCGACAGAGAGTTGGACAGCAGCTGAGGGTGATGTGTGAGCTGGTGCCAGAGGTTTGCTTGTTTAGTTACTCCAAGCAGGGAGTTGTCATAAGGCTTCCTGGAGGAGTGGAGCTGGGGGCAGAGAGTGGCCTCTCACTGGATGCAGGTAGAAAAAGGAGCCAGAAATGAGCAGGCCCAGCTAGTTGCTGGATTGGCTAGTTGCTACCATGATGTCATTTCATACCCACAGCCACCCTGAAACCTGAAAGCAAGGTTTTATCACTTCCCATGTTGCAGGTTAGAAGACATGGCTTGCACAGGTGGAGTGATCCTTCCCAAACCACAGAAGCGGGAGTGAAGGGATCCTATCCTTGGGCAGAGGCTCAGAGGGGAGAAGATGGGTACACAGGCAGAGATCTGGGAATGGCAAGGTCAGCTTCTAGTGGCCCAAGAACCCCTAGTTCTGGCTTCCTGTTGAGTAGGACCAAGTCCTCACTCCCCTTCCCCTGGGATTCCTCAGGCTGACCTGAGGCTGAGCTGACTCTCACGGTTTGGACTGGGTGACTTGGCTCAGGGGCTCCTGTGGGATGAGCACCATGAGCTGCTCCGAGGTGCCAGGACATCCAACCCCAACCCTTGCTGGCTGTGCTGTCTCAGCAAGTCACCTTGCCTCTCTGAGATGCAATTTCCCAATCTGTAAAATGGGGATACAATGCTAGTACATCGTTCATTGTTTTCCCTTTAAAAATTAAATGAGGTACCCGGCCGCCACCCCGTCTGGGAAGTGAGGAGTGCCTCTGCCTGGCCACTGTGCAATCTTCCAAGTGTAAAGTGACAGCCTTTCTGCAGGTGTACCCAACAGCTCTGAAGAGACAGTGACCATCGAGAACGGGCCATGATGACGATGGCAGTTTTGTCGAAAAGAAAGGGGAAATGTGGGGAAAAGAAAGAGAGATCAGATTGTTACTGTGTCTGTGTAGAAAGAAGTAGACATAGGAGACTCCATTTTGTTCTGTACTAAGAAAAATTCTTCTGCCTTGGGATGCTGTTAATCTATAACCTTACCCCCAACCCCGTGCTCTCTGAAACATGTGCTGTGTCAACTCAGGGTTAAATGGATTAAGGGCGGTGCAAGATGTGCTTTGTTAAACAGATGCTTGAAGGCAGCATACTCGTTAAGAGTCATCACCACTCCCTAATCTCAAGTACCCAGGGACACAAACACTGTGGAAGGCCGCAGGGACCACTGGCTAGGAAAACCGGAGACCTTTGTTCACCTGTTTATCTGCTGACCTTCTCTCCACTATTATCCTATGACCCTGCCACATCCCCCTCTCCGAGAAACACCCAAGAATGAGCAATAAATACTAAAAAAAAAAAAAAAAAAAAAAAAAAAAAATTAAATGAGGCAACGCAGGCAAAGTGTCCAGACCCAAACTGGATATGTAACAAGGGCCGATGAGTGTGAGTTCCTTTTGTTCCCTCTTCATATATCCAGGCCAGGGTTCCACATTTTGAATTGGAGAATTCTCTACTGTGGGGGGCGTTTAGCAACACCTTTCCCTCATCACATAGGACCTCTTGTAACAAGCCCATCCTGTCTGGACCAGGGGGATTCAGCTAAGCCTAGGGTCAGTCCAAATAATTCCAGGACTTGGAATGACTCAATAGGACATCAGGGGTAGTAGGCGCCGGGGTAGCGGGAGCTGGGGTAGAGGACGCTGGGGTAGTGGGCGCCGGGGTAGCGGGGTCCGGGGTAGCGGGCGCCGGGGTAGCAGGCTCCAGGGTAGTGGGTGCTGGGGTAGCAGGAGCCAGGGTAGCGGGGTCTGGGGTAGCAGGCACCGGGGTAGCAGGTCCAGGGTAGCAGGCGCCGGGTAGCAGGTCCGGGGTAGCGGGCTCCGGGGTCGGCACTGCAGGGTGTTTAGCAGCATTCTCTGCCTCTGATCACAGGGTGCCAGTAGCAGAGTCCTCTCACCCCATTGTGACATCCAAAATGCCTCCATATATTGCCCTCTGTCTCCCGGGGGACAAAACTTGCCCTTGACTGAGAACCACTGTCCTAGGTCCATCTCGTGCAGTTGGGCCAGAGCCTACCTCGACTCTGGGCACAGAGAAGCAAGTGCCACTCCTGGAGTGGTGTCCTCCTCCAGGAGGCATGCCAGAGCTCCTTGGAGCTTCTTAAAAGCGCAGGGGCCTGGGCTTTACTCCACAATTCTGATGTCATTGGATGCAGTGGACATTTGCTGAAAGCTCACGCCATGGTCTGATCAGTGGGCGCAGCTGAGAACCACTGGTGCCTGGCTCCCTTGGGGACGGAGCCCACAGCCCCAGGGCCTCAGCTCGGGTGTGTGGGGCAGTTCTGTGCATGCTGAAAGCATACCCCCTCCAGTGCTTGATGGGGGCTTCTCTGGTCTTCTGCCTCAGAGCCCTCTCCAAAACCCATAGAGGCCTTCAGACCCATGTTCAGCCCCACGTGAGGAGTTGGAGGAGTGCTAGTGCCCCAGGGGTAATGGGAGCCTGTAGGAGCTCCCCAGAACTGCCTCAAGGGAAACCACAGATGGCGCCTTAAATAACACAGTTCTCTCTCCTTGGCTTACAGATGCCCTCTCCTCCCTGGGTCCTCACAGGGTCACCCCTCTGTGTGTGTCTGTGTCTGTGTCCTAATCTCCTATTCTTATAAGGACACCAGTTAGGTTGGATGAGGGCCCACCCTAATGGCCTCGTTTACCTTAATCACTTCTTTAAAGGCCCTACCTCCAAATACAGCCACATGCTGAGGTATGGGGGGTTAGGACTTCAACATAGGCAGATTGGGAGATACACCTCGGCCCACAGCAGCATCCGGAGGCCTGTGTCTTCCTGTCTGAGCCTGGGTGTGGATGCCGCACCCGTGCTGGTTGGAGGAAGCTGGCCTGCACGGCCTCTGAGCTTCTCCACTTTCTTACTCATCTGAACTTTGGGGCACTCCAATTCTGCTGAGGAAGGAGAAGGATCCTTTTTGCAAATTATATACTGACTCTAGTATAACATCACATGACAGGTAAAGGAGGATATCAAAATATTTTATCCCAAAATAGGTTTCTTTGCTATACTTTGAAATGGTGCTGCAAAGCTGGCTTTCGTGATGCAAAATTTGCATCTGTAAGGAATCTCTAATAATATAACTAGGTATTTCCCCTTCCAGGCCCTCCCAATCCAGAAGAGATTAGCACCTTTAAAAGATCTAAATAGGAAACATTGCCATCTATTGTCTCAAAGGGCAGCTACCTATGAGACTTCATCTACATAACAAGAACCCTGGTCTCCACAACCCCTTATCTTAACCCAAACACTCCTTTCTATTGATTCTAGGTCTTTAGATAATAACTTAACTCTTCAACCAATTGCCAATCAGAAAATCTTTGAATCCACCTATGACCTGTAAGGCACCCCCCCACCTTCCAGTTGTCCTGCCTTTCCAGAACTAAACAATTTATACCTCACATGTATTGATTGAGGTCTTATGTCTCCCTAAAACGTATATGACCAAGCCGTAACCCAGTCACCTTGGGCACATGTTCTCCGGACTTCTTGAGACTGTGCTTTGGGCCCTGGTCATTCATATTTGGCTCAGAATAAACCTCTTTAAGTAGTTTACAGAGTTTGCCTTTTTTTGCTGACATACTACAAATTCAAAGCTCAATGAAAACAAAACAGGGAAGCCTCAAAGAAATCTCTGCTTGATGCCAATCAGTTCTTTGTATCTTTAGGGAGATGGTAGGTGGTGTTGGGGAGCATGAAGTCTGTGTGTGTTGTGTGTGTGTGTGTGTGTGTGTGTGAATGTGCATATGCATCTCTGCTATAATGCAGGGATAAAAACAACAATGCTTTGGACATTTTCATGATGCTGAATCTACTGTTTGGAGCTTACAATAAGGAAATATGCAGAGACTCTGAAATGTCTTCACAGAATTGTAGCTGGAATAACATGGTTAAGATGGATATTCAAAATATTTGAAAATAATTTGAAAATATTTTCTCCCATTCTGTATGTTGTCTTTCACTTTCATGATAATGTATTTCAATGCATACAAGTTTTTTATTTTGATGAAGTTATATTTATATTTTTCTTTTGTTGCCTGTACTTGTGGTGTCACAGCTAAGAATCCATTGATGAATCCGAAGTCATGAAGATTTACCCCTGTGTTTTCTTCTAAAGAGTCTTACAGCTTTTGCTCCTCTATTTAGGTCTTGATGCATTTTGAGTTTATTTTTGCAAATGTATGAGGTAGAGTTTCAACTAATTCTTTTGCATGTATATATCTAGTTGTCCCAGCACCATTTGTTGAAAAGAGGATTCTTTCCCATTAAATGATCTTAGTGTCCTCATGAAAGTCAATTATTCTAAGGTGTGCAGGTTTATTTCTGGACTCTAAATTCTATTCCACTGGTTTAGATGTCCATCCTTATGCCTTATATTCAGTCACTGCTTTAATTACTATAGTTTTATAGTAAGTTTTGAAATGAGGAAGTGTGAATCTTCTAATTTTGTTCTTTTTCAGCATTGTTTTGGCCATTTGGGGACCCTTGCATTTCCATATGAACTTGAGGATTGGGCTTTTTAGTTCTGCAAAATGGCCATTGGAATTTTGGCAGGGATAACATTAAATCTGCAGATCACTTTGGGTAGTACTGCCATCTTAATAATATTAAGCCTGGGCTGAGTGCAGTGGCTCACACCTGTAATCTCAGCACTTTGGGAGGCTGAGGTGTGCAGATAACTTGAGCTCAGGAGTTTGAAACCAGCCGGGGCAACGTGGTGAAACCATGTCTCTCCTAAAAATACAAAAGTTAGCTGGGCATGGTGGTGCATGCTTGTAGTCCCAGCTACTTGGAGGGCTGAGGTGGGAGAATTACTTGAGCCTGGGAGGCAGAGGCTGCAGTCACCCAAGATCGTGCCACTGCACTCCAGCCTGGGTGACAGAATAAGACCCTGTCTCAAAAAGACAAAACAAAACAAAGCAAAAATAATATTAAGCCCTCCAACCTATAAGCACAGGATGTTATTCCATTTATTTAGATATTCTTTCATTTCTTTCAGCAGGACCTTATGATTTTCAGTATATGAGTTTTCACTTCCTTGGTTTGAACTTAGGTATTTTATTTCATTTTTTGGATGCTATTGTCAATGGGCCTGTTTTCTTAATTTCCTTTTTGAATTGTCCATTGCTAGTGTATTGTGATATTGTGAAATATATATTTGGCCTTTATCCCATTTCCTGATACATAGCTCCTAAAACCACTAGAATCTCTGGAGTGTTAAGAATGTCTTTTGTTTGCTACTGAGATGACTGGCAGCTGCAGACCTCTAGATAGCTTCCGGGTGGGGGCTGGCCACCTGAAAGACCATGGCATGATTAGAAGGTTGAGACTTTCGGTCCCACCCCCAACCTCCAGGGAAGGGAAGGGGGTTGAAGGTTCAGTTGATCACCAATGGCCAATGATATCATTACTCATGCCTACATAATGAAGCTTCCATAGAAAAGCAAAAGGACTGAGTTCTGGGGGCTTCTGGAAAGCTGAACACATGGATGTTCCTGGAAGGGGTTAACCCAGGGAGGGCGTGCCCCTCTTCTTGCCTCTTCTCCCACACTTTGCCCTGTACCCTTCTTCCTTCTGGCTGCTCATCTGTACCCTTAATTATATCCTTTATAATAAATGGGTAGGTGTAAGTAGAGTGGTTCCCTGAGTTCTGTGAACTGCTTTCGCAAATTAATTGAATCCCAGGATGGGGTTGCGGGAACTCCCAATTTACAGCCAGTTGGTCAGAAGCACAGGCCACAACCTGTGCTTGCGACTGGCATCTGCCGGGGTGGGGCAGGCTTGTGGGGCTGAGCCCTCACCCTGTGGGATCTGACACTGCCTGCAGGTAGACAGTGTCAGAGCTGAACTGAATTAGGGAACACACAGGGGTGTCCACTGGAGAATGACCTGCAGCACTGGTTGTTGTTGGAGAAACCCCAACAGCCCTCTGGAGTCATGGAAGTGTTATCTGTTGTAAGAGTATAGTACGAGATGCGGAGTTTGTTTCTTCCTAGGTCCTTATGTATAGAAATTCAACATTTTTTTTTGTGTTGATCTTGTACTCTACAACTTTTCTGAATTTGTTTATTGGCTCTCGTAGTATTTTTGTGGATTCTTTGGGGTTTTCTCTGTATAAGATCATGTTATCTTTGAATAGAACTAGTTTTACTTCTTTCCAATTGGAATACTTTCTGTTTCTTTTTTTTACTTAATTGCTCTGGAGGGAATTGTGTCTTGACCCATTCTCTACCTGTAGTCTAGGAGGGATTGACCCCATCTCTTAAGGGTGATCCCTGCTTGGCTTAAGCAAGTCCATAGAGCTCATCTGCTTGTCCCCAGTGATTGGGTCGGAAATGGCATATGACCTCCTTAAGGACAATGAGATGCAAAGAAATATAGCTTTAGCTTCTAGGAAGGAAGCTTCTCTTTTCTGTGGAAGCTTCTGGAAGAGATCCTGACTCTTCTGCTTGTGAGAAGTTGGGGCCTGAAATGTGGTGGACACTTCTGCTACCATGAAAGAAGTAGTCTAAGGATGACGGTGATGCAGAAGGAAGGGAAAGCAGGAGACCTGGAGAAAAGGAGCTGGGTCTGGGGGTCATCTCAGCGCCTAGGAACCGGCAGCATCGGAAGTCCTCTCCCCCTGGGTTTTTGGTTGTATGAGCTAAGACATCCTCAATTTTTTTTTCTTTTTTCATAAGTCAGTTTGGGTTCTCTGACATCTCTTTTTACTTGAAAATGTTAAAGTTCAAGATACATGGTATATCCTTAGCTTAGTATAAACTTATCAGCTATGGTTGTTTCACTTGGACTTTTTACCTAATCAAAAAGGAAATAAAGATGTAATACACATGTAAGGAGATGGTAGGTTTTTCTCTCTTTCTCTTTTTCTCCCTTCCCCTTCCCTTCCCTTCCTTTCTCTTTCTTTCTTCTCTCTCTCTCTGTTTTCTTGAGATAGGATCTGGCTATGTGGCTAAGGTGGGAGTGCAGTGGTACCATCACAGCTTACTGCAGCCTCGAACTCCTGGGCTAAAGTGGTCCTCCTGTCTCAGCCTCCCAAGTAGCTGGGACTACAGGTGCATGCTGCTGTGCCCTGTTAATTATTTTATTTTTTGTAGAGACAGAGTCTTGCTACATTGTCCAGGCCAGATTTTTCTTTTAAGTGTGGTAAATGCTATAAAAGTCTCCTTTTTACATTATTCTCAAAACGTTTTTAATGAGCAATAATATTCATTATTGAATGCAAAATGAGAGAGAGAAAACAAAGGAGGAGAAGAAGAATTGAGAGGAGACGGGGACAGGTAAGACAGCATGAGGGAAAGAGGAGTGGTGGAAATGGAGCAGAGGCTGGAGGAAGAGGGTTGGGACCTGAACCATCTCTAGGGCTATGGCCGATAGGCCCAGGGGCAGCCTGCTGGAGCTAGGGAAGTGGGTGGTTGTCCATCAGCTTTCCTGGGTGGTCCCATTACTGGGAGGCTTCCATCTCCAGCTGGACTGTCCTGCAGCTTCCTTTGGCTGGGCTGCCCCTGTCCCCTCCCCCTCTTCCAGTCCTGTTTCTTTCCAGGAGCCGGCTCCTTGGAGCTCATCCATCCTCCTTCCTGGGGCTCCAGGCTTCCTTTTCTCAGGGATAGGATTTGTCTCTCAGCTTCAGAAATGAGGGTGCATCTCAGAGCAGCACTTTTCCTGGCCCAGTGGCTGGGCTCACTTGTGTCTGTGTTGTGTCCAACTCACTCATCACACACCTGTTGTGGATAGGACACAACACAGGGACACAGGGATGAGACAGAAATGAGGACACAGGCACTGACATGCATAACCAGCAGACAGATGGGTATGTTTAATTTTAGAGGTGTGTTCAGAGTTAGAGGGGGACAGGGAAGGGAGGGATTCTCTAGGCAGGACTGAAGCAGGGAAGTCTTTACAAAAGATGTGCTGGGCTTTGAAGGATGAGTAGGAGTTGATCAGGCAAACCAGTGGAGGAAAGAAGGGGAAGGGGCTCTCATTGGGGCTCATCCTGGCTGCACATCGGAGACACCTGGAGGAGCCTTGGGAGAGAAGATGGCCAAAGAGCAGGGAGAGCTGATGCTGTTCCCTCAGGGTTTACCTGTTTGCTTCCATGCTGTGACTTTGAGCCCTGTGATTTCCCTTAGTGATGACAGCATATCCCAACCATGTGAAGTCTAACTGCCCTCTAGCCAGTGTAAACAGGCTATTCTGGAGTGTGGGGCCAGGGGAGAACCTTCAGATCCCTGAAATATGCCCCAGATATGGTTTGCGGAACTCAACGGCATCTTTTTCACCTTCAACCCAACCTGTCCCCAATGTCAGCTCTCAGCTGAGTTACTGCAGCAAACCTTT